>NC_000002.12:3646363-3949393 GCF_000001405.40 Homo sapiens
CTCATGTCTTCAGCCAGCACCCATGAACCTGGGACTGTAAGTAGGGTAAAATCTCAGGCCTTTCACAGTTCTTGACAGGAATTTCTTGATATCTCCTTGAATTTAATTCTCATCTCATTGGAAGGACATAGCAAACAAGTTTATTCCGGACCTGAGTGGTCCCTGGTTTGTTTGGATGGGAAGAGGAGCACCTTGTCTTCATGGAGCAGGTTCCAGGGAATGATGTACAGCTGGAGAAGCAGGTGCCGCTGCCTCGCCTGCTGGAAGGGAGCCCGTCAGAGCGACCAGGCTTTTGCTTCATTGGCGCAGACTCTGTGTATGAGAGATGGAGTCTTCCTACTGGTGCGTATATCCTTCTGGTGCTTACAAGCTACTGCAGCCATTAACTCACCCCTCTATCTGCTCACCCATGCATTCATTTACTAAGCAGTCAGTTTGAATATTTCTCCGTTTCTGACTCTGTCAGACCCATGGTTTTCTGTGTGGCAGTTCCAACAATGCCTGGAGTATAGCTGAAGAATTGGGGGATGCTGCTGTGTTTGTGTGTTGGGGGGCCAGGCTGTGTGTGGGGAGGGTTGTCACTGAGCAGGTCATCTCACTGAATGGGCAAGTCCTCAGTGGTCCCCACTTCTGGTCTCACAGGCTGTGCCCTGCTGTCCATCATCCCCGTGAGGACGCAGAGCCACTCCCTCAGCCCCCGCACCCCTCATCCCCCCATTGCCTCTGAACTCTCTGGTTCGCTGAGGTGGCCTTGAAATATAGGGCCCCAGACAGGCTGCAGGGGTTGCGCGTGTGATGACACAGGGACCATGTGAATGTAATTGGTAATATGTTCAACGCGACACACACATACGTCTAAGAAGCAAAAATCCTCCTTTACTTCAGTCAACTTTGCTCTAGTTGAGGGTCAGTCTTTCTAGGCCTTTTTCAAGAGCATGCACACACTCACACACACACACATACACACACGATTAAAACGTATCTGGAGAATGCCTCGGGGGTGGGCATTCTTTCTCACCTTCTTCATCAGCAACCTGTCTTGGGGCAATTCCCATGCTGCCCATGGGGCCTGCCTGCTTCTCCCATCCTGCCGCAGAGTATTCCAGAGTGTGGCCGCTGGGGGTTACTCACCCATCCTCTCCCGATGCCGCTGGGGGTCGCTCACCCATCTTCTCCTGATGCCCCTGGGGGTCGCTCACCCATCTTCTCCTGATGCCCCTGGGGGTCGCTCACCCGTCCTCTCCTGATGCCCCTGGGGGTCGCTCACCCGTCCTCTCCTGATGCCCCTGGGGGTCGCTCACCCGTCCTCTCCTGATGCCCCTGGGGGTTGCTCACACATCCTCTCCTGATGCCCCTGGGGGTAACTCACACATCCTCTCCTGATGGACACTAGCGTTGTCTCAGCCTTCACTCCCTGGTGATCACTAACGCATCCTCTCCTGATGGACACTAGCGTTGTCTCAGCCTTCACTCTCGCAACCCAGCTGCGGTCAGGCTCCTTGACTGCACCTTGATGTGCGCCGGTGAGACCCTATCTGTAGGGGAGAAACAGACCTGGAGGTTGAATGGCTGCACTTACAAATTTGATAACCAATCCAATGCCAAGTCTGGGCCTGTGAGTTACAGGCAGGAGAGGAGAGACCAGGCTCTGCTGATGATGGTGCAGTGGGCAGGTGTGGGGCAATGGGCAGTGGGTGTCCTGGGGACAGCAGCGCCAGGGAGCCCGGCAGCCCTGGCAGCCTCTCCCACTCCTGTGCTAGTGATGAGTCTGGGCCCTCAGGATGGGAGCAGGAGAGCTCTTTGGCCTAGAGAGGTTTGTCCTCTTTTCCATTTCTCCCCCCATTAAGGAGCAGAGGTAATTATTTTAATGGATGAGTCTTATTCATTATGTGGAGTGGCTTCTCCCTGACACGTCTCCCAGTCACACAGGAAAGCATGTCTTCCCATCTGTCTTTGATGAGGCTTTCACATGCTCGAGGCTGCTCTGCCCAGGCTGGGGGAGCCAAGACGCTCCTGACACTGGCAAAGCTCTCGTGCACACATAGGGTGTCAGCTCTGTGCATGTGAGGCTGGCTGGCTCTTCCTCACCTGCACGGCGGCATCCACTGCCCACAAAGCCTCCCTGGCTGCCCCAGGTCCACCAGTCCTGGAGGTGCTGCTGGCCTCGGGGATCCTGCAGGGTCTGGGGTGCTGCCCACAGAGTGGGTGGAGACTCTGCTTCCATGTGCGGACTCCTGGCCACAGGGAAGGCCTGCCAGCTGGGCCTCCATTCCCCTAGGGCTGCCCACAGCATCTTTGTCCAAGTGTCCACGGGGCTGTAGGCTGTCCACTGCCCCCCATTCTCTGCTCCAACACCAACCCCTGTCCTCCTGCAAATCCATGTGGGCAGACGGCCGCCTCTTCCACCAGCGCATCACACGACCCGCTGTGTCCCAGGCTGGGACACGACTTCAAGTGACAGTGTGATCTTCATGAAGTTACAGAAACATCCTAAGCCTCAGTTTCCTCATTGGTGGAGTGAATGATTTTCATGCCTCCCACTGGGGCCTTGTGAGGATTACATGACACGATGTGTGTAGGGCGGTCGGCGTGGCAGAGTACTGGGTGTTGAGTACTGAGTACCTGGCCCCGTAGAGAAGCCTGGGTGCCAGGCAGTGGTGAACATAGCCCAGGACAGTACGTTCTCATGCACGCCGTAGACGGGTTCATAGAAACGGCAACACACGTCATAGGTTCTTGGAAATGGCAGGCTTGGGTGAAATGGCAGTTAATGAAACCAGTTCCACAATGGGCGCGTTAATGAGCAAGACTGAAGTGCCTAGGGTGTCATTCTGGTCACAGGGTCATCACCAGACTTCGAAAAAAGACCCCAAACACTTCTTTTTTTTTTTTTTTTGAGACGGAGTCTCGCTCTATTGCCCAGGCTGGAGTGCAGTGGTGCGATCTCGGCTCACTGCAAACTCCACCTCCTGGGTTCACGCCATTCTCCTGCCTCAGCCTCCTGAGCAGCTGGGTCTACAGGCGCCCGCCACCACGTCCGGCTAATTTTTTGTATTTTTAGTAGAGACGGGGTTTCACCGTGTTAGCCAGGATGGTCTCGATCTCCTGACCTCGTGATCCACCCGCCTCGGCCTCCCAAAGTGCTGGGATTACAGGCGTGAGCCACCGCGCCCGGCCCCCAAACACTTCTAATATTAAATACTGAAGTAAATGTGGTTTACACATACATTTAAGAAAGATTAATAGAAATAAGATCCATGTTACCCAGTGATTCTGGTTCAGGGGTGCGGGTGGCCCACGCCTGACCTGGCAGCTCAGGGTGCAGGGTGGGCTCCAGCCCTGGAGAGGACGCTGTCCCATCGCAGGGCAACACACCCGCACTCACACAGGGACCGGGCAGACACACCAGGGACTCACGTGCACACGTGTGGACGCGGGAGGAAACCAGAGTGCCCAGAGACAACCCACGCAGACATGGGGAGAACAAACAGACGCCACAGACAGCGGCCCCAGCTGGGATTCAGTGTTTTTCCTCATCAGTGTTACAACGAAGCAAGGTTGGATGAAACAATTCGAGGACTTGCTGCCCGTAGCTTCCCCAGCTACAGCTGTTCAGCAGCGTCTAAGACGTTTTCCAAATTTGTTCTGTGAGGAACTGGACGTGATGCATTAGTGCCCTGGAAGGCACGGAGCCGTCATCTGTGGGTCTTCACCCCTTTCTCCCCTCTTATGTCTGATTCTTGCAGAAAACAAGAGCCGTTCGGCACTGGCTGCACAGTGCCCTCAATTGGAAGGGAAGAGGGCAGCGCTGGCTGAGAGGGCAGAGGAAGCCGGGACACCTCCTGGAGGAGGGAACACTCTCTGGGTTCTGGGGTTTAGGGAATTAGATAGCAAAGCCCTGTTCCAGGTTCCTGCAGGAGCTCCCACTGCTCCTCCTGGGGGCCGGAGTGGCATCCACAGGGCTCTCGGGGCAGCCAGGATTCCCTGTCTGTGGCCGGCCACCGGGCTGATGGCCCCTGAGTTGACCCAGGCAGCCTGCCTTGCCAGGACTGATGCTGAGCGCTGTTTGCTGGCTACTGAGTGAGAGAAACAGCGCACCACGGTGACTGTCAGGTGGAAGCCTGGTGAGGCCTGGGCAAGCGGGCAGCTGCAGCTCCAGCCCCAGCAGCACCTTGAAGCCCCTCGGCCCGGTGAACATGTGGGCCCTGGCAGCCACCTGCCCCATAGTTCTGTGGGGGTCAGCAGTGCGTGCACCTCCCTTCCAGATGCTCTGCTCCTGGGGCGTCTCGCACTTGTCTGGGGCTCAGTTTACTCCCATACAGGCGAGGAGCTTGGGTACAAACACCTCTGCCTCCACACTACCCCTCCCATGTGGGTACCCACTGTCACGCAGTCCCCACCCTGCAGACCCTCCACCAGGCTTCATGGAGGGGAGTCTGTGTTAATAGCAGGCACAGTGAAGGCGCACGGGGCCTTTCTTTGTACCTGGTTAATTCAGCAGTGTAGGATTATGCTTGCTTTAAAGCAAACGTGAGGGGCTATAAACACTGGGCCTGAAGTCAGAACCATTACCCTGATTTTATTCCCATAACTTCCGAGGAGGAGACCTATTGTGTAGACTGCAGAATCTGATCTGCAAAGTAGGAGGGAAACGGTTTGGTTAAGGAGAGAGCCGGGATTTATTAGGTGCTGCATTGAGGCATGACCGGAGAGCTGGCACGCGTGTATTTCTCAGAGCCCTCTGAAGCGTGGGCTGAGATGGATGAGCGCAGACACACAGCCTGGGGCTGCCCGGCGGTGGCGGCGGATCCGTGGCTCCATACTGCCATCTAGTGGGAAAAGAGGACGAGGACGGCGGCGCCCACACAGGCGCGGGGAGGTTTGCAGAGCCACGGAGGGCGCTCAGGCCGCCGATGCTTGCGGGAATTCTTTTTGGGTGGGTGGGTGGGTGGGGGGGGTGTGTGTGTGTGTGTGTGTGTGTGTGTGTGTGTGTGTGTGTGTGTGTGTGTGTGTGTGTGTGTGTGTGTGTGTGTGTGTGTGTGTGTGTGTGTGTGTGTGTGTGTGTGTGTGTGTGTGTGTTAGGAAGGGAGACGAGTTAAAGGCGTAGAAAGGACAAAGAGCAGGCGGGAGCAGGAGGCAGAGGCCGAGGTGTCAGACTCTTCAGAAAGCACCCGGCCTCGCTCCGCGTGAGTTCTCATCCTCAGTGGCACCCACGTTGTGTCCCTGCGGTGACAGCAGCCACGTAGACCTGACGACCGAAAGAGCAGTCAGGAGAAAGAAAGGTCACTTTGGCCGTTGATGGCAAAGACGAACTCTGGATGGAGGCTGGGCCAACCCCATGCGGAGCTCCATCGGCCGGGGAGGCGGGAAACATGCCCGGCGTTTCTTCAGGGGCAGGACGAGATCCCTGACAGATGTCGCGTGGCTCTCAATCGTCCTTATTCGCGGGCAGCTATTCATCCGGATGCTCCTCCCTTAGGCCTGAAACTGCTCTCGCGCTCTGCCCACGCCGTAGAAGGCAACTCAAGGTCACTGCATGGAAACCGTGCCCTTCGCTTCCCCTGTGGGCCCATCAGGGTCTGTGGCCGGTGAGGGCTGAGGTCACCAGACGCAACCCGGCTCAGCTCAGCAGTTCGGAACCAAGAACCACACGTTTCTTAGTTGCAAGCAGGAAAATCGCAGTCGGGCTAATTTAAGCACAAAGGGAATTTGTTGAAAGCGTTTTGGGAGCTCGCAGGAATTCTGGGAGGCCCGGAGCCCCGCCTCGGTGCGTGTGGAAGGGAACAAAGCCCATGGATTGTGCCGCCCACCACGACCTGCAAGGGCCCCTCGGCTGCCAGCAGCAGGTGCGGGTGGTTGCTAGGCTGCCCGCTGTTGCTATGGAAGCGGCTGTGCTGCTGTGTTTGCATTTCACTAGCTTCCTGTGCAGAGCCTGGGGGCCGGTCTGTCTGGTACCTAGAGCTCGGGGCCATTTTGTGGGCCTGCACAGGTTGTGCACTGCACAAATCCAGAGCCACTATTCATAGAGCTACAATCCGCACAATTCTACATGGAAGCTTTGTAGGCGTCCATGCCTTAGATACAAAGGAGGCTGGGAAGCACATATTTTTCCATTTCTATGGTGGGAAGAAAATGTGTTTCCTAAGGATGGAGATATCCCAAACAGCGTATATCAGTTAGCTTTTGTTGTGTAACAAACCACCCCAAAACTTTGTGATTTTTTTTTTTTTTTTTTTTTTTTTTTGGAAATGGAGTCTCGCTCGTTTAGCAGGCTGGAATGCAGTGGCGTGATCTCGGCTCACTGCAGCCTCCCGGTTCAAGGGATTCTCTTGCCTCAGACTCCCAAGTAGCTGGGACTATAGGCGTGTGCCACATGCCCGGCTAATTTTTTGTGTTTTAGTAGAGATGGGGTTTCACCGTGTTGCGCAGTCTGGTCTTGAACTCCTGAGTTCAGGCAATCAGCCTGGCTCAGCATCCCAAAACGCTAGGATTACAGGCGTGAGCCACCACGCCTGGCCAAAACTTAGTGATTTTAAATAATAACCATCCATTTAACCATTAATCTTAACTCTGTAGTCAGCAATTTGGACTGAGCTAAGCTGGGCAGTTGTTATGGTCTTGGCTGGGCTCACTCTGGTGTCTCTGGGTAGCTGGTGGGGTGGCTGGTCTCCAGTGCATCAGCTGGGAGGCCTGTCTGCAGCCTGCAGATTCTCACTTCAAGTAACTGGCCTGAACATGTCTGCAGGGTGGCAGCAGCATTTTGGCGCTGCTTCAAAAAGAGTGGGTGCACACGGGGCCCCCCGAAGCCTCCACTCAGAGCTGGAGCATCACTCTGTCTCCTTCTGTGCCCCAAGTTGGTCATGAGGTGAGCCCAGGGGTCAGGAAATAGACTCTGCCCATGATGGGAGAAGCTGTGGAGTTCCATTGCACAGGGGTGTGAGGGACTGTGGCCACGTTTGCAGTTTGCCACTTGTGTGAAGGAAGTTCAGATGTGGCCAGAATCAGGACAGACATCCATTGTGGCAGGGTTTGGAGAGGAGAGGGAAGGCCACTCCAGGTGACCGGCAAGGACTGGGCATGTGTTGAACTGAAGGCCTGGTGGCCCAAGTGGACCTGCGTCCTGCCAGCTACGATCCAGCCCTTGCCGCTTTCCCTGAAGGTGTGTCAGGCACTGTGAGCTGGGGTAGGTCCTTCTGCTAAAAAATTCCATCACAGTTTGTTGGGGGATTGTGGCAGCAGTGGGTGTCGAGAAGACAGTTTCTGGCATTGCTCTTGGGCTCAGGTACCACGAGGGTGCTGCCAGACCACACCGAGATGCTCTGCTCATCCTTGATGACCTCAAGCTCACCTCGTTTCCCTCATCCCGTGGGCCATGATGGTGCGTGGCAGAGCTGAGGGAAGACTCTGGTGAGGGCCAAGCCTATTCCAACATGTCCTGTGTATCTTTCCCGCTCCTGCTACCCCTGTGCTGCAGCCCTCAGTCTTATTCTAAGCCTTTCTCATCCCTCATCCCCCATCAGGCTTCCCTGCTGGGGTTTATCATCTATGGCTGTGTAACGAATTATCCCACGATTAATAGATCTTAGCTTGCATGGTTCCTGTGACCCAGGAGCTTGGGAGCAGCTTTGCTGGGTGGTTCTGTCTCAAGGAGTCTCAAGAGATTGCACTCAAGATATCTGCTGGTGCCACGGTCTCATCTGAAGGCTTGACTGGGCCAGAGGATCAGCTGCCAAGGTGGTTTGCTCACATGCCTGCGAGTTATTGCTGGCTGTTGGCAGGAGGACTTGGATCCTGCCATGTGGGCCTCTCTAGAGGGCTGCTGCATGACCCTATGACAAGGCAGCTGGCTTCCCTCCATGTGAGTGATCCAAGAGCCCTTGATGGGAGAACCTGCAAAGTCACATTGTAAAGAGGTGTGAGCGTGAGGAGAGGCGGTGGACTGCGACTGTGGCTGCATCCCCCACACGGGAGGAAAAGCAACGGCTGCAGTGGCTTTGATGGCGCAGCCTCGGAACCACGCTCTGCCATTTCTGTAAGGCCCTGCTGGTTGCACTGGGTGGTCCTGCTCAGCATGGAAGGGATTTACCAACGTATGAGTGCCAGGAGGTGAGGATTGCTGGGGCCGTCTAGGAGGCTGCCCAAGCTTGCTCCTTAGGGTTGTGCTTTTTCTAGATGAAAGCTAGTTCATCTGACCCACACATTCAGGTTATCATCTGATGGAAGCTGAAGAGCTCAAGACACACTCCCTGAGCACTTGTCACGAGCCAGACACTGCCAGAAGCTCTGGGATGACACAGTCAGTGCGTGTGACTCTCAGTGAACCCTCAGGTGTGCAGGAAACGTGACTGTCTTTTCTGCGTGTTTCCCTTCAGCTGAGTGGAAGAAACGTATTCTCAGTCAGTTCTGGACTTCATGCCCCATTTCCCTGGGGTCGTGTCACAGACAGGGCATTTGCAACTCTGCCTGGAAGGCGCAGAAAGAGGACCGCATGACTGTTTTCAGGCGAAGGTTGCCATGGATAAAGAAGCGCTTTGCATTGGCTGTGTAATGCGGCACAGCAAGTTAGCACGAATTAGAGGCTTAAAGCAGCATCCGTGACCTCCCTGTGTCTGTGGTCAGTGCCTGAGCCGCTCCCTGGACCCTCTCTCAGCCTGCAGTCGAGGTGTCCGTGGGCTACTCTCCTCCCTCTGCGGACAGGAACTGCTTCCTCGTGCACTCCCCAGGTCACTGGTGGGGTCAGCTCCGTGCTGGCTGCTGGCCTCTCTGCAGGGCAGGTTGCACCATGACAGCTGCTCCTTCAGGGCAATAAAGGAGAAAAGGCAGGGGCAGGGGTCAAGACGTAAGTCACAGGCTTCCGGAACTTCACCTGGAAAGTGACACCCATCACCTTTGCTGTGTCCTGTTCACCAGAAGTGAGCCACTGGGCTCCACCCACATTCGGGGAGAAGAATGGGGCGTGGATGCAGGTGGAGGGGGCCCAGCACCTTGAAGTTGCCCTACCCAGGCTGGCACATGTGTCCCAGGAGTGTTGTATGAGGGTGGGCAACATGGAAAACATGCACAGTTTATGTGACTGTCAAAGGAATGACTAGTTTGTTTGTTTGTTTTTTGAGATAGGGTCTCACTCTATTGCCCAGGCTGGAGAGCAGTGGTGCGATCACAGCTCATTGTAGCCTTGAACTGCTGGGCTCAAGCGATCCTCCCACCTCAGCCTCCCAAGTAGCTGGGAATACAGGTGTGTGTCATCATGCTTGTCTAATTAAAAAACTTTTGTTTTTCAGAGATGGGGTCTCACTGTGTTGCCCAGGTTGGTCTCAAACCCCTGGGCTCAAGGGATCCTCCCGTCTCAGCCTCCCGAAGTGCTGGGATTATAAGCATGGACCACTGTGCCCAGCCTTAGAATGACAAGTTTTAAGTATTTGCCTAATTAAAGGGACAGCATTAAGGAAACCACTGGCCTCTTGCAGCTGGAGCCATAAGACAAGCCTCGAGCATTGCCCCTGAGCTCTGCCCCTGTGCTTCTGCTGGAGCCCCTAAGCGCTGCCCTGTGCTTCTGCTGGAGCGCTGCAAAGCCTGTTGCCCGCTCCGGTGGGGGATGTGGGTAGCCTGCTGTCAGCAGAGCCAGCGAGCTCCCAGTGGAATGGGGCGGGGGGAGGAAGAGGTGGGAGGTTGTTGTGCCTGAAGAGTGGACATTTCCTCAACATCAGGTCCCCACCTAGTGAGCGGGACACCCACTTCAGCCAGGGGCTGCGCAGGGGTCGGGAGGAGCCCGTCCAGGCAGCCAGCACCTCCATCATCGCAGGCTGATCTCCTTGCCTCCTGGGAGCCCAGGGAGGCCGGGGATGGCGGCATTATTCTGAGGGTGCTCCAGCCCTTTCCATGAGAATCCTCATGTCTTGGCAGGACCAAGGCAGGAGGGTTGAAGCCCCTACGGAGCTCCGAGAACAGCCTCACGTCTGGCTCAGGCCACTGCTCTGGGACCACCTCTCTGCCAGCTCTTGTTCTCCTCCCGCCCCACAGATGGGTCCACAGGACGTCTGCTGTGCCACGATGGAAAGTTCTGTAGCTGTGCAGCCCAGCCTGTCGCCTCTGCCGCATGTGGCTGTTGGGCACTAGAAACTTACCTCATAAGACAGAGCATCCAAACTTTTAACTTCACTAAATTAAGTTGATTTTAGCGTTAGAGAAGTATTGAATTTAGCATAGCTAGTGGCTGCCACGTCGGATGGGGCAGCTAGCTGGCAGAGCCCTGTGCTCAACCTCTGGCCATGGCCCAGCAGCCCCAGCATCGCCCTGGAGCTTGGAGAAATCTCAAGCCTCAGGCCGTATCTCAAATCTGCAGCGTCAGAATCTGCACTTTAACCAGCTCGTAGGTGATTTGGAAGCACATTAGATTGTAGGAGCCAGCTCGGTGTGGAGGGCAGAGGTCAGGGTGTGGAGGGCAGGGGTCAGGGTGTGGAGGGCAGAGGTCAGGGTGTGGAGGGCAGGGGTCAGGGTGCCTTCTTCCATGGCTTTATCGGTGCCACAGCCTAGGCTTAGCGAAACCACGAGGATAAAAATAGGCCCTTCTGTTCTCCGCACCGTGAGCTTTGTGACTGATCCGAGGCGGCGAGCGGGGGCACTGCACTGCTGTGGCGGGGAAGTCACGGCTGACAAGAACTGCCAGGGACGAAGCCACGTGCATTAATTCATTAAAATACAGTCAGCTATGGAAGGCAGCATAGGATGTGGTTTCGTTCTTAAAGAATTTCATCTGGATGGGCAGACAGATGTGTAAACATGGACTCAAAGGCCGGGCGAGCTGAGATCAGACAACAGGCGCTGGACGCATCCTAACTACGGCTGGGTGGCGGGGCTGAGAGACGGGCTGGGGTTGGGGGTGGGGTTCTCAGTTGGAGGTGGCCTTGAGCCGGCCTTTCAAATGGCTTTGCTTTCCTCTGGGAAAGCTGGAGTTCAGGAGGAGAAGGCCGGTCAGGCCCTGGGGAAAGAAAACCCAGGAAGGAAAAAGGAGCGTGTGGGTGATGGATCTCCCTGGGACGCAGGTTGTCTTTCTGGAGCCCCAAGGGCCCCTGTGCGCGCCATCTGCTGTGCTGGGTTCTGGTTCCAGCTCAGTCCCTCCCTGCGCAGGTGACCTCGGGTGGCTTTCCTGCCTTCAAGGCCCCAGCTGATTCATCTGCAGAGTGGATAGCTTGCCCCGCAGGGTGGCTGTGGTGAAGCAAGGCAACGTCTGTTACTGCATGTCGAAGCCGGGCTCAGCTGTTTCTTTCTGCATGGAAAGTTCTTCTGCAGACAGTGGGGCCTTTGAAGGCAGGCGGCACGTGTTGTTTTGTATGCCACAGGCCTAGCATCCACTTGGCAAGGTGCCCTTTCTTAAGCATCTGTGGGCTTCTTTAAATTCCATGAAAATTTTGTGTGTATTTACTTTTTCTGGGGCTGAGGGGCTCTAGCCAAACCCTCCCAAGGGCCCCTGTCTTCTCTAGTAGGTCAGGACCCACTGCTGGGTGTGCTCAGTGTTTTCTGAGTTAATGATGATTAGTGAATAGGTGACGTCTAGAGATAAAACTTTAAGTCAGGTTACTGGCCGGACCAGGAAGGTGGGGGTTTCAGGCCCAGGCCAGTGGCCGGAGGCAGCTTTGTTAGGGACAGGGAAGGGCCCTGGGACCAGCAGGGACCATGTCTGGCTTCGGGCCTTGTGCGAGGGTCTTGCAGAGGCCTGCTTGGCTTCTCCGGGGAGGGGCTGCTCCCCCTGTTACTTCCACCTCTCTGCAACCCTTGTGACATCATACAGGCACAGCCAATCTCTGCAAAGTTCTGTCTCTACCTCAGGCCCCTATACATTCTCTCTGAGCTGGCACTCAAGCACCGTGGGACCTTGGCTGGCTTCTGGGGAGCAAGAGATCCATTTATGAATACTTGATTTCTGACTGCTGGGTGAGCTGGAGTGTGGTTTATAAATACCTTGCTATCTTTAAGGTGGGCTTTGCCAAAAGAATAGGGTGACAGAGATGAATTTCAGTCATGCAACGAACCCTCGACACTTGGAAGGTGACAGAGGGTAGATGGTGACAGACACCACTTTGTGCCGTTGAACTGTGTTGGTACCGGGCGTGGCCCAAACACCTGGAGGGGCCCCACAGGTGGGTCAGGCTTCTGGGCTCTGGTCACTGCTCTGTTTGGTTTCAAATCATGTGACTTTGGCCTTCTTAAAAAAAAATCTAAAGAGGCTGGGCATGGTGGCTCATGCCTGTAATCCCTGTACTTTGGGAGGCCGAGGTGGGTGGATTGCTTGAGTTGAGGAGTTTGAGACCAGCCTGAACAACATGGCAAGACCCCATTTCTACCAAAAATCAAAAAAATAGCCAGGCATGGTGGTGCGTGCCTGTGGTCCCAGCTACTTGGGAGGCTGACATGGGAGAATTGCTTGAGCCCGGGATGGGATTGGGGTGGAGGTTGCAATGAGCCAAGATCATGCCACTGTACTCCAGCCTGGATGACAGAGTGAGACCCTGTCTCAAAAAAAAAAAAAAAAAAACCTAAACAACTAAGGCCATGGTGAAGTAAACCTATATTCAAAACAAGAGTCACAAAGTAGAACTAAATGTAAATATATACCAAGAGTTGCCGGTAGTCAGGAGTCTCGTGCAGTTGACCTTGGGCTGCTCAGAGTCCCTGCTCAAGGTCACTCTAATTTTGTCCCAAATTTGAACAAACCACTTTTATTATTTCACCATAAATCTCATACTTTTGGCCAAAGGCTTCTTCGGAACTTATTGACAGCGATGACAAAGCCCCTGAAGGTTTTCTTCTTTACGAGGGAGTAACTCTTCCATCAGCACAGCCTTCCCTGCTTGTCAGAGGGAGGTCTCTCTTTCTTGTGCTTCCTAGACTTGCCTGGTCATGCCTTTTCTTATTTTAAGGCTAATCTCAAAAGAAAAAATAGTGTGAGCACCACTTGACTGCCTGAAATTTCATGACTCTATTTTAGAGAGTCATTGCCTCATCGCCTTGCCGTAACCCATGACAATGCTCCTCATTTGCGGTGATTAAGTTGAAATTTGCAGGTAAAACTTTAGCATGTTCCTCAAACATCAGAGCTGACCCTGGGTCTGGTCTCAGCCACAGCAGAAAATGTATTTAAGAGCTCCCTTGAGCAGGCAGTGGGAGGGGTTGCAGCAATGAGCTTAGAAGCAGCTGCCACAGGCTGTCTGAGCACTGTGAGCTGCTGAGCTGGTGGCCTCAGCCGAGGTCGCGTGGCTCCTTCCTTTCTTGCCTAGACCTTGGCTATTTTATCAACAGAAACGGCAGGGACCAGTGAGCAGAGAGCTCAGCAAGCTCATGGCGCAAGAGTCGTGGAGCTGTGACCTCCACCAGGGCTGAGAACGGCCCCTTATACCGCCAGCTCTTGGCTGCCTGGAATCTCTCGGGAACCTCCACGGGGCCCTGCACAGCACAGGCCACTGTGGATACTTCTGGGATTTGTGGCTGAGGAGAGAAACTTAGGAAAGACAAATGTCACGGCCCTTTCACAGCAGACACTGGTTGGGCCTGTGCTGTGGCCTGGAGGCCCAGCTTTAAACGGTCTCTCCTTTCTCACATTTTTTTATCTTAGGGGTGGGGAGACTTTTCACATAACAGCCTTTGAGGTTGTGGGGTGCTATGGTTTGGATGTTTGTCCCCCCAAACCTCATGGTGCAATCAGATCCCCCGTGTTGGAGGTGGGGCCCAGCGGGAGGAGTCTGGGTTATGGGGGCGGATCCCTCATGAATGGCTTGGTGCCGTTCTGGAGGTGGTGAGACGGTTCTTCCTCTGTTAGTCTGGTGAGAGCTGCTTGTTAGGAGGAGCCTGGCGTCCCTCCCACGCTTCCTCTTCTGCCCTGTGGTGGCTGCACGCCGGCTCCCTTCACTTCCTACCAGGAGTGGAAGCAGCCTGAGGCCCTCGCTGGAAGCATATGCTAGCGCCGTGCTTTCTGTACCGCCTGCAGAACCATGAGCCAAGTAAACCCCTTTTTTTAATGAATTGTCCAGCCTCAGGCATTCCTTCACAGCGACACAAATAGGCTAAGACACTGGGAGAACACAGAGAATAAATTTTGCGATATTTGGGGAGATGATGCTGCCTTTACTGTTATTATAAATAAAGTTTCGGTGCCGCCAAAGAAACAGCCCTTGAATATCAATTTTTTTTTTCTTCTCGGCAAGACCATTTACTGCTATAGAAGGGTGTGCCCTCACAGATGGAGCAATGGCGCACACCTGGACAAGGGAGGGGACGGGGTTCTTATTCCTGACGCACGTGGCCCCTGCTGCTGTATCATTCCCCTATTGGCTAGGGTTAGACCGCACAGGCTAAACTAATTCTGATTGGCTGATTTAAAGAGAGTGATGGGGTGAGTGGTTTGGTGGGAAAAATGGTTATGGCAGAGCAGGAAAACGGAATGAGTCAGGGTGGGGCAGGAAATCGGAATGAGTCAGGGTGGAGCAGGTGATCGGAATGAGTCAGGGTGGAGCAGGTGATCGGAATGAGTCAGGGTGGAGCAGGTGATCAAAAAAGGTTGCTTTATGAGGAAGTTAAGTTAAAAGTAGAAGGCAAATAATTGAACATACTGACATACTGATTCTTTGAAGAGAAATTTAGGACTTATATCTAACACTGTTTTTTTCATAATAAAGTGAGAGGGGCTGTGGTTTCAAACAGCATAGGCCTGGGGTCGGACTCATCTGCATTCACAACCCGTCCCCCTCCCTGTTCATTAGCTGAATGACATTGGGTGAGAGCCTCCGTCCCGTCTCTGAGTTCCTTAGCAATGGGTATAATAATGTGTGACTCCAAGGCTTGGAGTACGGGAGATACGGGAACAGATATGGAGCTATAGAGTTCATGCTTAGAGACATCAGTTCCCTTCCTTCTGCTCCTGGCTCATGGTACACACATGTTTTGAAAACCATGCCAGGCATCTGACCTCAATGCACGCAAGCATTTAGCTGCTGGGTCATTGGCAGAAAAGCCTCAAGCAGGGGTTCAGGGAAGGCTTTAATTAAGCTTGGCCTGTGGGGGCTGCTGCCTGGGCTGGATCTGCTGTGAAACAAGAGGAGCTTGATGTTCTAGGAGAAATGCTTGGGGCCCAGGACCATCTGCTGGAGGGAAAAGAATGAGTATTCCCAGAGAAACAGACCAGTGCTGGGGCTGTTCCCTGGAATTCAGGTTAAGTGTCCTGGGCTTGTGAACTGGGCACAAAAGATGCTGCAAGTCTTTGCTTTGGGAAGCTGTCAAGGGTCATTGCCCCTCTCAGCCTAAACCTCTTAGCACCTCTCCGACGATGCTTTTCACTTTGGTGGTGACTGATAACTCTTCTTGGTTGTTGAGAAGTTTGGATGAAAAGCTCTAGGTGTGTATTATAGTTTCATGTTGCTGTTATTACAGGTCCTTAGTGTCTTACAGAATGCAGATTTCTGATCTCATGGTCTGTTTGGCAGACCTCCAGGTAGGCTCATTGGATCCCTCTGCTCTGGGTTTCATGAGGCTGAAATCAAAATCCAGGTGGGCTGGGTTCCCCCTCAGAGGCTCTGGGAGCATCCTCTTCTGCCTTGTTGGGGTTGTGGGCAGAATCCAGCTCCTTCAGCTGGTGGGACTGAGCAGGGGCTGCCCTGACCTCCCAAGGCCTCTCTCAAGTCTCTGCCCATGAGCCCTGAACTTCAGAGCTCAGCCATGATGTGGCTTCTTTCTTTTGAAGCCTGATTCAAAGTCACACTTGGATTCTTTCTGACTTCCTTTTCTGCTCCACAGTTCTGTTTGCAGCCAGAGAAAGTCGCCTGCTTTTAAGGCCTTGTGTGATGATGCTGGGCCCACCCAGATCGTCCAGAATTACCCAGGCCCGTCTTAGGGTCTGTGGCTTCGTTATGTCTGCAAATTCTGCTTTGCATATATGGTGAGAAATACATAGGTCTCAGGATTAGAGAGCATGCATTCTGGAGCACACCCTGCTCACCCAGGGTGGAAGTGTGTACTCCAAGGCCCCGCAGGCAGTTCTTTGTAATTAGCACATCCTGCTCACCACAGGGCGGAAGTGTTTACGCCAAGGCCCTGCAGGCAGGTCATTTGTAATTAGCACATTCCTAGTCATGAGTGGATGCTTTAGGAATTAGTGGCTGATGAGATATACGGACTAATTTCAAGGCGCCACCTGCAGCAGAACCTATGTTACAGCATGAAGAACCCCTGATATTCTTTTTTTATATATAATTTTTATTTTACAAATGTATTGGGTATATGTGAAAGTGTGTTATGTGTATATGATGGATGGTGATCAGCCCAGGGCATTTAGGGTGTCCATTACCTGAGTACAATCCATTCTTCTAGCCTGCAGTCACCCTACTCTCGAAAGAGAATAGTTCTTGACACATAAAACTGGTATGAAATCCAAATTTCAGTGTCCATAAATAAAGTTTTGCTGGAACACAGGTGCCTTCATTCACTTATGTAACGTCTGAAGCTGCTTTGTGTTGCAGTGGCGAGGGGATATAGACCTGCAAAGTGTTTATTACTGGGGGGCCTGGCAATGCTGCGACCCCCAGTGTGATGGAAGAGCACTAGCTTCGGAGTCAGAGGAAGACATGAGTTCACTTTCCATGGGGAGTATGGAAACATAGTGCCTGCACTGTAAGGTGGTTTTAGCGGCAGAAATACCATTGTACCCAGCAATCCCATTACTGGGTATATACCCAAAGAAATGTAAATCATTCTGTTACAAAGACACATGCATGCACCTGTTCACTGCAGTACTATCCATGATAGCAAAGACATAGAACCAACCTAAATGCTCATCAATGATAGACTGGATAAAGAAAACATGGTGCGTATATACCATGGAATACTATGCAGCCATAAAAGATGAGATCATGTCCTTTGTAGGAACATGAATGGAGCTGGAAGCCATCATCCTCAGCAAACTAACATGGGAACAGAAAACCAAACACTGCATGTTCTCGCTTATAAGTGGGAGCTGAACAGGGAGAACACATAGACATGTTGGGGGGAACATCACACACTGGGGCCTGTCGGAAGTCGGGAGGAGGGAGAGCATCAGTGATGAAGAATAGCTAATGGGTGCTGGGCTTAATACCTAGGTGATGGGTTGATCTGTGCAGCAAACCACCATGGCACACGTTTACCTACGGAACAAACCTGCACATCCTGCACATGTACCCCTGAACTTAAAAGTTGGAAAAAAAAAAAGACTCTATGTCAGAAACAGTATCTGCCTGGTGCACAGTAGGTCTTCAATGGTAAGTAGCCAAATAGATGGTTTTGCAGTGTCATTGAGGGTTTCCTATGTTGATGAATGGTTACTGAAAATTTCTAAGATCACTACTAAAAATTGATATTACCTCTAAGGTCATTAATAAGAAAGGATATTGAAATAATGGATCCTTTTCTATAACATGCACAAACATGCTTTGTAAAACCACACACCTGTGCTGTCTGGCAGAACTTTCTGTAATGATGGAAAATCTCTTCTGTTCTGTTCAGTATAGTAGCCATCAGCCACATGTAACTTCCTAGCATGTAAAATGTGGCTCATATGACTGAAGAACTGGATTTTGAATGTCATTAGATTTAAATTTAAATACCATGTATAGCAAGTGGTTCCCACGTCAGTGCAACCATGGAACACTTAGACACCCACTGCCAGCACCAAACCATGTGAGCCTCGTACCCAGCACCTTGTGGTGGGACATCTCTCTTAGTTAAAGGTCTGTCTTTTTTGCCTAAAGACAAAGTAGTAGAAAAGGATATGAGTGGCTGCAGAGCAAACGGTGGCTGAATTTTATACCCCTGCCACCACTTTGCCACCCCTGCTGCTTCTATGAAATGGAAGCAGTTTATTCAACCAGAGGCCAATGTGCCTTTGAAACTTATCTCTATGGTGGCTCCTCTGTAGGATTTTACAAGGGTCTGTTTGTTTTGCGTTTATCTCAAGGTAACACATTTTAAACACATTTGAGTAGCAGGGTCTTAACTACAAATGGAGCTTGGCCAAGAGAATAATAAAAACAGTTTAAGGAAATATTTCTTGGAAGCTGCTGAAAAGGTATCTTTACAACTCCTGTTCTCTAGAGAAGCTTGCAGGCATGGGGGTCAGTGAGTGGACATCGATTTGTGGGAAGGCTAAGGACAAAGGCTATGGAGAATTTTTCACCCCAAGTTAAATTCATTTCTGCCAATTAAGGCAGATGTTTCGGGCCAGGTGTTGTGACTCATGCCTGTAATCCCAGCATTTTGGGAGGCTCAGGTGGGAGAATCACTTGAAAATAGGAGTTCAAGACCTGCCCGGGCAACATAGTGAGACCCTGTCTCTACAAAAAAAGTAAAAATATGGTTTGGTGTGGTGGTGCGCACCTGTAATCCCAGCTACTCAGAGGCTGAGGTGGGAAGATCACTTGAGCCCAAGAGTTTGAGGCTGCAGTGAGCTATGATCGTGCCACTGCATTCCAACCTGGGCAACAAAGAAAGACTCTGTCTCCAAAAAAAAAAACAAAACCAAAACCCCCCCCCAAACCAGATGTTTCCAAATGCTCGATTTCATTTGGAAACACAAACTTAGTCTTGAAAACTGTTATGATTTTTTGAGGTACCACAAATGGCACCTCAAATATATATAAATATATTCAAAAATATTTGTAATGAGCTTAAGGAAAGTGGGTTCACCTAGTTTGAATAACAGGTTTGATGAGTCAGCCTGCCTGTTGACCTCGGGTGGTGCCTGTCGCAGCGAGACGGATCCTGGAAAGGGCCTGTCTGCTTGGCGGCATCAGCTGTAGATGGCATCGCTACACTGACTAATGTTTTCTGAAGACGAGCTTTTATTTATTTCCCAAAGAGAAACATTTCCAGAGGGAGCATTCTTTTCCCTTTTTTTTTGTTTTTGAAGTACTGAGTTGAAGTGTTTTTTTTTAAATTTTATTTTAAGTTCTGGGATACATGTGCGGATGTGCATGTTTGCTACGTAGGTAAACGTGTGCCATGGTGGTTTGCGGCACAGATCAACCCATCACCTAGGTGTTAATCCCCACATGCATTAGCTATTTGTCCTGATGCTCCTCCTCCCCCCACCCCCGACAGGCCGGAGTATGTGATGTTCCCCTTCCTGCGTCCGTGTGTTCTCATCGTTCAGCTCCCACTTATGAGTGAGAACATGTGGTGTTTGGTTTTCTCTTCCTGCGTTAGTTTGCTGAGGATAATGGCTTCCAGATCTACCCAGGTTCCTGCAAAGGACATGATCTCATTCCTTTTTATGGCTGCATAGTATTCCATGGTCTATATGTACCACATTTTCTTTATCCAGTCTATCATTGATGGGCATTTGGGTTGATTCCGTGTCTTTGCTATTGTGAATAGTGCTGCAATGAACATATGCGTGCATGTATCTTTATAGTAGAACTATTTATATTCCTTTGGGTATATACCCAGTAATGGGATTGCTGGGTCAAATTGAAGTGTTTTACTAAGTTGAATGTGAGCTTCAGTGGGGTGGGGCTACACAGAGTGAAGTGTGGAGGCTGCTGGTACCTTGAGAAAGGGTATAAATGCTTTTCTCTTTCTTTTGATCTCTTTCTCTGTTGAATTTACAGCCTCTGGTATATGCATGTAAGATGGAATGCTCTGTGTAGGTTATCGGAGGCACACCAAAGGAAAAGATGAAAGACTGTATGCACAAAAGGCCAGCCTGCACCTCCCGTGCCCTCTGCTTCCCAGGGAAGCCGATCAATACAGATGGAGTGGGTCATGCCCCACGTTACCAGGACCCCTGGCTTCTCCCACCACAGGGGGGTGGCTGGGAGGGAACATTACATTAATTACTTAGGCAAAATGCCTGAGCGCTCTGTACCGGGGCATAGTGAGCTTGCTGGAGCTGATGGGGAAAAAGTTAAGCTGTTTCCAGAGAACCGCTGGTGTATCCAGTGTTTTGTAGTGACTTAGCGTATCACACAGTCGGCAAGCCTCTGCTGTGTGCCCGTGACTGGCCCAGCACTGCGTGATTTTGCGTGGAGCAGAGGACAATGATGAAGGGGTGTGTGCAGGGGGAGCCCGTGGACTTGGTGAGACCCACAGGCCACAGCCAGGCTGCTTAGTCTGTAACCCGCCCACGCTGCAGCCTCAGCATCTACACCCTTCGACCCACAGCCTCCCTGTGTGGAGTGTGCATGTAATCAGGAGAGGCAGATAATAAATATATATGCCCAGCCAGGCTTGTGCTGTGGCACAGCAAACAGGGCAGCGCGCAGTCAGCATCACCCAGCCTTGATGAGCACGCCGCGATGCTGCTACGAGCTCTGTGAAGACGCGATTTTAATTCCAGCCAGTCGGTAGGTTGTGTGTCTGTGTGGCGGTTTAGCACCGTTTCAAATTCTGCATTGCATGGTGGGGGCGACGGTGGTGGGTGAGCTCTGCGTCGTAATCTTTTCGGAGCTCTTCCAGCACAGTCCAGTCAAATCCTCTTTGACGACAGGCCTGTTCCACACCTGTGCTGCTCAGCAGGGAGGCCGCAGGTGCCTAGGGAGCACACAAAATGTGGTCAGAACAAAGGAGGAACTGGATTTTGAGTTTTATATAATTTCAAGTAACTGAAAAGTTTAAATGTGTTAAATACCTAGGTGTGGCCACTGGCTTCCAGATTGGACAATATGGGTCCCAGCAAAGGCACCATCAGCTCCTGTGGTTCCCTGGATCATTGGCCTCCCTGCCTGCACCCATGGTCTCCCCTGCCTGGTTGTCTGTCCTTCCCTATACCACCCAGCCTGGCATCCACCCCTAAAGGGAGGTTCCTGAGCCCGCAGAGCTCACTGAGCGTGTGTCTTCAGTCCCCCGCTGCACCTCGAGGGGGCCTCTGTCACGGCATTCCCTGGGATGGTCACCACCTCGTCTGTCCCCTCCACTGCACCACGAGCCGCTGAAGAGCAAGTGCATGCTCAGCCCCGGGCATGGCGTCTGTGCATCTGGGAGCTCTGCACACGGTGCTGAATGAATGAGCACAGAACCAGGTGGAGTTTGTTTAACCAACACTCCCGTGACACTCATCGAGCTCCAGCGCTCTTCCAGGGGCTTTCCGCTATCAGTCACGTTTGGATACATCGCGGTTGGCCATATGGTTCACTTTGCAGCTGCGGGCTGTGACAACTTACTTGATCTGTCAAAGACGCGTTCCTTTTCACTTGTAGCATGTGAATGATACCAAAATCACAGGTTGTTCTGACGATCGAAATGAGATAAACTGTATGAACAGCGCACGACATTCCTGTGAACTCACAGTAAATGTTAGGGGGTTCACTAAGGACACACTGGTGAATGGAACAAAACTTACTGCCAGTGTGGAGTGCGCATCTAATCCGGAAAGGCAGATAATAAATAAATACATTTTTTTGAGACTGAGTTTCACTTTTGTTGCCCAGGCTGGAGTGCAATGGCACAATCTCGGCTCACCGCAACCTCCGCCTTCCGGGTTCAAGTGATTCTCCTGCCTCAGCCTCCCGAGTAGCTGGGATTACAGGCATGCGCCACCATGCCTGGCTAATCTTTGTATATTCAGTAGAGATGGGGTTTCTCTATATTGGTTAGGCTGGTCTTGAACTCCCGACCTCAGGTGATCTGCCCGCCTCGGCCTCCCAAAGTGCTGGGATTACAGGTGTGAGCCACCGCATCAGGACGATAATAAATATTACAGAGAAGCAGTGACATGTATGCTCATATTATTTGGGAACAAAGATGGGCCCGGATAAGGGGTGTTGGGATGCCTGGGGGCCGTGGGGGCTGACCTGTAAATAGGAGATCAGGGCAGTGTTGCTGAGGAGGTGATTGTCAGGCAAAAGCTTGGAGGGAGGCAAGGAGCAAACACACAGCTGTGTGGGGAAGAGCATTCCTGGCAAAGGGAACCACCTTTGCCAAGTTGCAGAGGCAGGACAGAAGGGAAAGGGCCCTAAGTGAGGGAGGTGCTTGTGGCCAAGGTGAGGAGAGCAGCTTTCATTCTGAGTGAACAGGGAATGACTTTTGTTTCTGAAAGCTTGCTCTGGGGCTGGGCTAAGGACGGCTTGTAGACAGGCAGGGACACATGTGTTGGGGATATTTCATTACCCAGGAGGGAGACGGTGCTGGTGTCTCTCCTCTCCCTCTCTGCCTCTGTGAGTGTGTAATATGCATAATGTGTATGACTTTTTTTTTTTTTTTTTTTTTTTTTTTGAGATGGAGTCTTGCTCTGTCACCCAGACTGGAGTGCAGTGGTGCAATCTCGGCTCACCGCAAACTCCGCCTCCTGGGTTCAAGTGATTCTCCTGCCTCAGCGTCCCAAGTAGCTGGGATTACAGACACCTGCCACCACGCCTGGCTGATTTTTTTATTTTTAGTAGAGACGGGGTTTCTCTATATTAGCCAGGGTGGTCTCGAACTCCTGACCTCAGGTGATCTGCCCACCTCAGCCTCCCAAAGTGTTGGGATTACAGGAGTGAGCCACCGCGCCTGGCCATGTGTATGACTTTGATTGTGAAAAGTTTCAAACATACCCCAGGTGGGTAAAAATATCAGATGGTCCCTGAATATTCCCACTGTCCAGCAGTAACAATGGTCACCAGCACACGCCCATCTCGCTTCACCTTTGCCCTCATACACTTCCTTCCTTCTCAGACAGTTTAGAAGATAATTCCGGCCAGGCACAGTGGCTCACACATGTAATCCCAGCACTTTGGGAGGCCAAGGAGGGTGGATCACCTAAGGTCAGGAGTTTGAGACCAGCTTGGCCAACATGGTGAAACCTCATCTCTACTAAAAATACAGTAATTCCGGCCAGGTGTGGTGGCTCACGCCTGTAATCCCAGCACTTTGGGAGGCCGAGGTGGGTGGATCACGAAGTCAGGAGATGGAGACCATCCTGGCCAGCATGGTAAAACCCCGTCTCTACTAAAAATACAAAAAAATTAGCCAGGCGTGGTGGCAGGTTCTTGTAATCTCAGCTACTCGGGAGTCTGAGGCAGGAGAATTGCTTGAACCCAGGAGGCGGCGGTTGCAGTGAGCTGAGATCATGCCGCTGCACTCCAGCCTGGGTAACAGAGCAAGACTCCGTCTCAAAAAAAACCCTCCCAAAACAAAAATTAGCCGGGCGTGGTGGCAGGCACCTGTAATCCCAGCTACTTGGGAGGCTGAGGCAGGAGAATCGCTTGAACCTGGGAGGTGGAGGTTGCAGTGAGCCGAGATTGCGCCGCTGCACTCCAGCCTGGGTGACAGAGGGAGACTCCATCTCAAAAATAAATAAATAAATAAAGATAATTCCATGTTCTGGGTCCAGTGGGCAGGTGGACAGGATGCTGCACAGACTGGGTGCGAGGAAGGGGTCTGAAGGTGCCACCAAGGCTTTTGCTGGAGCGACCAGGAGGATGGGGCTGCTCCTCCCGGAGGTGGGAGGCTGCGATGGGGCAGGCTGAGGAAGAGCCAGAGCTGAGGCTTGGACCTGTCGGCTTTGAGATTTGATTCAACGTCCAAGGGGAGATGTTTTGAGTTGTCAGATGGAAATTCATGTCGGGAAGGTGCTATGCATTTGGGGATAATTGGAGTGTGGATGATCTTAGGAGCAATGACTCTGGTTGACATCACCAGGGGATGAGGGCGCAGGAGGAGGAGACTCCAGTGAGCCCAGAGGCTTCAGCACAAAAGAACCAGCGAATCAGGATGTCGGGAGCGCCTTCCAGCCCGCAGGTGTGACCAAATCACCCTGGAGGGGCTGTTCCCATTCGTGCTCCTGACCACAGACTATGGAAGTGCCTGTTTGCTTTAAGAAAGTGTCCGTTTCATAGACAAAATGGTATTTTAGAATTAATTATATTCCTGTAATTTCAAGGAAGAGCTGACTTCTCATATCCATGGACTGTTTGTATTCCTTCTTTTGTGAATGAACATAATTCTTAGTGAGGTGTTTTTGTGTAGTTTTTCTCTTTCACCATGAGGGGTAGAGAAAAGGGCTAGGAACAGACGCCACCTCTTGGCTTAGGGGCGGGGAGGCTCTGGGGTCAGGCCAGACTCTCCCTTCCTCCCTCACGGTCTCTTTCCATTTCTCCAAGTCTCTGCTTTCTCAACCTCAACATGAGGGTGCTGGGGAGTTGGGCTAAGTCCCGTGTTAGGACCCGCCATGGCCGCATGGCCCCGAATCTCCCTCGCTGGCCCCGTCTCTGTGGCTCAGTCTCTGCTGGCTCCAGAGCGTGGCCTGGCCTGCGCGTCAGTGGACGTCTGTTCCCGTGTGGGGGTGTTCTTGTGGGCGGGTGGGCTCTGCTGTTTCCCACGTCTAGCCAGGGCCTGCCACCCAGGGTCTCAATACATGTGTTTTGAATGGCTTCAAAGACTATTAAAAGCAAGTTATTATTTTCAAAATTAAAATAATCTCTCTCTTTTAAACAATAAAATAAAATTTTGCATTTTGTGGCGATAGGGTTTGTATAGCTAGTGATATTTTATTTTTAAATACTTTAGAAGGAAGCCATGTTCTAATTCCTTCCCCGTTTCAGCGTGTTTAAGCAAAGTCTCTTTTTAGTTCAACCTCATTGAGCAGAGGGCACCTGTCAGGTACAGTTGACAGTACATCCAGTTCTGTCACTGCCTGACTTTTGAAAGTCTCAAATCTTAGCGTCAGGAGCCTAGACGGGGCCTCACTCACTCCCGCAGCCCCCAAGGTTGACCGAGCTGCCCTCTCCCTTCCAGGAAGCACGGCTGATGCTCCGAAGGAGGGAAGACTGACCCGGTTTCTGGACTTCACCCAGCTGATGGACATGGCATCTGAATCCGTAGGAGGAAAAGTAAGTGGGTCTCTCATGGCCAAACAAGGGTTGAAGGCATCCGTGCTAAGGGCACAACTCACCAGTGCAGAGAACCTCATGCAAGAATCAACAAGAATCAGGCTGAAGTGTTGGCCTGCCCAAGGAAACCCGTTAGCGAGAAAGACTTCCAAAGAATTTATCTTAAATTGGTGACAATTCTCAGCAAGGACAATACTGCCTTAGATTTTGTGTGTTTCACTAGAGGACAGACTGTGGTCCTCTGCTCTAGATAGGCAGGCGGTCCTCTAGCTCTAGTTAGATCTGAGGTCCTCTAGCTGGAGTTAAATCGGAGGTCCTCTGGCTCTGGTTAGATAGGAGGTCCTCTGGCTCTGGTTAGATAGGAGGTCCTCTGGCTCTGGTTAGATGGGAGGTCCTCTGGCTCTAGTTAGATGGGAGGTCCTCTGGCTCTGGTTAGATGGGAGGTCCCCTGGCTCTATTTAGATCCGAGGTCCTCTGGCTCTATTTAGATCCGAGGTCCTCTGGCTCTAGTTAGACCTGTGGTCCTCTGGCTCTGGTTAGATGGGAGGTCCTCTGGCTCTGGTTAGATCGGAGGTCCTCTGGCTCTGGTTAGATGGGAGGTCCTCTGGCTCTGGTTAGATGGGAGGTCCTCTGGCTCTGGTTAGATTGGAGGTCCTCTGGCTCTGGTTAGATGGGAGGTCCTCTGGCTCTGGTTAGATGGGAGGTCCTCTGGCTCTGGTTAGATGGGAGGTCCTCTGGCTCTATTTAGATCCGAGGTCCTCTGGCTCTATTTAGATCCGAGGTCCTCTGGCTCTATTTAGATCCGAGGTCCTCTGGCTCTAGTTAGATCCGAGGTCCTCTGGCTCTAGTTAGACCTGTGGTCCTCTGGCTCTGGTTAGATGGGAGGTCCTCTGGCTGTGGTTAGATCGGAGGTCCTCTGGCTCTAGTTAGATTGGAGGTCCTCTGGCTCTGGTTAGATGGGAGGTCCTCTGGGTCTGGTTAGATGGGAGGTCCCCAGGCTCTGATTAGATGGGAGGTCCTCTGGTTCTGGTTAGATAGGAGGTCCTCTGGCTCTGGTTAGATGGGAGGTCCTCTGGCTCTGGTTAGATGGGAGGTCCTCTGGCTCTGGTTAGATCGGAAGTCCTCTGGCTCTGGTTAGATAGGAGGTCCTCTGGCTCTGGTTAGATGGGAGGTCCTCTGGCTCTATTTAGATCCGAGGTCCTCTGGCTCTAGTTAGACCTGTGGTCCTCTGGCTCTGGTTAGATGGGAGGTCCTCTGGCTCTGGTTAGATCGGAGGTCCTCTGGCTCTAGTTAGATCGGAGGTCCTCTGGCTCTGGTTAGATGGGAGGTCCTCTGGGTCTGGTTAGATAGGAGGTCCTCTGGTTCTGGTTAGATGGGAGGTCCCCTGGCTCTGGTTAGATGGGAGGTCCTCTGGTTCTGGTTAGATAGGAGGTCCTCTGGCTCTGGTTAGATGGGAGGTCCTCTGGCTCTGGTTAGATGGGAGGTCCTCTGGCTCTGGTTAGATCGGAAGTCCTCTGGCTCTGGTTAGATCGGAAGTCCTCTGGCTCTGGTTAGATAGGAGGTCCTCTGGCTCTGGTTAGATCGGAGGTCCTCTGGCTGTAGTTAGACCTGTGGTCCTCTGGCTCTAGTGTGTAATGAGGGTCACCTGGAGAACTCATTAAACATAATGTGCAGAGGCGCTGGGGTGCAGGCTGTGCTCAGAAGCAGTGTGTCTGGTACAGAAAGGGAAGACCCTGTGCCTGCCCCCAGGAAGCTACACTCTAGCAGGGAGACAGATGTAAGTCCAGACCAGCCCTGTGACTGGCACAATGCCAGGGTGCTGGGGGAGCACATGGACTCCAGCCATGGGTAGCCTGGGGGAATTGGGGTGGGAGGGGTGGGGATGGGCCAGCTGAGTGCTGCTGGAGGCAGCTTGCTGGAGAGCAGCTGGCGGGCAGGGATGAGGTGCAGGGTGGTTCTGGCAGAGGTGTCTGCGAGGAGAGCAAGGGAGCCCACATGCTCCAGGTGGCTCAGTGTTTCAAGAACACGCTGCGCGTTTGTGAGAAGAGTTGGGAGCACGAGTCTGGAGAGGTAGGAGAGGCCCCATGTGCCCTGTGAAGCCTTCTGCTGAGGAGCCACAGAGAGATCTGGAGCAAGGGGGATCCTGATATGTCCACCTACCTGCCATTTGAACCCTGGAACAGGTCAACCTCAGCACATCAGGTCTTCCCTCTGCTCTGCCACTCAAACAGCCAGCAGCTCTGAAACAGCTCGTCCTTCCTGCCTTTCGAACTCCTGGGCTGGAGTCAGAGCCTGGGGCAGGGTGCCCTCCAGGCTGCAGTGACCACAGAGTCCTGGCTTGGGTGGAGTGACCACAGCCTGTTTTGCTCAGGAAAATCTGATTTACCTTGTATTCTGGATGTACAATTAGTATCATTGACCTCACTCTCAAAATGATCCTGCTTTGGTGGATGAATGACCAGGACAGCCCACCTGCAGGGTGACCTATGGCGGCCCTTGTGGGTGAACACAGAGGCCCCAACCGCATACGTAACCCAGAGCTTTTTTGGTCATTGCTCGGTTTGTAAAAGTAGCACGAAACCTCTGGTTCATGAAAAAAAGAAAGTTGGTTTATTTGCTTCTTGAGTGTAAGATGTTAGTGCTCTTACCTCCAGATGGTAAAGGAGAATCGGAAAAAAGGGTGGGAAGAGAAGAAGAAGGAGGAGGCAGACAATGAAATGGAAGCATTTCAAGGCATCATGGCTTAACTGCAGATTCTGTCGCTTCCCCTAGGTGATTTCACGTTTTCTTTTTACTTCATCTCATAATGTTTCACTAGGGAATGAAATAAAATGGTATCAGATTTATGGTTGCTTTATCTTTCTTTCTTTCTTTCTTTGTCTAGATTTTATTTGCAACAGATGACTTTTTTGCTCCTGCAGAAAACCTCATAAAGGTATTGTAAATTGACATTCTGCAATGTAAAGGGTTGATGTAGAGAAATCTATGCCGCCTTGTTATTAAAATCTCCCTGTATATTTGGGATGGAGTCATGTGATGTACACTGGCAAATTAGCATATTAGAATGTTAGAAAGACATGCAAATCAGCATGAACTCATGCCAAAACATAGCAGAGACAGGGATCTGAGCAAGTAATTTGGGACTGCATTGTTTCCTGGGGAAAATTCTGAGGTCCTCAAATACTGCTCTTCTGGGTAAGGTGAATTTCATCATTTGTGTTGGGAAGAAAATGGATCTATGTCTTGAATTTTCTGGGAAATGTTTTACCTGCCTAATTATAAAAGTGCAGGACAGCTTATTAAAAAAATAGAGAAAATGCTGACGAACATAGGGAAGAAATGGCGGCCCTGCTGGCGTCCTGCTCCTCCGTCATACCCAGTGTGGAGATGCGAACTCTTGTGCGTGGAGAGACAAACACAGGTGCACATTGAGCTAATGCCCACGTACAGCATTCATGACTGGCCTCCATTGTGGGCAGCGGCCATCTGGTTACCCTGGTGAAATGGTTGCTCTCTGTCTGGGCAGGACCTGGCTGGGTCCAGAGCAAGCTGAAGTATGGCCCTGAGAAGGCACCTTACAGTGTTAACTTACCTATTCCCCAGGAGAAAGTGAAAATAAAATGAGAAAGGGCAACATGAATTAACTTTTTCTAGGTCACACAGTTACTAAATGCCAAAGCTCTTACCATTTTACCACAGGTCCGGTCTTTGAAACACTGAAATGCATGTCTACCTTGACCTAGTTGTTCCACAGATTTACATCGTTTGCACAAGTGGGCAAAAAAATAGGTAGAAAACATTCATTCTGGTATTGTTTGGAGAGGAGATAACCAACCTAAGTGTTCATTGATTGATAGGGAACTAAAGAAATTATAGCTCTTCCAGATATGGACTATTATGTGGCTACTAGAATGAGGTAGGCCTGGCACTGTGGCTCACACCTGTAATCCCAGCACTTTGGGAAGCCAAGGCAGGAGGATCACTTGAGCCTAGGAGTTTGGGACCAGCCTGGGCAACAGAGCAAGACCCCATTTCTGAAAATAAAAAATATTATCCAGGCATGGCTATGTGTACCTGTAGTCCCCGCTACTCAGAAGGCTGAGCTGGGAGGATTGCTTGAGCCCAAGACGTTGAGGTTGCAGTGAGCCATCATCATGCCACTGCACTCCAGCCTGGGTGACAGAGTAAGACCCTGTCAAAAAAAAAAAAAAAAAAGCAAGCTCTCCATTCACTGGCAACAAGAGAGATCCATGTATATTTTATGAGTGTAAAACAGAGTTTGAAGGCGCACACATCAAACAGTGAGATGTGATTATCTGTGAAGAGAGAGGTGGGCTTGGAAATGGGGTGGGAGAGAGGGTAGGGCACTATTTCTTAGATTTTATACTTGAGCATATATATATATATATACACACACACACATATAAACACTTACACACTACATATGTGTATATATAGTCACGCTATAACATCACACGAGACACATATATTTCTCCTTTTTGAAAAAAATAACATTACAGATAAATGTAAAGTTCACCGTTCACCTCCAACTTGAGTGCCAGTCCACGCCCTCCCTTTCCACCATTCACACTGTTGTAGGATGGGAAAATACTTTAGGCTGTTGGGGCTGCTGAAGCAAAATACTGCAGATGGGTGGTGGCTTAAACACAGTGATTTCTTGAAGTTCTGGGGGCTGGAAGTCTGAGACCGAGCCTGAGACAGTAGCAGCTCCAGCATCTGGTGAGGGCCCTCTTGGGATGGCCACCTGCCGCTGATTCCCTCAGGTGACAGAGAAGAGAGGGGAAGCAGGCCATCTCCTGCCTCCTCCCACATGGGCACTCATCCCATCATGGGGGCTCCACCCTTGTGACCTAATCACCTCCCAAAGTCCTCATCTCCGAATACCATCACTCTGGGGATTAGGTTTCAACATACAAATTTTGGTGGGGGACAAACATTCAGTCTGTTGCAGAGAATTCTTCTAATGTATTTTATACACTTAAATACACATATATTCGTAAATATATAAGATATTTTGTATTCTAAATTTATATACATATTTTCACAAAGCACTTAGCATTCTGCACACTTTTTTTGGTGGGGGTGGGGCAGGATCTCGCTGTGATCAGGCTGTCAGGCTGGGGTGCAGTGGCACGGTCATGGCTCACTGCAGCCTCGACTTCCTGGGCACAAGCGATCCTCCTGCCTCACTGGGACTACAGGCATACTCCACTGTGCCCAGCGAATTTTTAAATTTTTTGTAGAGATGAGGTCTCTAGCTCCTGGGCTCAAGCAGTCCTCCTGCCTCGGCCTCCCAAATGGCTGGGATTACAGGCGTGAGCCACCGTGCCCGGCCCTAAACCTGCTTTTCTCACTGCGTGTTTGTGAATGCCATTGGTGCTGATGTGTGTAGACCCAGGCCACCCTCTTAGCTGCCGAATAATAACTGTCCATGTCATCGTGGTCCATTTTATGGCCCCCTTTCCTTGTTGATGCACATTTAGGTTGATGACATTTTGCACGTATTGAAAACATCCTTGTACAAGTGTGTGCACGTGTGTCGGTTTATCCCTGGGACCAGTCCTTGGTTTCTCTCTCTCTCTCTCTTTTTTTTTGAGACAGAGTCTCACTCTGTTGCCCAGGCTGGAGTGCAGTGGCATGATCTCGGCTCACCACAACCTCCACCTCCTGGGTTCAAGTGATTCTCCTGCCTCAGCCTCCCAAGTAGCTGGGACTACAGGCACCCGCCACCACGCCCAGCTAATTTTTGTATTTTTAGTAGAGAGGGGGTTTCACCATGTTGGCCAGGCTGGTCTCGAACTCCTGACCTCAGGTGATCCGCCCTCCTTGGCCTCCCAAAGTGCTGGGATTACAGGTGTAAGCCACCGCACCTGACTAGTTTTTCTCTTTTTTTAAGGAACACACATTTTTAAGGAACATCACATGGCATGAGCCAGTTTTACAACAGGGCTGTTTTCCTGCCACTGGTTCAGTAGCGTGTGTCCCCAGCTTCCCTCACACCGTTCAGTGTCAGTCCAATCACAACAGCAGCAGTAGCAGCAACACACCTGAAACAATCAACCTACCCCCAAAACTAAACACCAAAAAGTTTGGGGCCTTGGAGGTCTGGGGTTTAAGTGGGAGGTGTACCTCCTTCTCTCCTTCTGGGTTCAGAGCAGAGTTTTGCAATTCCTGATGAGTAATGGAAAGGCTGGAGTGTGTGCTGTCTTTAAGATGTGATTTGATTGTAATAACATTCAAAATACCATCAACTTTCATGTATAATGCTAAATACTGGGCACTTACTATGTGCCAGGCACATTTAAGGTTGACAACAGCCAGAGGCGGTCAATAGCACGATGGCTGTTTGCCTTTGACAGAGGAGGAGCACTGAGGCACAGGAAGGTGGGTACCGTTGGCCACGGGTCCCCTGCCTGGGAGGCTGGGCAGGTTGTCACACCAGGGAGTCTGGCGGGATCCCTGGTTGGCGTCTCATGCATCAGCTTCCATCAGAGCATCCCTGCCGCCCTGGGTCCTGCTACCCCTAGTCCCTTCCTCTGCTCCTGCCTGGGGAGATTCCCTAAGCAGTAACGTAAGATCCTCCTTGCACGACTTGATGGAAACAGGGAAAGTATCCCCATGCTGGGCCAGCATAACGATTTCTGAGCATCCACGCTATTTGAGGGTCTTTCATGTCGGCTATTCCAACTTCATGACACTCCTGCGAGGATGCGTGTATCCTCCTCATTCTGGAAGATGAAGAAGTGTGCTCAGCTGTCTAAGGAGGCTGTGTGGGGCATCAGAGACCATGCATTTCCTCAGGGGGTTGCAGAGTGTGCTGTGTGGTTTCACCTGGACCCTGAGCGTCCAGCCTACTCTTCCTATGACTTTGGATGAATTCCTGATTGAATAGTCTACCTGGCCTGCTTGGAAATCTGACCAGCCTCTCTCACTTTAATACCCATGTAGGTTGCTGTTGGGAATTGCATTTGTGCGGCCCACAGAGTGCCTGGTGATGTGGTTGTACCTGCTGCTATCAGTGGTCAATTCTGTGTGCTGAGGCCCACAAAGAAGTCACATTTCTTTCTCTGAAGATGATAAAAGCGGAGGCATCTCTCAATCTGGAAGGGGCTAGCTGGGCATGAAGGTGGTGGCAGAGGCTCCCCTAGACCCCGGTTTGCACCGTTCCTCTGGCACTGTGGGACAGAAGTGGACTTGCTGGAAGCCAGGAGATCACATGAATGTTAATGATCACCTTGTTGTGGTCTTTGCCCTAGAGTGACAGCCCGTGCTTCAAAGAGCATGAATATACGGAGTTTGGGAAATGGATGGATGGCTGGGAGACCAGGAGGAAAAGGATTCCAGGTAATAACAACGGTTCGTTCATCGAAGTGCAGCTGACACTGCAAAGTTAAAAACGCAGGCTGTGGCAAAGCCAGTGTCCGTTTTGGGTCAGCTTTAACATGGGGCCCTGGAATGCTCTGTAATCTTGGATGTCCTTATCTGAACATCAGGCTCTAAGTCAGGAAGGGGCAGCGTGAGCCCGGGTCACTGACGTCCCACCAGGCACAAAGGGTGAGAAGCACGTTGTCGGGAAAATGAAAACCCTGGTGAGGTCTGCGGATGGAAAAAAGAGTGGATTCTCACTGAGCAATGTGGCAGGCATTAGGCAGCGTGCATCTTCTGGGTCCTTACTACAGTCCTCTGGAGTAGGTCTCTTTATCCCCGTTTAACCGCCATGGAAACAGATTCCTGGACTCAGCCCAGGGCACACTGCTAGCAAGATAAGCTGGGGACTGGGCCAGGGTCTGTCCTCAACACTGTACCCGCTGTCTTTTACGATTTTATGCAATTTTTATTCATTGCTATTACTCAGTCTCAATCAAAATATACCTTCTGAAGTTGAAGAAAAGCAAACAAATCCAGGCATTAGGTTGATAATTGGATTTTTACTTGCCACTATCTCAAGTATTACAGAAATATTTGATATTTCTAGTTTTCTAACTTTCTACAGTACTTGAAGCAGTATTAGTTTCTAACAAATCTGGACATTTTAAGGTGAGTTAATATCTGGCAGTAAATAACCAAGAACTCAATAGTGGCAGACTTGACTTCAAGACTCTGAAGGCTTTGGTAGATGCAGGCAGGTGTCTGACCAGTGGTGGGGCTGGAGGCTGGAGGGTGCTGTGTCAGTTCCTGAGCTTGAGAGGACAATGAACACAGTGTCTGCAGGAGAACCAGCTCTGCTTACTACCTGCTGAGCTTGGTGAGGTGCTTTCTACATCGCACACTCAGTCTAAGCTTTATGGAAGCTAACGGCATCCCTAATTTACAGTTGAGAAAATGAGATTCTCTACTGTAAGAGGTAAATAATTTGCCAAGGACAGTCATAGGAAATGATCCATTTGGAACCAGAATCAGGTCTTCCTGGATCCCAGCCTGTGCATTTTCTCTTCTGGCTAGAACTGAGGATTTTCGTTGGGGAATGGTGGTCACATGTGGCCAGGTTATGAGAGATCCTACAGTCATATTAGCTAAGAACCGCCCTGAACAGTTTTTTCTGTGATGGACGGAATGGCCCCTGCTGTGGGTCAGGTGCATGTGGGGTGCACTGCCTCGCATGCAGCATCTGCTGTGTTGGCCCTAACGAGACTGCTCTTGTCCTCTGTGTTGCGCAGGTCACGACTGGTGTGTCCTCAGGCTGGGGATCCAAGGAGTCATCCGGGGCTTCGACGTGGACGTTTCTTACTTCACGGGAGATTACGCTCCTCGAGTGTCCATTCAAGCAGCAAACTTGGAAGAAGGTGCGTTAGGAACCACTGTCCCCAAAATGAGAATTATGGGTCACATGGCTCCTCTGGCCAGCCACAGCCCCACAACTGCTCACTTTCCCTACCACCCAGACAGCTTCAGGCGCTTGACTAAGGCTACTTTACTGTAACGGGGCTGTAGGACCAGGACTCCTAGTAGAGCGCTCTGTGGTTTTTGATTTGTGGCTTAATAGTGTTAACAGCCAGATATAGATTTTATCATTCCCACGGTCCTTCAGCTTCACGCAGAGGCAGGCCATCATCCCTGGAACGTGGGTGAGCAGGTTGCTGGTGGGCGGGAGGGAGTGGTTTGTGCCTCAGATGACCCGGGTGATGTGGACCCAGGTCTGGGACAGCTGTGGGGTGAGCAGCACCAGCCCTGCTTTGGGCTGTCCCAGTGTGTGTGATGGGGGAGCTGCTATGGCATTTTAGGCAAGGGTTCCTATCTGCATCTTGGAATGCTGGACCTATGAATCCTGCAGGCTCTATAAATGAGACGTATTCTGTGAAAGGGCCATATACACAGAGCAGACCTCAGGTGCTGAAGAAGCCAAGAAACCAAAGAAAGAGGCTGACAAATCCAGTCTGTTGGTAACGGGTATTTTATTGGGGGAACTTACGGACAGAAGCGTGGCCTTGGGCAGCAGCGAGATGGGTAAATCTCTGCACTGTTACTGCCCGGACTCAGGGCTCACATGCTGTAGGGAAAGGGTCTGCGTGCTCCAGCGGGACAACTGAAGGCAGCCTCCAGAACAGGGAAGAGGGCGGTGTGCGTCACAGCCTCTGATTTGTGCGATAATATCAAGGTTGACATGTTCTGGACTAAGGACAGTAAATCAAGTTGGAAGCAGGACGTGTTCACAGGATTGAGGCTAATCAGACATTGACATGGCAGATTCGCATCCAAGATGGAGTCACTTTGTCTCCACAGACTTTCTGTATTTTTATTCCTTTGTTACCATCTGATGTTGACTTTAGCATTAATTAAAAAAAATATACAATTATGTGTGTGTTTATACATGTACTTAGGGAAGATAAGTCAATGTGGGTTGGCAAGTTTACACTGAACATGCTATGTGCACAGCGCTGCATGAGGCTCTGTGGACACGAACGGGCCCTGCTCCCTGAAGATGGCTGGGGCACCTGAACAGGAAATGATGCTACAAGAGATGCTACTCTAAAAGCGGAAATGACCAGTGACAAACGAGTAAGATTGTTTCGGCAAGCCCCTCAACTGCCCATGAGTGCTTCTATTTCTGAATTGCCCCAGTATCAATTCTAAGGATGCCACTGGGAGAGGTGGTGTTTCTGGAATTGACCTTGTAATAGTCCAACTTTGAAAACTCTAGCGATGTGATAAACTTGTTGAAGTTTGAGCTAACTTGGAGATGACATTTACTGTTTGACAAGCAAATGTAGTATCAAACATCTTGTACTATTTTTTGAAATGACTGTTAATATATTAAATATTGAGGAACTTCAACAAGTGTGTCTATTACTTTGATCATTTGATACTTCGAAATATCTTTAGTGTTATTTGCAAAGCGAGAATTACCATACAAACCACCAAGAGAGTAGATTCCCTTTGATTTTGAACCCTAATCTTAATCCTGAATGGTCATTCCAACTACAGATAAACTACCAGAAATCCCAGAAAGAGGAACCAGGACAGGAGCTGCAGCCACTCCTGAGGAGTTTGAAGCCATTGCTGAGGTACATCTCCCCCAAATGAATTGGGTCTTGTCACCAATTATTAGGAGAGTAGGGAAACTGCTCTGCACACCTGGCTGTGCAAGGCGATTCTTTGGGACGCCCAGCCCTGATGCTCCCCACATCATTTGCTTACCCACTGTGGCCTTGCAAACGTCTCAGTGGTTCATCAACCTGGGAAGAGTGAGCATCATGGCCCAAAGGCTTCTCAAAGGGTTCCACCAGCACCCATCTGCAAATGGCTGCTGGCCCCGATAAGCACACATACAGAAACTGATAGTAAGCGTTTAAACACTTTTTATACCAACTTGATGTAACTTGAAGTAACGTTTGTGTTTGGAGAATTTAATAAAAGAAACGGGGGAAAAAAATAAATAGGGCTTGTGTTTTGGTACATTCTTGTTTTTTTAATGTTTATTTAGTAATAGTTTGTATTGTTTTTTACAGAAATGTTGATCCATAACAGACAGGAAAGTAAATAACAGGAACAGTAAACAGGGCCGTTAGTTTGAGAAGTGCTAACCTAGAGAAAATGGTTGCAAGGCTCAGGCCAGCAGATTTCCCCAGAGGTCATGGAGCATGGCAGTAGCCTTGGTTTTTATTTGAATGTTCACCTCACCACACCTCAAGGTGAAGACATTTGGAGGGGTCTGAGATCTTGTCCTTCATTTGCAAGCATCTGCCACCATCACCCACTGGCTGTTTTGATCAGTGAAAACAAAACAGGCCTTTATTCTGTTTTTTATTAAACATGGGGCTTGATATGTACTATTTTTATTAAAGTGTTTCATTAGGTATCCATCATTATTTATTTATTTGTTTGTTTATTTTTTGGGACGGAGTCTCGCTCTGTGGCCCAGGCTGGAGTGCAGGGGCGCGATCTCGGCTCACTGCAAGCTCCGCCTCCCAGGTTCACGCCATTCTCCTGCCTCAGCCTCCCGAGTAGCTGGGACTACAGGCGCCCGCCACCACGCCCGGCTAATTTTTTGTATTTCTAGTACAGACGGGGTTTCACCGTGTTAGCCAGGATGGTCTCGATCTCCTGACCTTGTGATCCGCCCGCCTCGGCCTCCCAAGGTGCTGGGATTACAGGCGTGAGCCACCGTGCCCGGCATCCATCATTAATTTTTATTCCAAAGTATCTCCACACCTTAAGTGCCACAGAGGCAATAGGATGACAGAATTTATTGTTTTCAAGAGCAATTGCTGACATTTCTATATTTATTGCTAGCTAAAATCCGACGACTGGAGTTACTTGGTTCCCATGACTGAGCTTAAGCCAGGAAACCCTGCTTCCGGCCACAACTATTTTCTTGTCAATTCCCAGCAGAGATGGACTCATATCAGACTCAACATTTTCCCAGGTAATCGTGACATGGACTTATCACCAGTTCCATGGCTTCTTTATTTTATGTTGACATGTTTATAAAATATAAAATGACTTGCTCTTTCCTTCTTGGTAATTGATCTCTCTAGCATTTCAGGATTGTAATTTCTCCTTTTTATGCTCTAGAAAATTCTTGTTTTAATCCACACATCAATAGGTGGTTATTGAAAAATTATCAAGTAAATTAGGATGTGGTGGAACTAAGTTGTATTAGGTTAGATAGATCCTAACTAGATTTCACAAGTATGTTATATTAGCAGCTGAAGTGGTATGTACAAATGACTCATTTTATTTTTTAATAGCTTTATTGTGATATAATTAACATGCAGTTCACCCATTTGAAGTGTACAATCAATGATGTATAGCATATGCATAGACACGTGCAACCATCACCATACCTTTAGAACATTTTTATCATCTCAGAAAGAAACCCCATATCCTTTAGCTATCATCCCTCATCTTCCCTATCCCAAAGCAACCACTAATTTGCTTTTTGTCTTGATAGTTTTGACTATTTTGGACATTTCATATAAGTAGGAATTATATAATATTGGTCTTTTGTGTCTGACTTTTTCCACTTAGTATAATGTTTTCAAGATTCATCCATGTTGTAACATGTATTAACACTTTCTTTCTTTTTGTGTAAGGCTAATATAGGTTGAGCATCTCAAATCTGAAAGCCCCAAAATTTGAAATGTTCCAAAATCCAAAACTTTTTGAGTGCTGACATGATGCTCAAAGGAAATGCTCACTGGAATATTTCAGATTTTGGATTTGGGACACTCTACCAGTAAGTATAATGCAAATATTTAAAAAAACTGAAATCCAAACACTTCTGGTCTCAAGCATTTCAGATAAGGGATACTCAACCACTACCACATTTTGTTTACCCGTTCATTAGTTGACAGACACTTGTTTCCATCTGCTGGCTATTTTGAACAATGCTGCTGTAAACATTTGTGTACAAGATTTTGTGTGGATATATGCTTTCTTTTGTTGAGTGTATGCCTAAGACTGGACTTTCTGGGTCATATGATAACTCTGTGTTTAACTGTTTGAAGAATTACTAGGCTTTTCCGAAAGTGCTGCACTATTTTACATTCTTAACAGCCACGTAAAGGAGTGCTGATTTCTCCCTGCCTTTCCCAGCACTCTCTGTCTTACTTTTTGTTTATAGTCATCCTAGTGGATGTGAGGTGGTGTCTCATTGTGGTTTTGATGTGCATTTCCCTGATGACTAATGAGGAGGAACATCTTTTCATATGTTTATTGGCCATTTGTATGTTTTATTTGGAAAAATTTCTCTTCAGATCTCTATTCACTTGTCTTAAATTTCAACAGGTTTTTGGGGGAACAGGTGGTGTTTGGTTACATGGATAAGTTCTTTAGTGGTGATTTCTGAGATTTTGGTGCACCCATCACCAGAGCAGTGTACACTGTATCCAATGTGTAGCCTGTTATCCCTCACCCCCCACCCTTCCCCACATTGTATCATTCTTATGTCTTTGCATCCTAATAGCTTAGCTCCCACTTATAACTGAGAACATATGATGTTTGCTTTTCCATTCCTGAACTACTTCATTTAGAATAATGGTCTCCAACTCCATCCAGGTTGCTGTGAATGCCATTATTTCATTCCTTTTTATGGCTGCATAGTATTCCATGGTATATGTATATATACCATATTTTCTTTTTTAAAATATTTTCAATTATGGGCACATAGTAGGTATATATATATTTATGGGGTACATGAAATGTTTTAACACAGGCATGCAATGAATAATAATCACATCATGGAGAATGAGGTATCCATCCCCAATCCATTGTGTATATATACCACTTTTAAAATCTATTCCTCTGTTAATGGGCACTTACTTTGATTTCATATTTTGGCTGTGACATTGTAAACAGTGTCACAGTAAACTTGGAAGTGCAGATATCTCTTCAATATATTGATTTACTTTCTTTTGGATATATACACAGTAGTGAGATTGCTGGATGAATCTATTGTTGTTCTATTTTTAGTTTTTTGAGGAGTTTTCATAGTTTTCCATAGTGAGTGTACTAATTTACATTCTCACCAATAGTGTACATGGGCTTCACTTTCTCCACATCCTCGCTAGCATCCACTATTCCCCCGTCTTTTTAAATAAAAGCGGTATTACTCTGCTCTCACGTTGCTATAAAGATACTACCTGAGACTGGGTAACTTACAAACAAAAGAGGTTTAATTAACTCACAGTTCTACATGACTGGGGAGGCCTCAGGAAACTTACAATCATGGCAGAAAGAGAAGGCGAAGCAAGGCATGTCTTACATGGCAGCAGGATCGAGAGAGAGAGAGAGAGACAGAGAGAGAGAGAGACAGAGACAGACAGACAGAGAGAGACAGAGAAAGGGGGAAGAGCCACTTTTAAACATCAGATCTCACAAGAACTCCCTATCAGAAGAACAGCATGGGGAAAACCACCCCATCATCCAATCACCTCTAAGCAGGTCCCTCCCTGGACATGTGGGGATTACAATTAGAGATGAGGTTTGAGTGGGGATACAGAACCAGACCATGTCAAAAGCCATTTCAACTGAGGTGGTATGACATTTCATTGTGGTTTTGAGTTGCATTTTTCTGATGATTAGAGATGTTGAGCATTTAAAAAATATACCTGTTGCCCATTTGTATGCCTTCTTTTGAGAAATATCTATTCAGAACTTTTGCCCATTTATAAATTATTTTTTTTGCTACTGAGTTGTTAGCTATTGAGTTGTCCTTATATATTCTTGTTATTAATCCCTTCTTAGATGGATAGTTTGCAAATATATTTTTTTCCAACTCTATGGGTTGTCACTCCACTTTGTTATTTCCTTTGACAGCAGCCTTTTAGCTTGATGTAATCCCATTTGTCTGTTTTTCCTGTTGTTGCCTGTGCTTTTGAGGTCTTACACACAAATATTTGCCAAGACCAATGTCCTAGAGCATTTCCCCAAGGTTTTCTTCTAGAATGTTCATAGTTTTAGGTCTTAGATTTAAGTTTTTCATCCATTTTGATTTCATTTTGCATAAGGTGAGAGATAGGAGTCTAGTTTCATTCTTCGGCATGCAGTTATCTAGTTTCCCCAGCACCATTTACTGAAGAGACTGTTCCCCATTGCGTGTTCTTGGTGCCTTTATTGAGAATGAGTTGGCTGTAAATGTGTTGATTTATATCTGGGTTCTCTATTGTGTTGTCTGTTTTTATGCCATAACCATTCTGATTTGCTTATATAGCTTCATAGTACATTTTGAAGTCAGGTAGTGTGATGCCTTCAGCTTTGTTTTTTTGCTTTGGTTATTCAGGGTCTTTCATTTAAATTTTACTTTTTAAAAATATTTCTGAGAAGAATATCATTGGTATTTTAATAGGGATTGAATTGAATCTGTAAATTGCTTTGGATAGTACTGTCATTTTAACAATATTAATTCTTTCAATCTAGGAGCACGGAACATCTTTCCATTTTTTCTGTGTCCTCTTCAATATATTTCACCAGTGTTTTATAGTTTTCCTTGTATAGCTCTTTCACTTCGTAGGATAAATGGATTCCTCAGTATTTTATAGTTTTTGTAGCTATTGTATATGCGATTGCCTTCTTGTTTTATTTTGTAGATTATTCACTGTTGGTGTGTATAAATGCTACTGACTTTTGTATGTTGAATTTGTATCCTGAAAATCTACTGAATTAGTTTATCAGTTCTAATAGTTTTTGGGTGGAGTCTAGGTTTTTCTAAGTATAAGATCATATTGTCTATGAAGAAGGAGAACTTCACTTCTTTCTTTTCAATTTGGATGCCATTTATTTCTCTTGCATAATTGCTCCAGCCAGGACTTCCAATATTATGTTAATAAAAGCGGTGAAAGTGGGCATCCTTGTCTTGTTCCGGATCTTAGAGAAAAGGCTTTCATTTTTTGTCCATTAAGTATGATGTTACCTGTGGGTTTGTCATATGTGGCTTTTGTTATTTTGAGGTAGTTTTTTTTTCTATACCCAATTTATTGAGGGTTTTTTTCTTATCATGAAGTGACGTTAAATTTTATCAAATGCTTTCCAGCATTTATCGAAATGATCATATGGTTTTTGTTCTTGGTTCAGTTAGTGATGTGTCATGTTTATTGATTCATGTATGTTGAGACATGCTTGCCTTCCTGGAATGAATTCCACTTGATCATGGTGAGTGATCTGTTTATTGTGTTGTTAAATTCAGTTTGCTGGTATTTTGTTGAGGATTTTTGCATCTATGTCCATCAGTGATATTAACCTGTAGTTTTCTTTTTTTGTTGTTGTCTTTGTCTGGTTTTGGTATCAGGGTAATACTGGCCTTGTAGAATGAGTTTGGAAGTACTCCTGCTTCAATTTTCTTGAAGAGTTTGAGTAAAATTGGTATTAGTTATTCCTTTTATGTTTGGTAGAATTCAGCAGGGAAGCCATTAGGTCCTGGAATTTTCTTTAATGGGAGACTTTTTAAATTTCAGCTTTTATCTCATCATTCATTATTGGTTTATTAAGGTTTTCTATTTCTTCATGGTTCAATCTTGGTAGATTGTATGTGTCCAGAAATGTATCCATTTCTTCTAGGTTTTCCAATTTGTTGGTATGTAGTTGTTCATAATAGTCTCTAATTGATCTTTGTAATTCTGTGGTCACATTTCCTTTTGGCTGAGTACAGTGGACTTTATTGATGGTATGTGACAGGATGTGGCTCCCTAGGCCCCTCTCTTTTCAGGGGGCCTGGCATGGAAACTGTGTCAGGGGGAGATTCTCAGTATGGTGGGAGAGTGAGTGTGGCAGGGACTCCCTAGCAGCTGAGAACCTCTCTAATCTTCTTGTGCTCTTGCTGGGGCTGGTGGTCCAGGGGCTCTTACTCTTTGGAGGCCATGTGGACCATGAGGCCTCCACTACCCTGTTGCCAAATTCATTGTCATACCAGGGAATAAGCTTGACAAAGTAGTCATTGAGGGAAATGCCAGCCCCAGCATCAAAGCTGGAAGAGTGAATGTCTGTTAAAGTCAGAGGAGACAACCTGGCACTCACTATAGCCCAAGATGCCCTTGAGGGGGCCCTCCAATGCCTGCTTCACCGCCTTTTTGATGGTGTCATATTTGTCAAGTTTCTCCAGATGGCAAGTCAGGTCCAAAATGACACAGAGGTGGGGATATGGAACACCATGCTAGTGAGCTTCCATTCAGCTTGGGGATGACCTTTCCAACAGCTTTGGCAGTGCAAGTAGATGCAGAGATGATGTTCTGTAGAGCCCTGTGGCCATCCTGCCAACGTTTCCAAGAAGGGGCACCCATGGTCTTCGGAGTGGTAGTGATTGCATAGGCTGTGGTCATGAGTCCCTCCATAGTGCCAAAGTTGTCATGGATGACCTTGGCCAGAAGGGCTAAGTAGTAGGTGGTGTATGAGGCACTACTAAGGATCTTGAGGTTGTTTTCATACTTCTCATGATTCACACCCCACATAAACATAAGGGGCATCAGCAGAGGGGGCAGAGATGGTGGCTCTTTTGGCTTACCCCTCTAAGTGAGCCTCAGCCTTCTCCATGGTAATGGAGATTCTAGTGGGCTCAACAACATAATCAGCACCGCTGTCATTTCACTCGATTTTGGGGGGGATCTTGCTCCTGGAAGATAATGATGGGATTTCCATTGATGTCAGTCTTCTCATTCTGAGCCTTGATGATACTGTGGAACTTGCCATGGGTGGAAGCCTACTGGAACATGTAGGCCAGGTAGTTGAGGTCAATGAAGGCATCATTGATGATGACAATATCCACTTTGCCAGAGCTAAAAGCAGCCTTGGTGACCAGGTGCTTAATGTGGCCAAATTTGTTTACTCTGGCCTTCATTTTCACCTTGTTGCCTCAGGAACCCAGCTGGCACTGCATAAAAATATGCAGGTGTCTGTCAAATGGAAAAGAGAAGAGAGCCAGTCTCATTTTTTATGTATCCTTCTCTATTTCTGATTTTTTGGGGTCTTTTCTCTTTGTAATTAGTCTAGCTAAAGGTCCATCACTTTTGTTTCTTTTTAAAAAAACAAGTTTTTTGTTTTGTTGATCCTCTGTATTATTTTAGTTGCCATTTATTTATCCTCTGATCTTTATTTTTTTCTTCTACTAGTAATTTTGGGATTGGTTTATACTTGCTTTTCTAGTTTATTGAGATGCATTGTTATATTAATTTGAAGTCTTTCTACTTCTTTGGTATAGGTATTTATTGCTATAAACTTCCCTCTTAGTACTGCCTTTGTTGTATCCCATATATTTTTGTATGTTGTATTTCCATTTTCATTTGTTTCAAGCATTTTTAAAATTTCCTTCTTAATTACTGACCCATTTGTTGTTCAGGAGCATGTTGTTTAATTTACATGTGTTTGTGTATTTTCCAATGTGTCTCTTATTATTGATTTCTAGTTTTATTCCATTATGGTCAGAAAAGATACTTGATATGATTTCTACTTTTTTGAATTTGTTTAGACTTGCTTTATGGCCCAAGACATGGCCTATTCTAGAGAATGTTCCATGTGCTGATGAAAAGAATGCATATTCTGCAGCAGTTGGGTAAAATGTTCTGTAATGTCAGTTAGGGCCATTAGATCTAGTGTGTAGTTCAACTTCACTATTTCTTTGTTGATTTTCTGTCTGGACGATTTGTCCATTACTGAAAGTGAGGTGTTGAAGTCCCCTACTATTATTGTATTGCAGTCTATTTATCCCTTTAGATCTATTAATGTTTGCTTTATATAAGACTTGAAAGCTCTGGTGTTGGACACATAGATATTCATAATTGACCCATTTATCATTATACAGTGTCTTGTCTTTTTTTTTTTTTAACAGTCTTTGATTTGTAGTCTATTTTATCTGATATAAGTGTAGCTACTCCTGCTCTTTTTTGGCCTCTGGTTGCATGAGATATCTTTTTCCATCCTTTCACTGTCAGCCTATTTGTGTCTTTATAGGTCAAGTGGGTTTCTTGTAGGCAGCATATAGTTGGGCCTTGTTTCTTAGTCCATTAAGCAACAGTATACCTTTTATTTGGAACATTGAGTCCATTTACATTCAGTATTGTCATCAGTAAGAGCTTACTGTCATTTTGTTGCTTGTTTTCTGATCCCCTCCCCTTCCCTTCCCTTCCCTCCCCCCTCCCCTCCCCCTCCCCCTCCCCTCCCCCCTCCCCTCCCCCTCCCCTCCCCCCTCCCCTCCCCCCTCCCCTCCCCCCTCCCCTCCCCTCCCCCTCCCCTCCCCTCCCCTCCCCTCCCCCCTCCCCTCCCCTCCCCCCTCCCCTCCCCTCCCCCTTCCCCTCCCCCCCTCCCCTCCCCTCCCCTCCCCTCCCTTTCCTTTCCTTTTCTTTCTTTCTGCCTTAGTGGTTAACTAATTTTCTCTGATAGTATGTTTTAATTGACTTTTATTTTTAGCAAATCTATTATAGGTTTTTGCACTGTGGTTACCATGAGGCTTATAAAAACATCTTATAACAAGTTATTTTAAAGAGATGTCAACTCATCTTAGATCACAAAGAAAAAAATAGAAATAAACAAAGAAAAACAAAAAAAAACTCTACATTTTTAACTTTATCCCTCCTCCCACATTTTGACTTCATGTTGTCTCAATTTGCATGTTTTTATATTGCCTATCTTTTAACACCTGTTAAAGATATCAACAAAAAGATTATTATTTTTGATAGATTTGTCTTTTGGACTTCATACTAGAGTTATGAGTGAATTACACACTATAATTACAGTGTTGGAGTATTCTGAGTTCGTTAATGCACTTAATTTTACTAGTGGGTTTTATAAATTCAAATGTTTTCTTTTTGCACATTAGTGTTTTTTTTTTTTCAAATGGAAGAACTTTAGCATTTCATTTAAGACTGGTGGTGGTGAATTCTCTCAGCTCTTGTTTATCCAGGAAAGATTTTCTCTCTCTTTCATATTTGAAAGATAGCTTTTCTAGATACAATATTCTTGGATGGCAGTATTTTTTTCTTTCAGCACTTTAAAATGTCATCCCACTTCTTTTTGGCCTGTATGGTTATCATTGAGAAGTCTGTTGTCAGATGAATTGAAGCTTCTTTATGTTATTTGCTTCTTTTCTCTTGCTGCTTTTAGGATATTTTTATCCTTGACTTTTTTTTTTTTTCTTGAGACAGGGTCTCACTTTGTCACCCAGGCTGGAGTCCAGTGGTGCAATCACAGGTCACTGCAGCTTCAACCTCCTTTGGCTCAGATGATTCTCCCACATCAGCATCCCAAGTAGCTGGGACCACTGGTGCACACCACCATGCCTGGCTAATTTTTGTATTTGTTTTTTTTTTTGTAGAAATGGGGTTTTACCATGTTGCCCAGGCTGGTCTCAAAATCCTGGGCTCAAGCAATCCACCCACCTTGACCTCCCAAAGTGCTGGAATTATAGGCATGAGCCATCATACCCAGCCTGTCCTTGACCTTTAGGATTTTTTATATGCCTTGGAGTAGTCTTATTTGGATACAATCCATTTCTTTGAGCTTTCTGTACCAGGATATTTATGTCTTTATCAAGTTTTGAAAAGTTTTCTATTATTTCTTTGAATAAGCTTTCTACCCCTTGCTCTTGCTCAACTCCCTCCTCAACACCAATAATTCTTAGATTTGATCTTTTGAGGTAATATTTTATATCTTGTAAGCAATCTTTATTCCTTTTCATTTTTTTCTCCTCTGTGTATTTTTAAATAGCCCATTTTGAGCTCACTGATTCTTTCCTCTGCTTGCTTCATTCTATTCTTAAGAGCCTCTAATGAATTTTTTGGTTCAGCAAATACGTTTTTCCATTCAAAGTTTTCTGTTTGATTTTAAAAAATTATTGAAATTTTGTTAAATTTCTCTGATAAACTTCTAAGCTGCTTTTGTGTGTTATCTTTGAGGTCACTGAGTTTCCTTAAAACTGCTATTTTGAATTATTGATCACAGAGTTCATATATCACTGTCTTATTATGATCAGTCACTGGTTCCTTGCTTTGTCCATTTGGGGATGTCATAGTTCTTTGCTGTTGTTTCTTATGGGTATACATCTATGCCTGTGCATTGAAGCATTAGTTATTTATTCCAGTCTTTTCTTTCTGGGTTGTTTCAGTTTTTGTTGAATATATTTGCTTAGATGTAGGGAGTGTCCAATATTTTAGCTTCCCTGGGCCACATTGGAAGAGGAAGAATTGTCTTGGGCCACACATAAAATGCCCTAACACTAACGATAGCTGATGAGCCAAAAAAATTTTGCAAAACAATCTCATACTGTTTTAAGAAAGTTTATGGATTTGTGTTGGGCCACATTCAAAGCCACCATGGGCTTCATAAGACCCACTGCCCATGTGTTGGACAAGCTTAGCTTAGAGAATCATTATAAATTTCCTGTTGATTTTATTTCCTGCTAGGTAGCTGCCTACTTTTCAGCACTAGATGGCACCTTAAGTCCAGGATTGCTTCATTTGTAGTAAGCAATCAAATTACTGCCCATCAGAATAGGGGAGGTCCCAGGGAGCATATTCTAGTGGTGTGGGAAGGTTAGCTAGGTGTTTGTCTCTAGGGGACCTGTGGAACAAACCTCCTACAACATGGTGTTGCTGAACAGCAACTCTGATTTGGTGTTTCCTCTGGCTGAGTTACAGGGTTTGCAGGGCTGGGGATGTCTCACCCTCAGTGTGAAGCCTCCACCTTATGGATCATGAGAATGGGTCACTGTGGCCCCAATATCTCAAGGTAGGACCCTGTCCCATGAGTCAGGGCTGGGTCAAATAAAGGAGCCCCCGCCTCTCAACCACACTCACCCAGGGCTTAGCCTCAGTAACAGGCATATAGGGGCAGGATGAGAAGCCCTGATGTCCTGCCTCTCCTGGGAAGACAGCCCTGCAACCATGGGCTGCACTTGTTTGCAGTCTCCACTTTGCTGATCTGGGAGAGGGTGTGCAGGTGAGGTCTTGGTTCAAATACCGCAGACTCTCACTGTTCTTACTGAATTTTAGCAGATATTCTTGAATAGATGTTGCTGAATTTTCCGTATGCCCTTAGGACCATTTCCAGAGACCTGAAGTGTTTTCCCATCCCTCAACCCCCCTAAATTTTACCAGCTCCACTGAGGAACAGGACAGCAAAGCTCTCCTGCTGTCATGCCAGAAGTGGTTCTCTGGAACCTTATTTTAGATGCAATGTTTCTCTGGTTATGATGCTTTAAAGTGAGACATGAAAATGGAAAGATCTAAACACGTTTACTAATATTAATTACTCACTGAAATAATCTATTCTAAAAACAGTGCAAGAAAATGAATGAGCAAAGCTTACAAGAGAGTCAGACCTTTTCCCCACTTGTTAATTTAACATACACTGTGGAATAACTACTTTGAGCTACAGACTGAGCATTGGCCATAAAATCATTTTCCTGACAATGTGTAGGGCAGAACCAACAGAGTGTATGCTTCATGAAGAAAGGGCTGTGAGTCCAGATTGTCATTTTTGTACACCTGACACTTAGCACAGCATGGGGAACACAGGAGAAGCTCCATAACTATTTGTTGTTAGATTTGACAGAGTCCTTGTCCTTATGAAGTGAATAACCCAGTGGGAGACAGATAAGAAAAATAACTTTGGAAAGAGGCCGAGGTGGGCAGATCACCTGAGGTCAGGAGTTCAAGACCAGCCTGGCCAACATGGGGAAACCTTGTCTCTACTAAAAATACAAAAATTAGCCAGGTGTGGTGGCGGGTGCCTGTAATCCCGGCTAGTTGGGAGGCTGAGGCAGCAGAATCGCCTGAACCCGGGAGGCGGAGGTTGCAGTGAGCCGAGATCGTGCCACTGCATTCCAGCCTGGGCAACCAGAGTGAGACTCTGTCTCAAAAAGAAAACAAAAGAAAAAAAACAAAAAACTGCAAAATAGTGATACATACAACAAAAGTATTTTGGTAGAGCCATAAACATTTCTATTTGACTATTTCTGATCCACCAAAATAGCAACTTTATATGTCCAACCCAATTTGTACAGGATTCACGAGTTGAGGGAGGGTCTAAAATAGTTTCTGAGTGGAAGCCCTGCTTTTCTGGGTTGAATATGAAGGGTCCCTAAGCACATGAAAGCTCTTTCCTAATTGGTCAGCATTGATGGCCTGAAGAGGAGAGATGGGCAATGCCTGCATGCAGATTTCATGTCCCAGCTCTTACTGGCATCTTTAATTGCTCCATGAGGATTCCACCTGGGATCCAGGTGTAAAGGGAAAGGAAGCTGGGGAAACCTGGCTGATGTTACAGGGACACACTGGGTGGGAATGGGTTGGTTTAAATGAGATGTACTCAGAGGATGAAGAGTCATTTCTGGGATTCCTTGGCAGCTGTGACTAAAAGCAAGTTTGGATATTAACTCTGTAAAGAAGAATCTTATTTTTTAAAATGTGAAATCGACTTCACTTTCAACAGACGAATATCTTCTATGCCATTAAAGCCAATTATAATATTTAATGAACTAGAATGGCAGTGATATTACTCTCATAACCCGGCTCCTGCTGAATGACTCCCTCTAGGATATTTTCTAGGGTTTTATGCCAATGAAGTTTTTGGTTTTATTTGTTGTAAATAGCAAGACTTCCATTGTTTTACCAAAAAATTTTCAGATCACTCATTTTCACTAAATTTGTAAAATAAAAACATATAGGGCATGTTTTAGTACAATATTTTGATTAAATTAATTTTCTATATTAAAAATGCTTGGTTTCCACCTTCTAGCAATTAATATTCGAAGAAACAAAACATTCGTTCTACTAGAATCAGATGCTGTGAGTTGATTTTGGTAGCTATTTGCTGCTCTGCAGACCTAATTTCAGGCTGCTGTGGTTCTCAGCAGCAATTTGATTTTGTGAATATTATCTTTTGTATTCTGAATCACATTGCTAAGCAGGGTGGTGTTGTAAAAATAAAAACATAAGGTTCTCTTGTCTGAGTCTGTGTGGGAGTCAGCGATGCTTATTTCTAGCACGAAACATTATCTGTATGGTGAATTTCCCGAATGCTGTTTGACCTTGGAGTTGTTCATTTAATGAAAAAAACTTCAATGCCTACTATGTGCCCAGACCTCTTCTAGGTAGAGACGATACAAGAGTGGTACAGAAGTGAACAACACAGGTAAGTGGTCTGGCCTACAAGGATTTCGCATTCTGGGTATTGGAGACTGATTTTAGCAGGAACTTAAAAAGATAATTTCAGGCTGTGATTAGAGCTCTGGAGTAAATAACAAAGAGATATGATAAAATGTAACCTGGGGAGTCAGGCAGTGGCTGAATGGAGGAGGGAGGAGACAACTTCAGAGCATGAGAGGGAAGACTTTTCTGAGGCCATGCCTTTAAGGTGAGGAACATAAGTAATCTTTTGGAGAGCTGGGAAAGTTGTTCTGGTACAGGGTAATATCAAGTGCAAAGGCCCTGGGGCAGTGGGCTTGTTGTATTTGAGAAACAGCAGGTGGGTGTGGCCAAAGCCTACCAAGAGATGACACTGGAGAAGACAGGAGGGTCCTGTAGTGTATGATACACAAGCAGCCATTTTTACAAACAATAACTAAGGCACCTTTCCTTTTCAGATGGTGGAATTGCACGACTTAGAGTATTCGGTACTGGACAAAAAGACTGGACTGCAACTGACCCCAAAGAACCTGCAGACCTAGTGGCCATCGCTTTTGGGGGTGTCTGTGTAGGATTTAGTAATGCTAAGTTTGGGCACCCAAACAATATAATAGGTAAGATGATATTCTTGGAGCTGGCTTATTTAGGAAGTCTGGGTACCGGCATTAAATACCCCAATATGGTCAGAGTGATTTAAAAGGAAAGGCACATCTCAAAGCACAGCAGTGGATGAGATTAATCTTCCATGTGTAGGATTTGATGCCTTTATGACATGAAATAAGTCAACATTACCAATTTTTCTACCTAATTTTGGCCTAAGTAGCTGCTTTAAAAGGAAAAGTAAAATTTAACTAACCCTATGATTGTTTGTGAATTTACTGAAACATTAACTTTAATGAAAATAACTTATGTAGCAATGCTCAGATGCATAAGATCTGTAATTTAATTACAGCAATGTATTCATCCTCATAGTTAAAATCATGCAGTTTACCATTCAACAATGTTATTTTCTGTAGGAGTTGGCGGGGCAAAGTCTATGGCGGATGGTTGGGAAACTGCAAGAAGGCTGGACCGGCCACCAATATTAGAAGTAAGAAGTTAAAAATAACTATGGTTTAAAGTTTTTCTTAAAAGTATTTTTTGGAACTTTTTCTTTTAAATAAACTTTTGCACATTTTAGAAACCTCATATGCATTGTTCTAAATGCTAATTACTATGATTTATATTTTCCAAATTTCCCACTGTTTTCATAATATCAGGGCAGAGACTCAGAAGCCCAAACATACTGGTCATTGCCAGCTACGCCAATGCATTTTTGGAACATTCCTCTGTTTCTTCAATAAAGAAACAAAAGGAGCTGCGATTTAATAATACAAAAGTTATGAATAAATGTGTTGGGAGATCTGGGGAAGAACCACTAGTTTAGCAATGTTTGATATCTGTGTATCTCAGGATTACACCACTTATGTGAACTTGTGATGGACAGGGCGCTCTAGAGTCCATGCAGCTGTTTAATTTGGCCAGTAACTAATTTGAGATAGAGAAACCAAGATGAAGTGAAACAAAAAATACAATGCCTTTCAATTTGCAAATCCCACCAAAAACTTGGTCAGAAAAGTGCCCTCCCCTTCCTAAGTTAGATTTCATGTCACCTGATGCTTTGAGATATCAATGAACAGACTCTCCGTTCTCAAAACTAAGGTTTGAACGCACATCATGTATCAGTATAGGTTTGACCAACAAAATATGTACCTTAAAAGGTCAAAACAAACTAATTAGAGGAACTATGGACTGGAATAGACGAAGATTGCTGCACGTATAACATTTTGCAGGGATCTATAATTGACATAGAAATTTAGAAAAACGTATCTGGGACCCAATGAACTCACAAATTGGCAAGAGACATTTAAGAAATGATAGCAAAGAGGCAATTTACATGAAAGTGATTTACACATCAGGCCACAGGAAACACTCTTCTATAGTAAGAAATAAAAGAAACACGTCAACCTTTTTCACCTGTTGGTTTTCGGGACTGGTTTCTTGAATGACTCCAAGTTCGTTTACCATTTTCTTCTCTTCTGAATTCCAGAATGATGAGAATGGCATTCTCTTGGTTCCGGGTTGTGAATGGGCAGTTTTCCGATTGGCACATCCTGGAGTAATAACTCGAATTGAAATTGACACAAAATATTTTGAAGGTAAATGCAAAGCCATAAAGAAGTACCCTATAATTGGTTTGTTTATTCTAAAGACTGAGTTCTATGGAAGTGGGACTGAGGACACTGGACTTTCGGTGTGGATTCCCCGTTTAAGCTGTGTAATTTTGAGCATGCTACTTTAACCCTTAGAACTCTGTCTGTCTGTCTATCTATCTATCTATCTATCTATCTATCTATCTATCTATCTATCTTTTATTTATTTTTTTGAGATGGAGTCTTGCTGTGTCGCCCAGCCTGGAGTGCAGTGGCGCAATCTCAGCTCACTGCAACCTCCACCTCCAGGGTCCAAGCGATTCTCCTGCCTCAGCCTCCCGAGTAGCTGGGATTACAGGCATCCTAGACAATACCCAGCTAATTTTGTATTTTTAGTAGAGATGGGTTTTTGCCATGTTGGCCAGGCTGGTCTCGAACTCCTGACCTCAGGTGATTCACCCGTCGCAGCCTCCCAAAGTGCTGGGATTACAGGCCTGAGCCACTGCGCCCGACCCTTATTTATTTATTTTTGAGATGGAGTCTTGCTTTGTCACCCAGGTTGGAGTGCAGTGGCATGATCTTGGCTCACTGCAACCTCTGCCTCCTGGGTTCAAGCGATTCTTCCTGCCTCTGCCTCCTGAGTAGCTGGGATTACAGGTGCCCGCCATCATGCCTGGCTAATTTTTGTATTGTTAGTAGAGACGGGGTTTCACCATGTTGACCAGGCTGGTCTTGAACTCCTGACCTCAGGTGATACGCCCGTCTCGGCCTCCCAAAGTGGTGGGATTACAGGTGTGAGACCATGCCCAGCCAACCCTTTGAACTTTAGTAACTCCTCTATAAAATTCACATTTGGGCTGGATGACCCCCAAAGTCACACAAGATTCCATGACACTGTCCGGCTCTTTACCATAGAGGCTCTGCATCCCCCTTGGAAAAAGAGCCTGTGAAAAGCACCGGGATGGGAGGCACCTTTTTACAGAGAAGGGTCCTAAGCAGATTGACCGGGGAAGGGGAGTGACCATTTCTTCCCCAGGCTTCACTTTTAAGGCAGTGGTTTACACATTTTTAAAACCGTACACCTCTATGTGTTTAAAAAATATTTGGACAAACAACCTTGATATTCTGTATTTACTTTCTTATGAAATACATATGTGTATTATTAAGACAATTCAAAAGAAGTTGGTACACTTCTACAATTGTTATGTGACATTTTATAAATACTGGATTGAGTATTCCACGTTAGCCATCTTTGAATAAATAGTGGCATTTTGTATTCATGTTTTGGGTGAGTGGTTTTTATTTTTATTTATTTATTTATTTAATTATACTTTAAGTTTTAGGGTACATGTGTACAACGTGCGGGTTTGTTACATATATATACATGTGCCATGTTGGTGTGCTGCACTGGGTGAGTGGTTTTTAAATGTCTTGGGAATTATTGTGACTTTACTCAATTACTAACCATTATATCAAATTCAAGGCCAGGCTCATCATTAACAGTAGTGCCTATAATTATTTCAAGAAGTCTTGGTAATTTTAACTTATTTTGGAAAGACGGCATTTTATCTGTTTTTTCTTTTAACTATTATTTTAGGTTCAAGGGTAAATGTGCAGGTTTGTTATATAGGTAAACTTGTGTCATGGGGTTTTGGTGTACAGATTATTTTATCACGTAGGTATCAAGTATGGTACCCGATAAGTATTTTTGCCTGATCTCCCTCCTCCCACCCTCCACCTTCAATTATGCCCCAGTGTCCATGTGTTCCCATTATTTAGCTGCCACTTATGTAAACATATAGTATTTGGTTTTCTGTTCCTGCGTTAGTTTGCCAAGAATAATGCTCTCCAGCTGCATCCATGTTGCTGCAAAGGACATTATCTCATTCCTTTTTGTGGCTGCATAGTATTCCATGTTGTATATGTATCATATTTTCTTTAGCCAGTCTACAATTGATGGACATTTAGGTTGATTCCACGTCTTTGCTATTGTGAACAGTGCTGCAATGAACATACATGTGCATGTCTTTATGGCAGAATGATTTATATTCCTTTGGGTATATGCCAAATAATGGGATTGCCGAGTCCAATGGTAATTCTGTTTTTAGTTCTTTGAGGAATCGCCACAACACTTTCCACAATGGCTGAACTAATTTACACTCCCACCAGCAGGGTATATATGTTCCCTTTTCTCCACAACCTTGTCAACAACTGTTATTTTTTGATTTTTTCATAACAGCCATTCTGACTGGGAGATTGTATCTCCCAGTGGTTTTGATTTGCATTTCTCTAATGATTAGTGATGTCAGCCATTTTTTCATATGCTTGTTGGCTGCATGTATGTCTTCTTTTGAAAAGCATTTGTTTATGTCCTTGGCCAACTTTTTAATGGGGTTGTTTTTTGCTTGTAAATTTGTTTAAATTCCTTATAGATTCTGGATATTAGACCTTTGAAAGAACCATAGGTTGCAAATATTTTCTCCCATTCCGTAGGTTGTCTGTTTACTCTGCTGATAGTTTATTTTGCTGTGCAGAAGCTCTTTAGTTTAATTAGATCCCATTTGTCATTTTTTTTGCTTTTGTTGCAATTGTTTTTGGCATTTTCATCATGAAATCTTTGCCAGTTCCTATGTCCAGAATGGTATTTCCTAAGTTATCTTCCAGGGTGTTTATAGTTTTGGGTTTTACATTTAAGCCTTTAATCAATCTTGAGTTGATTTTTGTATATGGTGTAAGGAAGGGGTCCTGTTTCAATCTTCTGCATATGGCTAGCCCATTATCCCAGCACCATTTATTGAATTGGGATTCATTTCCCCATTGCTTGTTTTTTTAAGACTGCATTTTAGATCTGGTTATGTGGCCATGGTTTTTACTTTTCAATGTGGCTGACTGAGGGTCAGGTGAAATGGCAGTTCTGGATTTTCTTGTTCATACATACTTGCATTTTTTATGGTATCTTTAATCCACAGTTCTCTGCATGAATGGTTTAAAATAACTTACTTATTTTTGTGAGGGATGCTTTAGTTAAAACTAGATAACAAACAGTAAATCCACTTAAGCAGACACCCAAAACTGCAACAGGTCATGAATCTACCACTGTCAAACACTCAGGATACCTCTGGTACATACAATATGATGACTGTAATGGAAATGAGGGAGCATGGCAGTATCCACTTATAGCAATAATATAGTAGGTTATATCAAATACACAAAGCTTAATATACACATACATATGTATGTATATCAGACAAATAGAAATAGCAGCTCTAATGTTCTCTACTTGCATCCTTTGTGTCCGTATGCACCCCAGGGGCATGTTCGCCCACCCTGGAGACTACCGTTTTAAGAGATGGGCCACAAAGGGGGCATGTGAGCCACAGTCTCCTCTTTTCCAGGGTTCTTGATTAGCAGCTCCTCCTCTGTTGATCCTAAAGAGCTCCAGTAGAAGTTCTCTCTTCTCAAAGAGAGTGGGACCTTTCCCTCAAGGTCCTCTAACCCCACTGAGCCCACGATTCCTATGATATTCCAAAGAGAGAAGAATCTCAGGACCATATACTCTCACCTGAAGATGACTCAGAAATCCCCAAATACACGTGTGTGGCTGGTGCCCAGCGCTAGCTAACATAAAACTCAGTATTTCCTTTTGATTGTCATGTTAAAAAATATGTCATAGGAAAATATTTTCCAGCTTCATAATAATTTCAGATGAGCCACATAGCAGTCTGCAAGTAATTAAATCTGCAATTGAGGAAGCTTATCAAATACATTCAGATTTCAAAGTGAGAACGCTATACATGCAAATTGAAATGCGCCAGCCCCTTCACATATGGCGGACTGCTTCTGAGTCCTCTGAAAAAGAAATGTCTATTTCATGAGACAATCTGAGCCTCACAAACCGGTTTGTTCCTTCCCTCACATACTTCATACCTTTGCTTTTGCTCAGGAAGAGCAGGGACTTGTTTTTTGCTGGGTTTTTGATCTTATTAAAAAAGCATGATATCCTATACGCCAAACTGAGTGCAAATGCGGGCAGAAAATCACGCTGTGTTTTGCTCCAACAGGCAATGCTCCTGACAGCTGTAAAGTGGATGGGTGCATCCTGACAACTCAGGAAGAAGAAGCCGTGATCAGGCAAAAGTGGATTCTCCCGGCCCACAAGTGGAAACCACTGCTTCCAGTGACCAAGGTTCGTGTGGCATGTTATTCGGATCCAGCACTCAGACTGTGCTATTTCCCTAAGATTCTCTTTTGAAGGATTAGGATACGCTCCAAAGTTTCTGCTCAGTTTAATGGTAAAACGAATGAGGTTTAAAACCCCTATCTGCAAACTTTAAGAAGAAAGGCTCTATTTCTCTCCACTTTTGTATTTCCAAATTTTATTAGAACAAAATTGTTAAATGTTCAGAATACATACGTGGAAACATGTCTCTGCATCATGTTTAACTTTGTAGAAGGGGCGACTAGCACATTTAAAGCTCTAATGGCGTGTCCACCTGCAGGATGGATGCTCTGAGATATTCCACAAGTGTCTTCTTTGATTTAGAAAGAGGGTCAGGCTAGAGGTGAGAGCTGCTCCCATGTAAAGATAGGAAATAATCTCCGGGAGAGACCAAGATGGTCTCTTCCTTCATTTTCTTATCAATTTGCTTATGTATAATCAACTATTAGAAACAACTGATGGGCATTTAGGTTGCCCATCAATTGTTTATTGGGGCCTGCTTATTCATGTATTATTTGGGCATCCTATCCCTACTAGCAGATTTTCATGGAAAGCCCAATTATCATCAATTAATAACTTATTTTAAAGCCCCTTCGGTTAAGTCTAAGCCAAAGGTTTGCCCGGGCCGTGGGCTCATTCGGCCACACATGTCCTGTTAACAGACTAGGACCTCTGCATCTGCTTGCTTTTCAGTTGTCTCCCAACCAAAGTCATCTGTTCGATAGCCTGACCCTAGAGCTCCAAGATGTCATCACTCACGCCAGGCTCACCATCGTCCCCGACGGGGGAGTGAGCCGCCTTCGGCTCCGGGGCTTCCCCAGCTCCATCTGCCTCCTGAGGCCCCGGGAGAAGCCCATGTTGAAGTTCTCGGTGAGCTTCAAAGCAAACCCTTAACACACACAAAGCCCCGGTGTCGGACACACAGCAGTAATTTCCCAGTCATAGTCTTCTTTTCAAATGTTTTGAACACCTGGTGATTTAATAAAGTGGTCGTCTCACAAATTGATCTCTGTATTTAATGTTGCTATGAGGCATTTAGTAGCTTACATACTGGCTATGGCTGTGACTGGTGGTCTCTACGGAACTACTTTTTTTGAACATTATAAGATATTAATACTCATAATATCAATATCTGTACCTTCGGTGTGGACTTCCAGCCGTAACATGTAGCCTACTGACTGTCTAGAATCACTCAAGGGGACTGGCCTATCTTTACCCAGAGTAGGAACGATTCTTCCAAAGACCCCCTCTCCCTTTGAATCATTCCCCAATGAGGATGCGTTCTGAATGGCACGCGCCTGACACCGCACACCAGCGGCTATAGCGCGGTTCCTCACGGCCTCCCAGTGGCTCTGCACACCTCCTCCTCTGGTGGAAAAGCTCAAATTCCCCACTCTGGGCCAGGAGTCCTGGAAGACACTGGGGCTGAACCGGTCAAATTCAACCTAAGATCAAAGAAACAGAGGCTCAAAAAATGTGAAGCAGATCCCAGCACCCATCCAATGTTGATTGTCAAGATGGTCCTGGTCCCTCCCTAACCCTCCTCTCTACCGCTTCTACAGAGGAAGGCGGCGAGTGTAGGGGGAGGAGGCACGGTGGGCGTCCCGGGGCGCTCAGCACAATCATGCTAGCCGCCTCCTCCTCCTCTTTTCCTGAGCTCTGCCGCCACGCCCCTCACCTGCCCGGGCTCCCCGTTGCCCCCTCACCTGTCTCCGCCCTGTGCCGCGCCTCACCTGCTTGGGCTCCCCATTACCCAATCACCTGTCCCTGCCCCGTGCCGCCTGCTCACCTGCCCGGGTTCCCCGTCGCCCCGTCTCCTGCCCCGGCCCCGAGCCCCTCGCCCTGGCGGCCAGGCGGTCACAATCGCCCAGGGTCGCGTCAACACGCAGCCTCCGCCCGCCTGGCAGCCCCGTCCCGTCCCCGTCCAGCCCCCGTCCCGTCCCCGTCCCGTCCCCGTCCTGCGCCAGCGGCTGGAGCGGACCTCCCGTCGGCGGTGCCCGGGCCTGGGCGCGGCTCTGCAGGCGTCGCTGCCCGCGCTGCCGCAGCCTCTCGGCCCCGGCGAGCGAGGAGCGGGGCGCGGCTATGGGAACCCGCGGGCCCTCCGCGCCGGTGGACACCACGCCCGCCAAGACCATCGTGGTGTACCGCAACGGGGACCCGTTCTACGTGGGCAAGAAGTTCGTGCTGTCGCGGCGCCGCGCGGCCACCTTCGAGGCGCTGCTGGAGCAGCTCACGGAGCAGGTGGACGTCCCGTTCGGCGTGCGCCGCCTCTTCACGCCCACGCGTGGGCACCGGGTGCTGGGGCTGGACGCGCTGCAGGCGGGCGGCAAGTACGTGGCGGCGGGCCGCGAGCGCTTCAAGGAGCTCGAGTAAGTGCGCCCGCGCCCCCCACGCGCCCTGCGCCCCTCCCCGCCCTCTTGGGTCTGAGCGTGGTCAGGGCCGTGCCCCCCAGGTGTCCTCCCCAGGCTTCCCTCCCGGCTCGGGCGCCCATCTTTCGGCGTGGATCCAGCGCAGCCGGCGTCGGGCCGCCCCAGGCCACGTGGTTTCCTGGGGGCGAAGCCGAGGCAGCCCCGCCCCCAGGGTCCCTTCCTATGGGGCAGGGCGGGCCCTGGCCGGCAGCGATTCAGGACCGCCCCAGAGACGGCCAGGAGGGCGTGGGGGAGGGGCGTGGGGCAGAAACAGGGGTGTGGAGGAGGGCGTGGGGGAGGGGTGTGGAGAGGGGCGTGGGGGGCGTGGGGGAGGGGTGTGGAGAGGGGCGTGGGGGAGGGGTGTGGAGAGGGGCATGGGGGAGGGGTGTGGAGAGGGGCGTGGGGGGCGTGGGGAGGAGTGTAGGGGAGGGGGAGGGGGGAGGGGCGTGGGGGAGGGGCATGGGGCAGAAACGGGTGTGGAGGAGGGCATGGGGGAGGGGTGTGGAGAGGGGCGTGGGGGGCGTGGGGGAGGGGTGTGGAGAGGGGCGTGGGGGAGGGGTGTGGAGAGGGGCATGGGGGAGGGGTGTGGAGAGGGGCGTGGGGGGCGTGGGGAGGAGTGTAGGGGAGGGGGAGGGGGGAGGGGCGTGGGGGGGAGGGGCGTGGGGGGCAGGGCCTGGGAATGGGGCGGGTTGGGCAGTTCCCATTTGAAATCGCTCAGGGTGACCCCTCTCACTCTGTGTCCATCACTTGGTCCTGCGTGCATTTTCAAGCTTGCCTTTAATTAAACTATTGCCCTCCCACGGTTTGTGTCTGTAATCCCATTATTGCAGCCTGTGTCTGCTTTCTGTGATCTCAGCTGCTTTTCTCTCCTGATTCTCTGTTTCCTTGTAGGTTTACTTATTTTTTGACTGTGAACTACTCCTTTTGTATAGCTTTGTGTGGGGACATTCTTCAGGGCTGAGATAAAAGTGAGATTCCCCAGAGAGAATTTCCATTTTCTTCTTTCAAATGCTCTCCGTTCAAAAATGCTCTGAATTAAATCAGCAGCTTGAGTTTTGTTTGTTGTTTTTTGAAAAAGTAGTAGGATTTAGTATGAGGGCTGGTGTATGGTTCCAAATTCTTAGTGGCATTTGCAAAGATGTGAATTTACCATTCAGTTGTTTCTGAAGAAAAGTCGTAAGTCACAGGCATCACAGTTGCTAAGAGGTAGAATCTGGATTAGCATATTTCAGATTGAAATTTATTACTATGATAATCCTGTTATGTATTAGAATTCATGGACAAAATTATATTCCTTTATAGCCATGTGATTTGTGATTATTTTTTCCAAGCTAGTCAGATGGTGTGAATATCTAGAACTGACATCCTACCCAGGATCCAGTGTTCAGTGCTGATTTACAATTAAAGAATATATCTCTACAAAAACTGCCTTTAAAGTCCCTTTCGATACATATATAATGAAAAGTATTTAATTTTATCCCAAGACATTTTCTTGTAAAATTGGCCTGTGTTTTACATGTTAGCAAATGAGGAAGGAAACGTATCAAGCACCTGCCACGAAGCCTGGAGTGTGCCTGGGAGATGTTACTCTTTCCCCTTGCTGTGGGGCTGGATATTTTCTAACCAGACCGTGTTGTACCTCCAGTTTTGTAGAGAGAGTCTCGAGTCTCATGGTTTATTTAAAATGTTTTGGACATGTAGCAAAAATATTGAGAAAAAATTGAGATGTTTTTCTTCCCAGTGCTCTTACTGTTTATTTTACTTTTTGGGAGGAAAGAAATGTCACCCACTGCAGAGGGAGGGGAGTTGGGGTCCGTGTGGCAGACAGCCTGGGTTATTTTGCATTATCTATTATCCATGCATCTTCACTGCTGTAAAATAGATGAGCCATGTCTGCATGTGAAGTTCAACATAGAGAGCACGTGGGGTTCCTTTTCTTCAGTTTTTTTTAGGTCAGTGAGTCTGAAATTGGAATTCAGACTTTGGTGAACAAAGCTCTGAAAAATGTGGCTGGATTTTCACTGGTATTAGTAAAGTAAACTAGCTCTTGGAAATTTATATTCTGTAATTGCTAAGCCATTGAGCAGTTCAATTAATTTTCACTGGAAAATAATATTCTAATTGTGTCACCAGCAAATGAACTTTGAAGTGAAGCCTGTTGATATATTAGTGATCCGGGAGCTCCCCTCATAATAGTGGTTTCAAGATGGTGCATTAAAAAGACAAACACCAACAAATCTATCCAATATCCAGCCATTACTCAGACATTTCCTGCATTTTCTGGAAGAAAATAATTTGAGACCCAAAGGACATAATTTTTTTCTTTATAAAACAAAATATTATAAGATAATAATTACTTTTCAAAACAATGACGTGTCATATAAAGCCTAGAATTAATATTTCTTTTGTGGAGAAAGCCACATTTACAACAAAATCTAAATCAGGGTGTTGTGTATGTGTGCACGCATGTGTGTGCGTGTGTGTGTGTATGTGTTTAGGGGAGGGACCCCAAAGAATTTGAATGCTTAGGAATATTACCCTGTTTACTTTAGAGCTTGTTGCTGAGACATGAATGTGAACATGCTATTTGAATCAAAGTCTCCTCGTTCTTCCTCAACCCAGCCTTTTCCTCTCATCTCCCTGGCCACCCATTTGTACCTGGGAACTAGCCGCAGATGACAGGAGAAAGAGGAAAAGTGGGTGGAGAGGAAGTTGTGATAGATGACAGGAATGTTGGCCTCAGAGCCAGAGACTGGTGGAATTTAATCCTGGCTTTGTCTACCTGAGTAACGTTCAGCAAGTGAAATAACCTCTCCAAGACTTGGTTTCCTCATCCATAAAGCAGGCTGGCTTCACATCCACTCTGCGGTACGGTTGGGAGAATGGAATGAATGCAGTAGGGTAAGGTGCCTGGCACGGATTCTCATGGGTGGTTTCTTCCCTTCCTTTGTTCTCTGGAAGTAGCCGGGAGGGAGCTTGCACCTCATGGTCCCATCACTGCTTCACAGACCTACTCCCCGCCCACCTCAGAGCAAGCCAAGCCCACCCAGCAGGCTTCTCTATGTGCCTGAGTTAAAGACCTCAGGTCATGGGCTGTCTGAGGAACTATTTGTCCTTTCTTTCTGTTTTTATAAGTTCTTGGGAGTGCAACATTGAAATAATAAATAGTATTTTGTGTTTTTGTAGGATCTTTTTATGCTTTTTTTCTGTGTTAAATTTTATTTTTTGGTTCCATGTAATGAAAATCAGATGTCTCATTTGGGAGATTAATGTTCATAAACAAATATGGAATTTGGGAATTTAGAACAAATTTAAAATATTTATTTGGAAAACAGGAAGACTAGACTAAGCTAGTGAAGAGTGCATACAAGGGCCTCTAAGCAAGTGGAGAGGCTCAGGCTGAACTCAGCCAGCAGCCATGTTTTGTTCAGTTCATACAATTTTCAAAGATTTGAGTTGGCTGCAACATTTTATAATTGGGAGAACTCATGTAATAATATGAACTTTTGGTCTCCCTTGGAAAAAATAGAGGATTTGATTGTTCAGAGGACTTGGTTGTAGCTGCGTGCATCTCCGCTATCTGGACCTGTGAGGCCCTGTCCGCCTCAGAAGGGAAAGGATGGTCCCACCAGCCACAGCCCCCACCAGTCCCTGAGACCACCCTTGGCGAGTGCCATCATTTACTTGACCAGTTTCTGTGGGGATCTGCATCCGTGACTCTTTATTGAACACTTAGTTATTTCTTCCCCTTCTATTTACCAGTCTAAGTTGACCCTTCTCTGAATATTGCTGAAACTATCAAAAACAATAACAATCTCAAATACATATTTTTTTAATCAGGAAGAAACCTTAGTATCAGATATAAATTTGAAGGTATTATTTATTACCCATGAAAACATTTTATTTTTGAGGAATATGGAAGTCTCAAAAGTCCCCAACAGTAAAAAAAATTGTGTTAGTAGGGCTCAGACACATTTTATGCTGGTGACTCTTTTCCAGTTTGCAGTTTTGGCAAAAGGAGAACAGTGCTGAATTTCTGTGAGCAGGAGGGAGCGGTGGGGGTGCAGAGGAGCTGGAGGAGAGTCTGGGTTTTTGTTCCGACCTTAGCCTGTCATGGGAACATTGATGAGCTCGCAGTTCTGGGCCTTCAGCGACCTGGTTAAAGAATGCTGTTGAATTAGATGATTTCTCAGGTTTCTCTTTAATAAAATTACGTGAGGGAAAGCAATGTCACTTAAGAGACACTTTCAAGGGGCAGTGCCAGTGGTACCCAGTGTGAAAACTGTCCTACAGCAGCATTGCTATTGTATTCTGATGTGGATTCTAACACCGAGAAAATTTTAGATCCTAGTTCCAAATTGCTGTGGGGTTGTATCTATTAAGCCGGAAAAGGACTCGTTTCTAAGGAGTCTGGAACTTTCTATGTAAATATCTTCCTTCTAATGATGTTTTCTTCTTTCTTCTTTTGCAGTTATATTCATATAGTTCCCCGAAAACCTGCAAAGATAAGGAAGTTGAAGGAAGTAAGTGTTTGCTTCTAACAACTAATAATGGAATAAATTGGCCAACTTGGTAAAAATTTAAATGTCGGCACGGAATAATTGAAGTTTCACAGAAGCAGTAAATGCCTGCAGAGATGTGTTGCTCTTGAAGCCAGAACACACTGTGCAAGCTTGTCATACTTGTCAAAGCACTGAAGTAACCAAGTGGCGGAAGGCAGTGAAGAGAGGCTAAGATGTGCAGAGGGAGATAGTCATCTCTGAGGCACACCGTGCAATTAATTCAAGTGTTCATTTTCCTTTTGTTTTGGGGGGGTTTGGAAAGACAGGTCTCAGGAAAAGTTATTTAGAGTTATGCAATGCTGAAGCTAATTATAATGCTAAATTTAAAGATTTGTCCCAAGTGCTCAACATTTTTGTACGTGATAGACATTTATTAGGTCTACAGGACAGAACATTCCATCACACCGTTCTTATCATTTGATTCTTAGTAAAAATAACCATTTAATTTGTTTAAAGAGACATGCCTTTTTTATAAGCAATAAAAACCACAGTTTTAAGCCAGGTAGCCTGTTGATATTTAGAATTTAACATAATTTTGACTTAAAAACGGACTTATTTTGTGGATTATTACACAGGTGAGTTATTTTGAGGGTATCTACTTCTCTAAGTTGCAATGTTGCTGTTCTTAAATTTCCTCACCTGTAAAATGGAGATGATAATAGATACCTCAGAAGCTCGTTGTAAGGACTAAATGGTAAAATCTGTATAATGTGCCAGCACTAGTTAAGGGCTTCCCCTCCACATCTTACAGAAGCGGCTCTTCTCTGTGTCTTTGGAGCATCACCCAGAGCTCCATGCAGGACACGCCAGCAGCCCCAGCATTGTTCACAGGCACCAGCTTCCAGAAGCGTTCCGCTGCCTTCTTGGAGTCTGCCCTTGAGGGCAGTTAAAATAAGTCAAATTTATTACTTTACTCACCTTAAATTGTAACTTGCCAAGGACGAGAGGGCAAGTTTCCAACTAGAAAGCAATTCTGGCAGTCACTGAATTTCAGGGCTACCTTAATAAAGAGTGTGGAAATGATTTGTGATCATCCTGACACCTCTATACCTGTTTCCCCTCTACCTGTGGGGCTGGGAGCAGGATTAAGCAACAATTTTGGAAATCACCCTTGAGAATATTTGTTAGAGTTTGAGTCTCGGTTCATCCTTTGCATATTTCAGTGATTTAAATAAGATATGATTTAAAAGGCAATATTTTAGGACAGGGAGGAAATTTCAGACTATCTTGTCAAAACTTCTTGTTTTCTAGTAGAGGAAGCCTTGGTCTACAGACGTGAAACACTGAGCAGGCACACCAGGATGTCTACACCCGCGCTGGCCTTGTCCTCCTAGGGCAGGCATTAGGTTGCTGGGCACTCACTCTATGAGGCTATAGTTACCCAAAAGAGTTTAAAAAATTTTTATTTTTGAATTTCCACTTTGTTCATTTCAAAAATGTGATTATAAAAGTAGTTCTCATTGACAGAGGTGTCAAAAATACTGTGCAGAAAATCAAAACTACGGTGAGATACCATCTCACACCAGTCAGAATGGCTATTTAAAAATTATTTTATATTTTTTTCTTCAACTTTTAAGTTCAGGAGTACATGTGCAGGATGTGCAGGTTTGTTCCACAGGTAAACATGTGCCATGGTGGTTTGTGGCACAGATCATCCTATCTCCTAGGTATTAATCCCAGCATCCTTTAGCTACTCTTCCTGATACTCTCCCTCCCCTCATTCCTCCTCTCTGACAGGCGCCAGTGTGTGTTGTTCCCCTCCCTGTGCCCATGTGTTCTTATCATTCAGCTCCCACTTACAAGCGAGGACATGTGGTGTTTGGTTTTCTGTTCCTGCATTAGTTTGCTGAGGATAATGGCTTCCAACTCCATCCATGTCCCTGCATGAGTACATTGTGAGATGCTGAGGTTTGGGGTATAATTTATTCGGTCACCCAGGCAGTGAGCATAGTATCCAATAGTTAGTTTTTCAACCCTTGCCCCATTCCCTCCGTCCGCCATCTATTAATAGTAGTATCCAGTGACTACTGTCATCATCTTTACACCCATGAGTACCTACTGTTTAGTTCCCACTTACAGGTGAGAACATGGAGTGTTTGGTTTTCTGTTCCTGCGTTAATTCACTTAGGATAATGGCTGCAGCTGCATCCATGTTCTTTTTTATGGCTGCATAGTATTCCACGGTGTATATGTACCACATTTTCTTTATCCAGTCCACCACTAATGGGCACAAGGTTGATTCAATGACTTTGCTATACCGAATAGTGCTGCAATGAATGTATGAGTGCATGTGTCTTTTTGGTAGAATGATTATTTTCTTTCTTGAATGGTAGTTCTAAGTTCTTTGAGAAACCTCCAACGGCCCTGCATAGTAGCTGAACTAATTACATTCCCACCAACAGTGTATAAGCATTCCCTTTTCTCCACAGTCTCACCAGCAACTTCTGTTTTTTGACTTTTTCAAAATAGCCATTCTGCTATTATTAAAAAGTCAAAAAACAACAGATGCTGGCAAGGTTGTGGAGAAAGAGAACACTTTTACACTGTTGGTGGGAGGGTAAATTAGTTCAACCATTGTGGAAGACAGCATGGTGACTGCTCAAAGACACTAGAGGCAGAAATAGCATTTGGCCCAGCAATGCCGTTACTGGGTATATACCCAAGGGAATATAAATCATCCTGTCATAAAGATACATGCACATGTATGTTCACTGCAGCACTATACACAATAGAAAAGACATGGAACCAACCTAAATGCCCATCAATGACAGACTGGATTAAAAAAAAAGTGGTACATTTACACCATGGAATACTATGCAGCCATAAAAAAAGAATAAGACCATATTCTTTGCAGGGACATGGATGGAGTTGGAAGCCATTATCCTCAGCAAAAATAAAAATTTTTAAACTCTTTTGGGCAACTATAGCCTCATAGAGTGAGTGCCCAGCAACCTAGTGCCTGCTCTAGGAGGATGTGATTTTTAATGCCTGAAAACTATTCCACCATGTGAGTTTATCATAATTATGTAGCTCATCCTCTTTGAGCAGATCTTTGCCTTTTTGCTATTTTAAACAGTGATGTAATGTAATGGACCCTTTGTGGAGACAAGTTTGTTCACATTAATGATTGCTTATAGAGAAGTAGAATTAACACGCATTATTTTAACCTCTTTACTATTTACTTCTGGATTGGATTCCATAATATTTCTGAAAACTTACATTGCTTCTGACAGCGTGTGAGATGCCCAACACCACCCTCTGGGGTCGTGGGGATGGAGCAGTATCATGTCAGCGTGCGTGGCCTGGAAGTGCCTGATGCTCATGATCCTGCCCCCATTTCCTTTTGTGGAAGTAGTCACCCCTAGAAAGGGTTTGCCATTATTATTGTTTGTTGTGTAAATGCTTGTCTTGGTGGGACAAGCATTTGCCTGGACACATGTCAATGGTGGAGCCAACCCTGAATGAGTTGGAACCACCACCAAGAGCTTTGGCCGACACACATGATTTACTCCAAGAACTCTGCTGTGCCTGGAGGGGACCGTAAGAGTAGCTGAGATTCAGAGCTGTGTCCTGCTGCCCCACACGAGAACACAGAGCTAATCAGTCACAGGACCGAAGGCTGCCCGTCACTCCCAGTGGCATCACTACTACTTACTAAACCACAGTTTGCCTGCCTTGTGGCTTATGGGGATGCACCTATGATCCCAGAGACAGTATAATACCTAACGAACTAAAAGACTTGTTGGCCAGGTGCCATGGCTCACACCTGTAATCCCAGCACTTTGGGAGGCCAAGGTGGGAGAATTACTTGAGCCCAGGAATTCTAGACCAGCAAGACCCTATCTCTACAAAAAAAAAAAAAAAAAATTATCCAGGCATGGTGGCACGTGGGAAGCTGAGGCGGGAGGATCACTTGAGCCCAGGTGTTTGAGGATGCAGTGAGCTATGATTGCACAACTGCACTCCAGCCTGAGCAACAGAGTGAAATCCTGTCTCAACAAAAAAGACTTGTCTTTGCTTGTTTTCCTTGCTTATTATGTTCCAGAAATAGAAATGCTTTGGTGAGATGCCAAGTGCCAGGACTTCATGGGTTTCTTTGTGAGGCCCCCATGCTGCCGATTTTCTATGTGACCATATTCACATAGCCAGGGCTGAGATGCCTGCACACCACAATGTGCATTGGAGAGTCGTGTCAGTCCTTGAATGCTTCATCATCGTGTTCAATGTCCAGAAGTTTCCTCTCTTTTAACACGGAATGTTGTGTGGCTTATGTTCTCAGCATGTTTTCACACCTATAGTCTCATCTGCAAAAATGGAAAAATAGCAACCATGTGAGTGAGGCAGAGCAGGCCTTAATACATGCCATTTAAAAGATGAATAAAGAGTTCAAGAAAGGTTAAGCACCATCTGCTGTTGGGTGGCTCGTTTGCAGTAGAGCTTGGACTAAAATCAAGCATTCTAGGAATGACTCCAGGATTTCTCCCACTCTTTTCCCAGGAAAAGACCCATGACTGCTTTTGTACAACTTGCTAGTATTAAATGAATTTCTTCCATTTAATTCAAAGACGTCATCGTAGGAATTTTTTCTGATAGATGTTCAAGCCCTTACATCACAGAAGGAGAACCCTGGTGTGCAGTGGCAGCGGAAGGCACCTCCCAGTGTCTTGAGTGAAGGTGCAAAGCAGCTCTCCCAGGGAAAACGCGGGGAGCCAGCAGGATGGGGCACAGGGTTCTCCATGATCCATGCGAGGGGCTGGGGGAGCTTCCATAGGAAGAGCACCAGAATGAGGGCCTTCCCCCCTCTGCTGCTCCACCTCTTTCTAGGGTGAGTTGAGAACAGCTGCATCCCGGGTGCCCAGGGTCAGGGGAGCTGCATGTCTCGGCCCTAAAAGCTCCTGGAGACCTTGTTGGAAGTTAAGGCCATGTGCAGCCCTTCCTGCACTGGTTCCAGCTTGATAGGCCTTGGTCTGATCACACACTGGGGTTTAAGGATGTTTACAGTAGCATTTTGTTTTTAAATTACGAAATGTTGGGGACAACCTGAATGTCCACTAGTACAGAAATGGCTAAATGATTCATGTTATGTCATCCCAGGATTAGATCTGTAGGGATTGATCTAAAATGGTATCTGTCAGAATGTGAGCAAGATTAAGTGAGATGATCTTTGTAAATCACTTTGCCTGTGCTTTTGACATACAGCAAGAGCTCAATAAGTAGTTAGTGCTATTATTATTCATAATGCCTTTAAATTGTAGCTGATCCTATCCAAATTTGAGATCCATGATTGCCTACAATTTGAATACCAGTGTAAACTGTTTTACAAATTAAATGTGGCATAAGCTTTTGCCAAGTCCAAAAATTCAATGTCTAAATGTTTTACTAAGTCATTTAGCCTTAGTTTATGATACAGTAATACAGAGCAGAAAGACCTAGCTTCTGTAAATTATTCTTTCACAGAATTTCTGTTTTGATCAAAATATATTAATGGGAAAATTGAAGAAGCTTCCCAAGAGATTTTGATTTATGTAGAAATTTACTTAAAATTAATTAGAATACCATAATATACATTTAATATTGTAATAGAAATGATTTTTAAAATACTTCAATATAATGAATTTGAAGTTGCACTTCATTAAATGGAGGGACAAGGACAATTAGATTAGGAACAAATGCTCTTGGGGTCTTGGCTTTCAATGACTGTGCCATGTTGGTTTAATGAGAAAAGTGTCCTTGGTCTTAATTCAATGGAAGGACTTCTATTATAGTACAACATTGAGATTTCTGGTTTGTAATCTCAAGTTGTAGAGATTTAGGCAGATTTGCTAGGAACAGATGAATCCCAATTCAATGTTTTTTCCCCCCATGAAGGATCTGTTTCAATTCTGCTCTTTCAGTGGGCCTATCCTGGACTAAACAACAAGTGTACCATTCATTTAGACCACATTTTTGTCATGGAAGAGAAGGATGTGATTTGCTGAGTTGAATTTTTTAGATCACTGAAGCCTACCAATGAATCTAACTCAAAGGATGTTTTAAAATTAATTTCTTAATATACATTTTAACAAAGTGTTTTACATGATTTCCTGCCTTACTGAAAAGCCTGGAGAATAAAATTTAACTTTGTCCAGGTGACTCAAGCTTAGGCTGCAGTACTTTGGGCTGGCTGAACCAATACTCACTTCCACTATACTTCTTAGTGATCTTGCCAATGGCGAGACCACTGTTTGCCGTTTGCTGTTGACCTGTCAGGAACACATTTGGAAGCTTCTGCTTCCATTTTTAAAAAAGTACCCTATAATTCATGCTCATTGTAGAAAAATGAGAAAATATATGTAATTTAAAAGAAAAACATATTCATAATCCTATCATTCAGAGATTAACCACTGTTTTTCCATATGCTTTTGACATGTACACATATACCTACATACATGTATATACTCCTAGCTTTATAAATGTATTTATTTAAACAAAATGGGAGCATAATCTACATTTTTTTCAAAACTCCTTTCTATTTAATGATGTATCATGAAATCTCTACATGTCAAGCAATATATTCCTGTAATACTTTTTAGTGGATTTAGAATGTTGCATTAAGAGATGTATAACATATGTTTTTAAAACCAGCCTTCTTTTGCTTGAGATTTAGAGAACCTTTTTATATGTCCTACTAAACTGCTCTCCTGAGAGATTATACCAAGTTAAATCTGTGCCCATTGTGAGACTGGATGTTTCCCACACCTCCCAAACACTGTGTGTTATCCTTAATTTTCCCAACACATTGCCATGCTGGTGCCATAGCTTTGTGGAAATATCATGGGCTCTGTAATTCGGACAAATTAACTTCTCTGATGCTCAGTTAATGGGTATGGCTGTATCTAAGAAATAGGGGTTAAATGTAATTATGCATGTATTCTGCTCATCACAACATCCTAAACTTTCCATCCATCCATCCATCCATCCATCCATTCATCCAATTTAATCTGAATGCTTGTGTATTTGGAAGTGTTTGCTTTCCTGTGGCTGATTATGCCACAGCAGCAACACAAAACCAAATAATATGTGTATGTGTACTAAGCCCAACGGTTTTTTCACTAAATACTTCTTGAGCACTGGTTATGTACCAGGTACTATTTGAAGCAGTTGTACAAAAAGGAAAAACATCTCTGCCCTCAGGGAGCCTGCATTTCAGGTGGTGAGACAGATAATAAACAAAATCTATACAATATAGAGTATGTGGGGGATATGAAATGTCATGCTGGGGGCTGTTTGATTTTAGGATGACCAGGTGGTCTTCACTGAGGAGGTGACTTTTGAGTCCAGACTCAAAGAAGTGAGGGAGCTGCCTATTTAGATATCTTGGGCAAAAGCATCCTGAGAGGGAGAACCGACGGTGCAAAGGACACTGGCCTGTTGTTCAGGGAGTGACATGGACCTTGAGCAAGAGTGTTTGGGTGCCATGTTGATAGCCATGAGTTAGGAGGCTGCTGCAATGATCCAGGCAAGGGACAGTGGGGATTTAGATCATTGTGGTGGCGTTGGTGATTATGAATTCACGCTGGGAGTCAGTGTGGGCAGAACAAAGGGAGTTCCGATGACAGGGTCCTGGAATGCTTAGAGGGCAGGGAGGTGAGAAGGAGCAGAGAGGGCTGGAGAAAGTCCAGGTGAGTGCAGGATGCTGGGTGATGAGAGACAGGGTGGGCCATCTGTGTCAAACGCTGCTGACCAGACAAGGAAGATGAAGACTGAGATGCTGACCAGACAAGGGAGATGAAGACTGAGATGCTGACCAGAAAAGGAAGATGAAGACTGAGATGGGACCATTGGATTTAGTAATATGGAGGTCGTGGGCAGAAAAGAATAGAAGAGAGATGGGAGATACAAACTGCTCTTTAAATGAGTTTTGCTCTAAAGGAAGGAGAGAAATGTAGAGGTAACTGGAGGGGGAAACAGAGCGAAGAGAGTTTTTCTAAGAAGTGACATCATGTACGTGATGATGGGAGTAGCCATTGCAGAGGGAAAATTGATGATGTAGGACAAAATAGGGAGAATTACTTGAGAAATGGCCTTGGGTGGGTGAGGAAGATATTATGAAGAATAATAATTGCTGTCTCTATAGGACCTGCCTATTCTGGACATTTTATGTAAATAGACTCAGACAACGTGTGGCCTTTTGCATGTGGTTTCTCTTAGCATATTTTCAAGGTTCATCCATGTTGTAGTGTGTATCAGGGATTCGTTCCTTTCTAAGGCTGAATTCCATTCTATTGTATGGATCCACCATATTTTGTTTACCCATCCATCAGGTGGTGAACATTTGGGCCTTGTTGGTCATAGCCCTGCTGATAGGGGTGAGGTGGTCCTCTTTCTCAGGAAAGAAAATTGTTTCTTTCCTTCTCTTCTGAAGCTCTTCTCTTCTCATTTTCTATGACTGTTTTTTCTTTTATTTGTGGGACTGTTGTCATTGCCTGTCTTTTGAACACTGCTGTTTTGTAGGGTGCTCTCCAATTCATTTTCTCTTCTAGTTCAGGCCACCCCCACTCCATTCTCTCCATTATTTCCATAATCATCCATGTGCCAAAGACCCCCAGGTCTCTCTCAAAGTCAGGACCCACATCTCTAGGACTCTGTCACTTGGATGTCCCAAAGACATCTCAAACTCAGCATGTCCAAGTTTGAACTCATTGGCCTCTGACTCCAAACCCAATTGTTATTTTGTGTTTCCTATTCCAGAAGATGGAACTGCCCACCCAGCTCCTAAACCCAGAAACGTGAGCATTTTTCTCAACCCTTCACTCTCCCAGAAACGCCCCCAGTCCCTCCCTGCCCACCCATCCCACCTCCTGATCGTCTCTGGAGTCAGCTCACCTGCTGTCATGTTGGCTGCTCCTAGCCTTGTTGAGGCTGCCAAGTTTGGTCACCTGGAAGGAGTCCCATGCCTTCCGCTGGTCTCCTTGCTTCCAACCTTGTCCCTTTCCCATGTGATCACGTCACTTCCCTTGTTCACATACATTAAGTCACTCCTCTTGGCTCCAGGGAGGTGAAGTCTGCACTAGTTACCATGACGTTTAAGGCCCTTCTTGATCTGGCCCCTGTGTTCTTCTCCAGTCTTGCCTCTCACCGCTCCTCCCTCTGTGTCTAGGATCCAGTCCTTGATGGATTTTCAGTTTCCCAAAGGCCTCTTCATGCGCCTATCCTCAAGCCAGGGTTTTGTGCATGCTGTTCCTTCTGCCTTGTTTAACTCAACTGACTGTTTTCTGCTTATAATTTAGGTCTCAATCTAACGGCCTCTTCCTCCAGGAGGCCTCCTTTCTCCCTAGTGAGGGTCAGATGTTCCTCTCCCATGCTTCCATGGCACCCATGCTGGCCTCAGCAGAGCCCCTGGCACCTGGCACTGTAATTGCTTGTTGACTTGTCTGTGTCCCTCTGTGCTCCCAGCCCTCTGAGGCCAGGAGTGGTGTTGGTCTTTTCCACCACTGCATTCTAACTCAGCACAGTTCCTACCATCAGAGGTGGGTCCTCTATGAATAGGTCTTGAATAAATGAATGAAGCAGTGATTGAGTACTTACGGGAAGGCTGGTGGCTGGCAGGATCTTAGGGGCAGGTATTCTCCTCTCCTTGGTTCTTCTGTGGATTGGCCTAGATGAGGTCTTGCTTCTGAGTGGGGCTGACCAGGCCAACCACAGGCTCCACAAACCGTCTGGCTGTCTGATTCTATGGGACGGCTTCTCTGGCTCTTAGAGTCAGCAATTTTGGAGGCATGGAGAGCATCAGTTCTCCTTATATTTTTTAGCAGGGAGTGCCTCTGTGGGTGCATGATACATAAATCAAGTGTGTGGCTGTTTCTATCAATGAGATTCACGTGGCCAGACCCCAGGTTGGTCCCAAGGAGTGAACCTCACCTGTGTTCAGCTCTGGGACATGCCTGGCTGATGCTCTCTGAGAAAGTCCAGGGCCTTGTGGACTAGGGGGCAGCATACAAAAGATGGGGGTCTGTTTTCATCGCCATGCAGTTAACACTGGAAATGAGCAGACCCTCACTGAGCATACACTCTGAAACAAGCTCTGTGCTGGGTGGAGGCTTTTCCTATTGTGTCTGGAGTTGGTTCCTGCCGGTGGGTTTGTCGTCTCGCTGACTTCAAAAATGAAGCCACGGACCTTTGCAGTGAGTGTTACTTAAAGGTGGCACGGACCCAAAGAGTTTTATAATCCTCTTGCTAGCTACAGATTGCTGACTGGTGCATTTTACAAGCCTCTTGCTAGCTACAGAGCGCTGATTAGTGTGTTTTACAATCCTCTTGCTAGCTACAGAGCGCTGATTGGTGCATTTTACAACCCTCTTGTAAGACAGGAAAGTTCTCCAAGTCCCCACTCGACCCAGGAAGTCCAGCTGGCTTCACCTCTCACTATCTCAGTGCCTTACAAAATCCTGCAGGCTTGGTGCAGCTGTTTCCTTTTTTTTTTTTGGGATGGAGTCTCGCTCTGTCGCCCAGGCTGGAGTCCAGTGGTGCGATCTTGGCTCACTGCAAGCTCTGGCTCCCGGGTTCATGCTGTTCTCCTGCCTCAGCCTCCCGAGTAGCTGGGACTACAGGTGCCCGCCACCATGCCAGCTAATTTTTTTGTATTTTTAATAGAGATGGTGTTTCACCATGTTAGCTAGGATGGTCTCAATCTTCTGACCTCATGATCTGCCCGCCTTGGCCTCCCAAAGTGCTGGGATTACAGGTGTGAGCCACCGTGCCCAGCCAGCTGTTTTCATTTTCCAGGGGCTCTTTCCCGCTGCCTCCCAAGCCTCTGGCTGTCCACATTGGGTGTAATTCTGCTTCCTCATTCCGAGCTGGAGCTGCTTTCTTTCTCTTTCCTGCCTTTTCTAGTATGCTGAAGGGTCACCGTGAAGATTAGAGTTGACGTGGGTTGGAGGCCATGATAATGGGGATGGGGCAGCCATGTCAGGCATCCCCCTGCCTCTGGAGCCCATCCCACAGGGGGTTCGACGGGGCTTTGCCTGATGTCTTGGAATGTTGGTGGACACTCCCCGTGTTCTAAAGTGTCAGGTGTAAAAACATGAGAGAGGCTTCAGGTACCAAACCAGCCTCCGACATCACCCTTAAACCTTATATAAGGACTGTAAGTAAGTTTATTGAATGAAGAAACTATAGACAGTAGTGGATGCTGTGGCATTTTCTCTCTCCTCCCTGTGGGTGCCTCATGCTCCTTCAAATCAGAGGCGAGGCTCCAGAGAATAGCTCAGAGCTCTGGGATGCTGGAGGAGGGACCAGGTCGGATGCTGCAGGGTAAAGCACCTCTTGAGAGGGTGAGGGTGTGCTTGGGACGACCCAGCCCGTGTGCCAGGGGTTTGGGTTTGCAGGTGAGTGTGCAGGTGGCACCTGCTTCCATCATCCTCAAAGCACCTGAAGGATGGTGGGCTCTGTGTTGCCTGTGAAGACAGCATGGGGAGGCAGCAGCTGTGGAAACTGCACTTGTCCCCTCTGGGGAGCTGGTGTGGCAAAGGTGTGTGTCTTTCCTTGGGAGGCAAATGGATGCCTTAGAAGGTGGCCAGACTTGAGTTGTTTAAGAATCGTTGCCAGCCATGGTAAGGGTCTGTGAGGACGTAGCAAAACGTTGTGGTTTGAAGCAAGAGTCAGCTGCGGAAAGTATCAGAAACATTCTGCATCAGGAACAGTCCAGCATGGAGTCTCTGTGAGGTTTTCAGAGGAACTCACTAAAGCCTGCACTCTCCCTGCCTCCCTAAAGAGCCACATTTGGACACCTGCCGAGGAAGAGGACATAGGAGGTCAGATGACAGTAGCTCCAGTTGTATTAGACACTCTTTTGTTCTGATGCCAAGATGAGGAGGAGGTCGAAGGCAGAGTAAAATACTGTGAAACAATGAAATAACCATGTACCCTTCCCACATGCAGCTGGGTCAGGCTTGAGCTAAGGGGAGAAACTCTCAATGGGATGTAGGATTAGGATTTAAATTGGACTGGGCAGGACATTCTCTATGTCTGCTGAGATGATCAGATGATTTCCCATTTTTAGTTTGTTAATATTATGAATTACATGAATTGATTTTCAAATATGGAGCCAACCTTGCATTCCTGGGGCAAACCCCACTTGATCATAGAGTATCCTTTTTATACTTGTTGAATTGTTGTCTTGGTGGAAAGGTATTTGGAAGATCTTGTCTAGAATTGGTATTGTTTCTTCCTTAAATGTTTGATAGAATTTACCAGTGGAGCTATCTGGGCCTAGCGTTGTCTTTGTGTGAAGAGTTTGAACTACAAATTCAACTCTTCAGTAAATATAGGGCTCTTCAGGTTATTTCTTCTTGAGTAAACTTTGCTAGTTTTTGTCTTTTGATTCGTTCATTTCGTTTAAGTTGTTGAATCTGTTGGCATGAAGTTGTTTATAACATTCTCTTATTCTATTAATATCTGTAGACTCAAGTGATGTTGCCTCTCTCATTCCTGATATTATTTGTGTCTTCTATTTTTCCTATATGTCCCTCTACAGGTTTATTAATTTTATTGAACTTCTCAAAGAGCCAGCTTTTGGCTCATTGTTTTTCTCTATTTTTTTCCCTGTTTTCTATTTCATTGCATCTGTTCTAGTTTTTATTCTTCCTATTGTGTAGGGAGGCATGTGTCTCTTTGGGGAACCCTGCAGCACCTGCTGCAGGGTTGTTCAGCAGAGCCTTTTCTGTGAATTCATCCTGCATGGTGCTGAATATATGAGAGTTGATCAAAACAATTTGCTTCATATGAGATCCTCCTGTAGTGAAGTCCTTTCCTGATGCTAGATTCTCGCAGGCTTTTAGTTGGATATTTTGTGTGGAAGGGGCCATGGAGGGTATGTTCATGGAGGGTAGTTGGAGCAGCATTGGAGAGGTGGAGAGAACAGAGACTTTGGAGCCCAAGACAAAACAACAAAGCCACAATAATTGCTGTTTGATATGGTTTTGCTATGTCCCCACCCAAATCTTATCTTGTAACTTCTACGGTTCCCATGTGCCGTGGGAAGAACTCCCACAATTGAATTGTAACTCTTAAAATTCCTATGTGTCATGAGAGGAACCAAGTGGGAGGGATTGAATTATGGGGGCAGGTCTTTCCTGTGCTGTTCTCGTGATAGTGAATGAGTTCATGAGATCTGATGGTTTTAAAAAAATGGGAGTTGCCCTGCACAAGCTCTCTTTGCCTGTCGCCATCTATGTAAGATGTGACTTGCTCCTCTTTTGCCTTCCTCCATGATTGTGAGGCCTCCCCAGCCATAGGGAACTATAAGTCCAATTAAACCTCTTTCTTTTGTAAATTGCCCAGTCTCTGGTATGTCTTTATCAGCAGCGTGAAAACAAACTAATACACTGTTATCAACTGAATCCTCATTACAGTCATTTGCTAAGCACTTGACAATGTGTTATCTCATTTCGTGTTACTCACTTTGGAGGCAACAACTTTATGAGGTGTGCACTACTGCTATTAGCATTGCATGCAGGAGGCAGCTGAGGCTCAGGGAGGTTATACAACTTGATCAAGGCCACACAGCTAGTAAGTGGCAGAGCCAGTACTGGGATCCTGGATGATCCAAAGCACAGGCTCCTGAGTACTAAGCTACATGGGTATGGATTTCAGGACTCATTTTGCTAAAAAGTAAAATAAAATGTTTTTTGATGGCTTATCATGGCCAGGACACTTAATAGCTGTATGTTGTTGGGAAGATGATATAACCTCTCTGATTCTTTGTTACCTAGATATTTTGCCTGGTTATGTTGAGGGTTAGGTATGAATGCAGGTAAAGAGTCTACTGCAATGCTTGATCCATGGTGGGTATTCAATAACCTGTAGTTGCTCCTTGGGGGAGATACACCTGTGGTCATCTTGAGTCTTCCGTCTTTGATTTAGATTTGGTTGAATTGCCTTGGTTGAAGAGGTCTAAAGCTCATGGCGTCCTTCAGCCTCTCAGGACAGATGACTGATGTGAGTCTTTGGCTCTGACAAGTGTGAATGAGGCTGTCATCACCATCAGATACATAAGCTTGACATTGTTCAGGAGATTATTTTATGAAGTACAGAGAAAAAAATCCAGAATCACATTATTTGATTGCTGGAGTTATTTAATTAGGCAGGTGATAGCAGGGTTAATGAATCATTAACACCTCAAAAGAGCAATTAGCTCATTGTTTCCATAATTTTATGCAATGAAGCAGAAAGCTGGTACTTAGGGTGGCTGTATTTTAATAGAATTTTGCAGAGGATAATTTCCGTTGTTTTGTTTTCAAACTAGGTCTGTAAATTCATGTTCATTGTTGGTACCCATGGCATTAGTTTTGTTACCATGAGTATGCAGGTGTATATAATTTTATATATAGTATGATAATAGGGTAGAATGGATGCAGGTGTGCATTTCCACCTTCTTCCATGGCCTCTCTTTTCCTGGAATCCTTTTCAGAGCATCAGAGCTGTTTTTCCCTAGTCATGGTAGCATTCACTCATCCATTATTCGTTTGTCTTCATGAAATAGTTATTGAATTCCTGTTAGGGGTCACTCATCGTTCAGGCACTGAAGGTACTTGGTTGAACACGACAACCAGGGTCCCTGCTCTCAGAAGCTTCCATTCTACAAAGGACGATGGAAGCAAATACACAAACAAGAAAGCAGAGGCAGGATGAAGTGCTTGGATGAAAGTAACTGCAGGTGTGTGACTGGGCAGGGAGGGCTTCTGTGAGGAGCTGACGTCGAAGTGACTTCTTAAAGTAAGAGGGGCAAACCAGACAAAGATCCGTGAGTATGTTCCAGGCTCAGGTCCTGTGTAGGAATGGGCTGATGTTTCAGGAACTGCAAGAATGCAAGCATGGCCAGAGAGCAGGGAGGCTGGGAGGGGTGCAGAGACATGGCAGAGAGGCAGCCAGTGCCAGCTTGCATGGCCCGAGGCTCAGTGTGAGGGGTAGGTAGAGTAAGGGCAGGCCTTACTGAGGGACATCACACTGCCTTCTGACTTGTGTTTACAAAGGCTACTTTGCTTGCCATGAGGGAAGGATTGTCTCGGGGCAGGGGAGAGATGGTGGAGGCAGTGAGGAGTGAAGGGTCCGTGGTGTGGCTTTGAAGTGGAGCTGACGGATGCGCAGATGGCATAAAGGATGAGAAGACTCAAGAACGCCTCCCAGATTTTGTAGTTGAACAAATGGGGCCGGGGTGGCACCATTTTCTGAGATGGGGAAGCCTGGGTTGATCCACTGGCTATGGATAAAATCAGCAATTCTATTTGAGCCATAACAAGATAGAGGTACCTGAACAGCCCCCCTTCCCCCTTCTCTGTCTCTCTGTGTGTTTCTGTGTGTTTCTGTGTGTTTGTGTGTGTGTGGCACTCTCATTTATTGAATTGAATATTTATTACTGTGTTATAGGTATTGCATTGTGCCTTTTATGAAATGTTCTCATTGTTATCTCAATATTATTCTCATAAGAACTCTGTAACGCACGATGAGATCCATTCTAAAAATTAATCAGCTGCTGCTCAGAGAAGTGTAGCTGCTTCTCCAGACCACATGGACGGTAAGACGTAGAGCTGGGATTTGAATTCAGATTTGACCAATTCCAAAGCCTGGGGTCTTCCCGTCTGCCAGGCTGCTTCTGAGATTCACTGTGTTCTCGCTGCCTCTCGTGCAGCTCTCTATTCTGACGAAAGGCATTGTAGGATCCCAGGGAGGTGCCAGAGTGGCCTCTCTGCAGTGACTGTGGCTGTCTTGGTTCCTCTCACCCTTCTTCCAAAGCCCCCATGAGACACACCTCCCTGGTCTCCTTCAGGGACAGAAGACCCAGAGTAACTCCTGTCCCCTCTCCTCTTTTAAAACACAGTTCTGTTAATGAGGTATGCAGCTCCTTCTCTCTCACTGTGCATCTGGGGTGCATGGCTTGGGTGCTGTCCTTGGCCATGGCACTTTCGTAGATGACATTTACTCAACGTGGGGTGATGTCGTCGAGCTCCTGTAACATTAATAGGTTAAGTGGTTTGTCTCGTGGTTTTGTGTGTGTTGTGAAACCTGGCTGGGGTCTGGGTGTCGAGAAGCAGGGCCCCAGGAGGACCCTCCCTGCTGGGCCAGGCATGAAGAGTTACTACCACTGTGTCTGACTTGGGGAGCAGAGCTCCCCAGTTGTTGGCCTGACATTGGTGTGGGCAAGTGGGTAGGCAGCAGACCCCTGGCAGAGGTGAGGTTCAAGAGCTGAGTCCCAGGGCAGAGCTGGGAAGTGAGGGAGGGACACGTTTGCCCCACCTGAACTCCTTGTTGGCAGTGGACTCAGATGCTGAGCTGCTGGAACCTCTTCTGTGCTAAGTTGGGTCTGGGTTGGGAAGGGAGAGGGGGCTGCAGCTTGGAGGGGAGGGTGTGGATTAGCAGCGTTAGGTGTGGAAGGAGGCCCTATTGACAGGTTCAGGCCCCCGACCTTCTGGGGGATGGGGTGCAGGTAGGGCCCGCACCATGGTGTCTATGCTGGGAGTTTCCTGGGTGGGTGTGAAGTAGGCAGTAGGAAGGACACCAAATGAATTTGGCTTAGTGCCGGCGGGGGCGATGATCGATTCTGATGTCAGCTTAGGGGTGGCTTCCCAGCGCTGGGCCTTGGAAGGGCAGTGTACATGTGCCCTGGAGGTGGAGAGGCTGTGGGGGCTCGAGCAGAGACCCTCGTTGTGCAGCAGAGGCCCCGGGAAGCACATGGACTGGCTGGGGACCAGGGTGGCTGAAGGAGCATAACATGGAGGGTGTAGGGGCAGAGAGTGAGGAGGCTGCCAGGTGGATCCCAGAGGAAGACGAGCAGAGAGGGAGGAGGCTGCCCGGTGGATCCCAGAGGAAGACGAGCAGAGAGGGAGGAGGCTGCCCGGTGGATCCCAGAGGAAGACGAGCAGAGAGGGAGGAGGCTGCCCGGTGGATCCCAGAGGAAGACGAGCAGAGAGGGAGGAGGCTGCCAGGTGGATCCTGGAGGGAGACCGCCAGAGTGACGAGGATGGCCAGGTGGATCCCGGAGGGAGATGAGCAGAGAGTGAGGAGGCTGCCAGGTGGATCCCAGAGGGAGATGAGCAAAGAGTGACGAGGCTGGCCAGGTGGATCCCGGAGAGAGACTGCCAGAGAGTGATGAGGGTGGCCAGGTGGATCCCGGAGGGAGATGAGTAGAGAGTGATAAGGCTGCTCGGTGGATCCCAGAGGGAGATGAGCAGAGAGAGATGAGGCTGCCAGGTGGATCCTGGAGGGAGACAAGCAGAGAGTGACGAGGCTGCTGGGTGGATCCGGGAGGGAGACTGCACCCAGTGGTGTTGTCGGGAAGACGATGGTGTCCGTGGGAGGTGACAGAGCGGGACCCTGGCGAGGATCCCTTGAGTGGATGTCACCATCGTCCAAGTGAGAGATGTGGGGGGTGGGGGTGTGTGAACCAGGTAGTGGGACTGTAGTGGAGGTGTGTGCAGTGGCAGACAGGGTCCCAATCCAGGGGAAACCAGGGGTGGGAGGTGTGAAGGGACCCCAAGCTTCTTATCCTGGTGGGCTGGGGATATAGAGATGGAACGTGGACAGGGGAGCAGCTCTTCAGAGGAAGGCCAGGCCTGAGGTGCTGGGATGTCCTCGGTGAGCCTCAGCCTTGTGGGTGGGACCAGGACCCTGTCACTCAGCACAGGGTTGGGGGTTAACATCCCTTCCCAATCAGAGCTCCCCCCATTTGCTTTTCTGCACATTCTTAAACAGTAGGGCCGTGAGGATGACAGGCTTTGCTTACCTGGGACAGGTCTCAGTAGTTCTTTTCCCCCTTTGTGTCTTATCTGCAGTGGACCTGAGACTGAAGCTGTCACCAGGCCATAGTGGTTGGCCCGGCCTCTCAGGCTGCATTCACAGCAAACAGGAGAGAAGGCGGAGGGGCTCCCGCCTCCTGGCCAGGACATTCTGGTTGGAGTCTTGTAATGAAATCAGAAGTGACATGTCCATTCTTGGGGCCCCATAACTTGGCCAGCAAAGCTCCTCGGCATAGTAGGCCATTGACGCATGCTTCTTGGGGACCATGGGGAGCCTCCCTAGCATGGACACACAACCTTTGGTGCCACCTTTGCCCGTCAGCCCAGCCCCCGCACCCTGCACTTCCCTCCATGTGCAGCGCAGAGCCCTCAGCCCCAGACCCCCTCGCGCTGCACTTGCTGGCATCTTCTCCTCCCCCAGCACCTGGTCTGCCTCTCTCTGCATCCTTCCTGGACCCGCCCCTGGGTGTTCTATTGACAAAGGGGTTCCCCCCCTTTCTTATGTTTTAGGGCAGTGCTGTGCACACTGTTGAGTTTGATGAGTGTTGGCTAATTTGAACTGAATTCCCAGGTGTGTTTTTTCCTTTTTCAGATCAAACCAGTGGTGCATTGTGATATAAATGTGCCTTCCAAGTGGCAAACATATCATCGTATATCTCGACATATAAAGTGAGTATAATATTATGGGTGAAAAAATCAAACTGTGCCATAACTCCCTAAAAACAATACTTTCTATCCTGACAAATGCCCCTCAGCCCCCTTTCTGTCCCTCCTCCCCTCCCCTCCCCCTGCTCTCTTGTGCTCTCACTTCCTGACAGGTGATTTCTTTTTCCTAGACCACCTTCTCTCTGATTCAGCTGTTCATGTGCTACCTTTTCTTTCTCCTCTTGAACCCTGATTTTGGAAAAGAAAAGCAATCCAATCACCATGCCGTTGTTTGCAGAACAGTTCACCTGGGGATATGAAGATAAGAGCATCATACACACAGCTTAGTTTTAGGCTCTGAAGCTTTGTTTTGATTTTTTTTTTAATGTAGCAGTTGCAGCTGCAGCATGTTGAAGGGAAATTTAAAAGCTGTTTCCCCCGCCCCTTGACCTCTTGCTACCAAAAGGCCCTCATGGGCTACAGCACATCCAAGTCAGGTGTTGCTACAGGAACGGAGTGCATTAGAGCCTCACTGGCCGCTGCCCTGGGATGCCGCTGGCAGTGCCAGGCACCGAGGTGCTCAGTGGGAGGCACTGGGGATAGTTGTGAGCACTGTGTGCATCCACCTGCATTATGTTTTTGGGGTTGGGAAAAGACACACACTTGACTTGAACGAAACGTTGGTTTACATCCCGGCTTTTCGTCTTATCAGCTTGGGACCTGTGCCTGCTGCTTCGCTCTGAGGCTGAGGATGTCTCCCATTGTGGAAAACAGGGCTGAGAATATGCAGCACACTGTGGTGAGGGTTAGCTTCAGGAATGTTTGCAGCCAGCCCCCCAGGGCTTGTCACAGCGTAGCAGTTCTCTGAATGGCAGCTCTTCCCCCTGTCCTTTTATTGGGATGTTCTAGCATTTTAGTGATTAAAAGCCCTGACATGGATATCTTTCCATTTTACCATGTTCTAGTCTAAATGGAAGGAATTTTAGCGAGTTTCCAGAGAATGCTGAGCTCTTCATGTGGGGGTCCCAGCCTTGTGTGAGCCAGAGTCACCTCTACCACGTCCCCTCGCAGTCCCGAGAGGCAAGGGCTTGGAGGCTCATGAGGCTGGAAACTGCCTGATTCACCCGACAGATCCTCAGGCTGGGAACGAGAAAGAGGAAGGAAATGTGGCCGAGAATTCGCCAAACTTGGCCCCTTGCGCTTTTCCTGAAAATCTGTGACCATTTCTTTAAAATACTTTAAGCTTCCACAAGGGGGCCACCTAAATACACAGATCTTTCCACACCACTTTTCATGTACCTAAGAGCTGTTTTGAAATAATAAGACACAGTATTTCTGAATTTTGTTAGTGATGTCTTTCCCGCAGAACATACAGCAACCTCAGGGAACGTCGTTGGTTTGTGGGTCCTTCTTGACAAAAACGCCATCCTTAAAGCCACATTTTATGTGCGTGACCCAGGCCATCAATGATCCTCACTCACTGGACAGACATGATTATTTTTTTCAATGAGAAACCAACACAGTCTTGCAGCATTTGCCCATCCTTTGTCTTGGTGTGTTGGAATTTCCACTAGATGGACCCAAATATCCATGTGAGTGCAGAGTCCTTCCTACCACAAATAAACCTGATCGTGTTCCTCGGAGTCCTTGTCGCTATAAAAACACATAAACAGTAGTTATGACGGCTTTCAGAGGCTTAGATGCTCAGGAGAGAAAGGCGGGGTGTGACCCTTTCTGGTGAAGAGGAGAGTTGGCGAGGGAGTGAATGGCTTGTTGAGCTGTGTTCTGCAGCAGCCAGATGCTGGAGAGAGAGCCCGGGGCTCCCCTGATGGGGTCACCGGGGGATTGAGCTGGTGGTGAGTGCATGGGTTGGAAGTCACTGATTTGGAGGTTGAGGCTCAGATTGAAGCCCTGGTTCTGGCACTGATTGAGCCGTGTGGCCTGAGGTCACTTCTCTTGCCCAGTGTTCTCTCTGATGTCCCTTGTCACTTAGGAAGGGATTCACTCACTCATTCCACTTATACTGGCGTGGAAAACACCCTGAGTCAGTGAATGAGCCTTGGGAGAAAAAGCGTTTAAAAGATCTTTTGTCGTTTATTTAGAAGTGAGCTGGCAAAAGTTGTCTGGGCCCTGGAGTGGTTTTACTTGGGGACTCCCTGCCCTTTACAGGGAGCCTGAGACCAGAGGGAGAGTGGGAAGAGAAGAGCCCACCCCAGGGCTCCTCTGTGGGGAGGAGGCACGTTTGTGCCAGGCAGAACTGGAGAAGAAGGGGCCATTGGTCCTGGCCCTCATTGCGAGACTGACGTCGAAGATAGACACAGCTGGACATTAGTGAAAGCGGCAAAAACAGATTTTATTTAGTAACTACTGAGAGTTGGGGAAGGAGCTGAGTTCCACTCTGATTTGTGTGGAAGTGATTTGGGCGTTTTAAAGGGGGAATGAGATGGGAGCAAGTGGGGCCTCAGGAGAATCAGAGAAGTGGAAAAGTACAAAGAGTTGGTCAGTGAAGGTGGCCAGGCAGCTGGTCTGCAAGCTGGCAGTTCTGGAAGTTAGGATTCTGTCCTCCGCCAGAGACTGGGAGACAGGCCCTGTCCTGCCTGATGCTTGCAGTTCAAGGGAAGGATCTTAGGTGTGGGAAACGTGTCTGCATGGCAAGAGCTGCATATTTGTCAATGCTCTAAGAAGGAGAGGTCAGGGGCCTATCTCAGGTGTTGGCTGGATGAACAGTAAATGTTCCTGGCAGCCCTGGGTTTTCTCAGGTGGGTGTTTAGTGGCGGGGCTAGGGTCATCCTATGGCTGTGGCTTGATGCTGCTGGACGCATGCTAGAGTTTGGTTGTATCTCAGCGCAGGAGTTGGGACAGAGTTGTCATAGGCCAGAGTTCTGTGAAACTCAGTCCCTCCTCTTGTTCATGAAGACAAGCAGATCTATTCCTTGTAGAACAACCACCACCTGTCATAAGGGGGACTTGAGGAGAAGGGTCCAGCCGTTGCTTCCAGCTGCTGTGCATTCAGGAGGAGCTGAGAGACAGCCGAGGAGCACAACCCTCCCACGAGGGTGGTATGCATCAGGAGATGAAAGCGTGACCATCGGGATGGATACAAAGAAGCCAGAGGCCAGGCACAGTCGCTCAAGCCTGTAATCATGGCACTTTGGGAGACTGAGGCAGAAGGATCACTGGAGCCCAGGAGTTTGAGATAATCCTGGGCAACATAATGAGACCCCATCTCTTAAAAAAAAATAAAGAAACCGAGTCCCTTAAGGAGCTCCCTAAACCATCCAGTAAGTGGAGGAAATTATTTAAAGGGAGATGCAAGTCAGTGCTTTTCTGGAGGTTGTAAGCTGTGTTAGCTATTGTGTCGGATTGCCACTGCTACAGTTACTACTGTTACTGCTTGAGACCATCATTACGACAGAACAAAGGGATGAATGTAGAAATAATAACAAAAAACAAAAGGAACTGTTTTAAGGAAAGGACCAGGGGAAGAAGAGAGCCCCCTGCTTCTAGTGAGCAAAGGCAGCCCCCGCCCCCCGAGCTTCCACAGCCCTTCCTATTTATTGGGTAGAATGAGCAGGGAGAAGGAGATAACGACTGGTCAGCTGCTTAATTGATCACAGGTTCATATTATTACTAACAGGCTTCAATTATGCCTAATCACAAGAAACACTTGCGCCTGGGTCGTGACTGCCCTCAGCAGTCCTTCTGGGTGGCGTGTGCAGTTTGTCAGTTTGCCAACATTCTGCATTTATGAGAAAGTTTGCTGCTTACTCATATAGCCTCCAGTGGTATACTGAGTTGATCACGGCCCTCACTCTTTTGGCCTCCAACAAGCTATGTCTTGGGTGTGAGCCTTTGCTGTGACTGTCTCTTGACAAATTTCCTCTCGAGTGTCGTCTACAAACAGGTGGCACTGAGGACTGACTCGTGCACGAACACCTCCCTGGTTTCCAGTCAGCAGTCTGAGGCTAGTCCATTTTGTGGAGTCATTTACAAAGTTCTGACACTTCTGGAGCTAATGATGCAGCAGCTTGTCCTAAGTGGGAGACAGAATCTTCCAGTTCTTGGGGGGCTAGCTTTGCTGATCCCCTTTGTAACCTTATAGTGTATCCGTCACCATAGGCGAGGGTGCAGTGGGAGGGACAGACCACCCTACCAGGCTGGCTCCAGGCAGCAGGTCCTTCCAGAACCCACTTAAGACGGCTTCCCATCCACTAATGCTTGGTCCACAAGTCTCAGGACCAGCAGCTGGGGCAGCACTCACGTTTCTGAGTCTCCTTTGCGAAGTTTGTCACATTTAGCCATTTGAAGGTCAGCACTGGCCACGTGACAGGAGCCCATCCACTGGCTGGAAGCATTTTCTATGTCTTATGACCACACACACAATAATGACCCTTCTGAGCATAATTGGGTTGGTCATTGCCTGTACTGGTTGTGACAGAGGCTTGAAGAGCTAACCGGGAGTAGATCCCAAAGGGAGAAATGTAACATTAACCATCATCTTCTCACTGATTGCGCCTTTTAGTCCTGTTTAACCAGCAATTCCATTTGCCTGATCTCTTTGCCAAATAATTTCCTGTGATGCTGACATCATGGGGTGTTGAAGGAAGATGATGTCTAAAGGGAGTTTGGCCCTTACACTGAGCTCCGGTTTCATGAGAACAGAATGTGTCTTGCTACAGGGACATGGAGGATTCCCTGTGTCCCACAGACAGGCTATGTCTATTAGACTGATTTCCCATGAACTGTCGTGTTCTTGAGCTCACGAGGCCATGTCATAGTCCCAGTCTTGGGGGCCTTGAAGTTACAGTTTGGTGCCACTTCAGAAGGGGACTGCTCTGGTTGTGTGTATGGGATGTTTCCTGTCAGGACCATATGTATGAGTATGATGAGGCCATTATGAAGGGGGTCTCAGTTTCAGGACTGAGTACGGTAGGGGGCGGTGAGTGCAAACCCAGGAATTCACCTCTTGGTCTCATCTGCTGCTTGGTGAGCCAAGAGAAGGAGAGAGTGATGACCGCACTAGGGAAGCGCAGGCAGATCGAGATGGAGGGAAACAGGGAGGGCCCAGTGGAAGGCTGGATGTGGTTCGGGGGACCGAGGAGTAGTTGATGCAATTGGGAGGAAGATACAGGAATTGTGGGAGAAGATTTAGTCTGTTAGGGAGTATGAAAAGGCAGGAGAATCTATGGGCTCTTGTTCCATGATCTCGGAGAGAAGCCAACTGTGTCATGGCATCACCCGCTTTGTTCCACGGTTGTTGGGACAGTCGTCTGCCTCTGGCTGTCATCTGCTGCCTGAGGCTGTCAATGGAACTGTGGTTTGAGATCTCTGGTTGGAGTGCTTTCCAGTCGGAATCATATCTATGTATATATGATATAATATATATATATTTAGCCATGAGACATGGACAAAGGTTGAACACCTTGTAATTTGACAGCAATGAACAAAACAGCACAAGGCCTTTCTTGTGTGGGGTTCAAGGTTAGTTTCCTGATGGTGGCATTTCCAAAATACCAGATCTCATACTTTCAAACTGTGTAAAGGCTGATCAAGGAGTTTGAGGGGAAAGGTGGCCTTAGTTTGTTGATTGTAGGACTGTGTGTATCTAATTAACTCCTGACAGTGTCTGAGGATGTCAGACTGTGTTAAATTGGAATCTCTTGTTAGCCAGGAGGTGTAGGGCATTCTCGTGGTCTTCCTGTAGTGGTTTCAAAGGGGGGCCATTTCTGAGGAGGATGGGGTGAGGATCTGGGAGTCATAAGAAGGACAGATAACACCCATGGCCATAGACAACCCAGTTCTTCAGACAGCTTAGCCAGATTGGACTTTGGACATGTGGGCTCTTCCTGAGGTGCCTGATGACTGAGGGTGTAATGGCAATGCAGTCTTCGACTAATATATTGTATTTATAATTGCTTGTGTAATTTTGCTAGTGAAATGTGATCTTTCATTAGAAATTATAGAGAGGATACCCCAAGTGGGATAGATTACTTCCAGGAAAATGTTGGCAACTGATGTCGTGGAGGCATTTTGGCAGTGGAACAACCTCTAACTATTTAGAAAACATGCAGATCAGTGTGGGGACATATTGGGGACATATTGGCTGCTGGGCCTCTGGTAATTGGATAAAGTGTATTTGTCAGTGAAGGAAGGGTCCAGTGTAAGCTGTTCTCCTTCCTCAGTCCATGTTTAGAATTTTCCCAAGGGTATGTTTCTGGCAGATGAAGTGAGGGACAGCTGCTTGGTCCAGCTAAAAGCTAAAGTGTTCAAGCCATTGTTTGTCCAGTATGTCCTGCATTTGTACCTTTCTGGGATGAGTCAGGTGTAAACCACATACAGTGACTCTGGTGACAGACTTGGGTGGGCCATGTGGCTCTCTTGTGTTATTTCCTTGGGAGGCATCTTGAAGGAGTTGTTTCCTTCAAGGGAGGTGTCTGTTTGGGTTGTTATAACAAAATATGTGAGCCTGGGTAATTTATAAACAGCAGAAATTTTTTGCCCACAGTTCTGGAGGCTGGGAAGTCCGAGATTGAGGTGCTAGCAGGTTTGGTGTCTGGCGAGGGGTGTTCCCTGCTGCACAGTTGTGCCTTCTTGCTGTGTCCTCACATGATGGACGGGGCAGACAAGCTCCCTGAGGCCTCTTTTATAAGGACACTAATCCCACTCGTGAACCTAAGCCCCCTCGTGATTGAATCACCTTTTAAAGGCCTCACCTCTTAATGCTTTTACACTGGGGATTTGGTTTCAACATGAACTGGGGGGTGAGGGGACACGATTCAGACTGTAGCAGAGGTTGAATCATCCCACCAGGGGTCTGGGACCTTGAAGTGCGAGCCAGGGCTGTGGTCCCAAGGCCTAGAAACCACGTGGGTTCCTCAAGCGGTGGGGGAAGAGGCTTCTAGTTTGGCATATTTATTAACCCACTTATTTTCCCAAGTGTCATCTGATTTCTTTATGCCGTATCCCTCAGTTTTAATAAGAGCAGTTTGCTGGGGTAGTAACAGTGCCTCCAGAAGTTCTGCTATTTGACTGGGCTACCGGCTGCTGTCGTAAATCCCCCATTTCCGTGGCACACCAACATCACGTACTGCCCCAAAGGCATGGCGGCTGTCAGCGTGGATGTTTCACCTTCATTTCTTCTGTCTTCATGCAAGCCCGAGTAAATGATTCATTCAGCCACCTGGGCTGATGTAACACATGGCAGGGCTAGATAGCCAAGAGGTTTGTGCTGATTAGTGATGGCATATCCAGCCTGGAAGGGCCCACCCTCCCTCCAGAGATAGGAGCCATCGACATAAAGAGCGAGATCTACTTAGGGCAGAGGGGTTTCTGATGAATCTAATCTAGGATGAGACAATCATCTGATGTTGGTGACACGGGTGTCACTAACATCCACTAACTAACCACGGGTAAAGGAAGCAAGTGGAGGGGTTAAGGCTTTGATGGTGTAGTATGGTTATGTGAGGGGGAAAGCAGTAGATTTCGTAAGAGGGAAGTTTAGCCACAGAGAAATGCTGTGTTCTCATTAAGCAGTGGGGTCTGTAGGGTCTGAACGGGATGAGGAATGTGTGTGTCTAATAGGCGACCCAGTTGCAAATGAGACAGGCAGCCTGGACAAGACTGGTGGTTGCAGCCCTGGCTCACAGGCAGGAGACATGCCTCAAGTCCTGAGCTCGGTGAAGCTCTCGCAATCCACGTTTTTATGTTTTGGGGAGAAGACTCCAAGACATGATCCTCTCCTTCATGCACAAGGAAGGACAAAGGCAGGGAGTAATTGGGAAGTTCAAGGTGGGGGTGAAAGTACAGAGCCCTTCAGGTTCATGAAAGTGTCTTTAGATAGGGGGTTCCTTACTCCCGGGTCCAGGGATGACTCCCTTATCGTGGCCTAAAGAGAGGAGGCAATTGGAGAGAAATTAGGCATCCACATCCTACCGCATCCCACAAGACCCCCACTTTCTCGCTCCCAATTGTTCGTTTGTTTCCAGGAAAGGAAAATGTTGAAGACTAGAAACTTGGTCTGTAGAGATTGCTTTTTTCTGTGACCAAGATATCATAGCCCAGATACCAGACACACAGGATAACTGAACTTTGTGTCTAGCCACTCCACGGTCCTTTTTGCTAACACCCTAAGGAGGCATTCAGCGTGCAGAAGGGAGCTGTTGTAACTTTCTTTTTTTTATTTTTATTTCTTAATTTTTTAATTTTTAATTTTTTTATTATTATTATACTTTAAGTTTTAGGGTACCCGTGCACAATGTGCAGGTTTGTTACATATGTATACATGTGCCATGTTGGTGTGCTGCACCCATTAACTCATCATTTAGCATTAGGTGTATCTCCTAAAGCTATCCCTCCCCTGCCCCCCACCCCACAACAGTCCCTGGTGTGTGATGTTCCCCTTCCTGTGTCCATGTGTTCTCATTGTTCAATTCCCACCTGAGTAACTTTCAGAACATAGGAGGAGGTCATCCACAAGTTGGATTACAGTTGAGTTTCCTGGGAATTTTACCCGCATCAGATTTGCACTTAGGGTGTGTGAGAAGTAGGTAGGGGCCTCAGTAAATCCTTGAGGCATAACGGTCCAGGAATATGGTTCATTTTCCCAGGTGAAGGTGACAAGCCCGGGGAATTTTCATGGTAGGGAATTCTAAAAAAGGCAGTGCACACATTGATGATGACTGTGAAATACTGTGTGTTAAAAGTGATCACGGCCAGGATAGTGTTAGCATTAGGCACCAAGGAAAGCCTGGGTTTGACCATTTTTTTTTTTTTATAGATCTCAGATCTTGGATCAGCTGATATATGTTTTTTCCATTTGGCTTTTTAGTGGCTGGAATGCGAGTGTTGCATGGATTGGAAATATAGGGCAGTACCTTTCAAGTCCCTCTGGTTTTAAATGATTTTTTGCAAATCTTGTGGAGGGGCATGGAAGGATCTATTTCTATCTTATAGGGTTCTGCATCCCAAATACATCTAATATCCATGGAGTTTCTTATCCACAAAGGTGGAGGAATCCTGCCTAACAGCTGATTGAAGTCTTTGGTTAAATGAGTGCCAGGTGGAGGGAAGCAGAAGAACTTAAGCAAGTCGGACACCATGTCGGGGAACATAGATGAGAGGGAAGGAGTCCCTGGGGACACAGTGGATTCTAATACCCCAATCCAGGAGAAGATCCTTTCCTAGCAGATTTACAGGGTGGTAGGACTGAGAAGGAAGTTGTGCTGCTTTAAGGGGTCCCACAGAAATGTTTTGAGGTTGAGAAAGAGGCAAGTCGTGAGGCACAGGATCAAAACCCACCCCTGGTGAAGGTGGGTGACTCGGAGGAACGGAGCAGGAGATGAGGAGGTCCTAAGGGTAGGATGCGTTGCCCCAGACCAGTGAGAAGCGTGGTGGAGTCCCCTTCAGGTTGCAGGGTGACTTCTCCTGTTGAGTTTAGTGGCAGTTATAAGAGCATTGGACGTTTGCTTTCTGCAGGGCAGGCAGTGATTTTGTGATGAGCAGAGGGGTAGGATTCTTCGCTCCTCTGGAGGGCTGAGCTGTTTCTCCCCACGAGCCAGCAAATGTCCAGACCCAAAAGAGCCCATGGTTTCTGAGCTTGCTGTGGTCAAATGTTTCAGGTTTTTTCCTGATGATTTCAATTGCAGTGCATTGTACATTGTATATTTTCCAAATGGACGGGGTTGTTACATGCTGAGAATTCTGCAGTTCTCAACGAGAAAGTTTAAGATTAGAGTGAACTGTTACTTAAATCACTCCAGTTTTCTTTCAGGTTGTCTCAAAATCTTAGTTTAGAAAAACACAATAATAACTGTTATGACACCTTAGTTTTAAAGAATAATGCCTCTTTATTACCCTTTTCAAATCAAAATGCCTGTAACCTCCTTTTGCCTTCATTATAAGCCTATGCAGCAGATAAGGCAGGCAGTCATATTCCACTTTTGGAAATGGAAGATTGAGGCCAAAAGAGAGTAAGACCTTCATCTGTTCCTTTGATCCCTAATGGCTCCATCCAATCCATGTACCCCCCGCCACTGCCCATCCAGAATTGACTGAGTACCCCCAGGTGCCAGGCCCTGGGGAGACCGAGAGATTCAGATGCAGGCTTGTCCTCAGAGAGCTCACAGTTCAGTGGGGGAATGAGAGGTCCAGAGATAGAGCTATTTAGTTCTAGAATCAGCCCCGAAGACCATGGCTTCTGAGTTCAAATGTGGAGAACTTTTCAGTTCAACTCAGCTTGGAACTTGACCTGGTTCTTGAGAGCAAGCATTAGGCGACCTTCACCCCAGGATGAGGGGAGGGCGCAGGCGGCCAGCCCAGGATGTCACAATATGTTCATGGCCCGTTTACTACCCAACTGCAGTGGGTCATGGCTATTTGAAGATAGCGTGGCAATGGAAACAAAAACGACCCTGGCTTTCTTCCCACCTACTATCATCAATGTATTTCGGAGAGAAACAGCACATTTCTGATGCCTTCTACCTTGCTTTTCAACAGAGAAGACATAAGTGGGTAGAGGGAGGTGGATGCAGGGGAAGGTCTGGGTGGTTGGTTCTCCATGTGGCCTCCATGTGGCCTGGGGAAACCCCTTACCCTCTCAGAGGTCCAGATTCTTCCTCTGTGTCACGGGGGAGCAGGACTCACTTTACTGATTTGCTGGAAAGGTTAGAGACGACTCTCTAAAGTGTTCATGGCTAGTGCTGAGGAAATGGCAGCTGTCATCGCCAACCCACCTGACCAAAACCCATTCCTGGACCTATATGCTACTTCCCATTTTAAACAATCTGAAATATTTTCTATTTAAAATGTTTAAAATGTTTTATTTTCCTCCTATTTACTACTAAAAATTAAGTAGCAACACAGGAAGAGGTGCATTGACAAAGTAGTTTTATGCCTTTTGAAATCTCTTCAGAGTTTTTATTTAAATAAACCATCTTATTTAACAGAGTGACTCATGCCAATGGTAAATATATATTTTTAAGAGATATACATTTAAAGTAAGTCTCCCAAATTAAAAATTAAAAAAATAAAATTAATTTCAGCCTGTCAATACTGCTAATTTGTTAGAAAAATAAGTCAACAAGAAGTAAAATCTACATTTGAACTGATGAAATTTGGTAAATTTGGTAAGAAATAAATAATTCAGTGCACCATTGACAGTTCACATCAATGTGTTTCACATTAACGGCAGATTGGATAAATGCCTGATTTTTGAATATTCATTTTGAGCAATGAGATTGAAATAAAGTAAAAAAGGAATTAATGTTTGTTTTTACTCCCTTGTCAAAGGGTTTGATTTATATTACAGATAATTGTATGTGCAACTTCTCTATCAGATTGCAAGTTTTTGTTGGCAGAGAGTTGAGGAGAATTCAAAGTGTGAAGAAAGAGGAGAGATAGTGAAATTAAATTGAGATGAACTATATGATGAGATATATTCAGCATCCCACTCCAAGGGCAATACATTTTTTCTGCTGGTCTATCTGGGAAAAAAAAAAAAAAAAAAAAAAAAAAAAAAGCCTCCCAGCTTATATCACTAGTTCTCTAGTGATTCCCCCAGAGGGAGCCAGCGTTGCAGTTTCTGGTCTCTTTCTAGGATGGGCCATGCGTGATCAGGCGTTTATAGGTATATGTGTACTGCATGCACTGTTGTGTACCTTCATTTTTCTTGTAACCACCCAATTTATCTTGTATATGGTTTTTTATCAGCATATATAAATTGTGCTTTCAAAAATGAGTACCAGGCATTCAAAAATTCACATGTACCAGTGTTTATTTACCAGTGATGGGATTTGATGTGTGCCCATCCACAACCTATCACAGACTTCCAGGGAAACTGTTTTTGGGTATTTTAGATGGAGTTGTTCATTCAGCTACCTGGAAGATGGATCATCGGACCCTGAACAACACGGACCCCAAACCTGGCATGGTGATATTGGTCTAGGTTCATTCTTCTGCTCAACCAGCAAATTTTAGAGATGTGTGAAATCCATTTCTCCCTCTGAACTTGCCATTTCCTAGTTTATAAATCAGAGATTATTGTTTCTTCTCTTTTATCTTAAAAATTCAAAAAAATTTACAGATTTTTCTATTTACAGGCTTATAAAAATGTGGAAATCTAGAAAAGCATAAAGAATAAAATAAAATTCTCCAGTTATCCCATCCCTCAGATATAGAAGTGCTGGGAAGAGTGTAGTCCCTTTAAATGATACAGAAGGGGGAAGGGAACTGCTGGGGACAGGAGGGCATGGTCCCTGGCTAGGGCGCCACCCAATGGACCTGCGTGAGGTCAGGCATTTTTGTTTCCCTGCCCAAATGTTGCATTTCCCAAGACCACCCTTGGCCTGCCACGCCCCCATCCTGTGCCTATAAAAGCTTGAGACCCTGGCAAGGCAGAGACAGAAATGGCTGGACGTCGGGAGGAGCACATCGGCGGAGGAACACACAAGTGGCTGAACGTCAAGAGGAACGCACCAACAGGCACCGGCACACCGGCAGGCCGCCGACCGGCAGAACGACACAGAGTTTGGCTGGGGCAGTTAGAGGAGTGCTGGGGTTCCGAGAGGCCTGACTCCAGGGAAAAACCGTCTCCCTTCTGGCTCCGCCATCTGCTGAGAGCTACGTCCACTCAATAAAACCTTGCACTCATTCTCCAAGCCCACATGTGATCCAGTTGTTCTGGTACACCAAGGCCAGAACCCGGGATACAAAGCCCTTTGTTCTTGCAACAAGGCAGGGGTCTAATTGAGCTGATTAACACAAGCCACCTATACAGACGGCTAAACTCAAAGAGCAGCCTGTAACACAGGCCCACTGGGGCTTCAGGAGCTGGAAACATTTACCCCTAGATACTGCCATGGGGTCGGAGCCCCACAGCCTGCCCGTCTGTATGTCCCCTAGAGTTTTGAGCAGTGGGGCACTGAAGAAGCGAGCCACGCCCCCATTGCACGCTCTGCGAGGGGGACAAGGGAACTTTTCCTGTTCACAACCACTATTAACCCTAAGGCACCTTCACTCCTAGTGTTCTTTCTGTAGCCCACTGTTGTGGTTTTTGTCTACAACATTAATTATATCTGACCGTTTTTCCCCTGTAGATATAAATTCTGCATACACAATTTTTAACAGCTGTATAATTTATGGTGTGGCTGTGGCATAATTTATTTAACCAGTCATCCATACTTAGACATTTTGTATTTTTGACTTCATACATAATTCTATGAGAAATATCTTCACCTCTAAATCTTTGTCCACTTTTCTGTCGGGTGGATTTCATGGTGTGGGATGACTGGGTTAGTGGTTATTGATCCTTTATATTACATTGATCTATTTTGCCAAAGTGTCCTTCAAGAAGACTGTGCTGATTTTCAGCTACATCAGCAGTGGGATGGTGTGCCTGTTTCTCAATACTCAGGATAAGATTATAAATTAAATTTCTTAAAAATTGAGACAAAATATAACAAGACCTTGTTTAAACATTGATTACTTTTATTCCTATTAGTAATCTATATTTAGAAAAACTTGCAGCCTAAACCAATTAGGAAAACCAATAGTTGAAAACATTGTAGCAAATCTTTATTGTAATTGTAATAGCACATGGATAAATTCTGATATAACTTGCATGGAACATTTCTTTTTATGACTTCTTGTGGGCAGCGTCTTAAATATGGAAGAAGTTGGACTCTGGGTTGATTGGAAGCCTCTTTTGCCACAAAACCTTAACAGAGAAAATGGACTCTCTTTATGGTGACAAACATATTAAATTAAGATTTATATTTACTCTAAAGAGAGATATTTCTCAAATTCTAAGTTATTTGCATTTAAGGAAGAAGACAAAAAATGGCAGTAATAGTAAATTATAATGTAAAAAAATTAACCAGAATTGCAAAGTTGAGCTTATATATTGTTAAAGGATATCAATGATATCATTTATTATTTTTAGACTCGATACACCTTGTATTTTACATTATTTTAATGTGAATTACAAGAGTTTGAAACTATTGCATGTGTCTTTGATTATGGCATAGTCTCATGAACACTACTAACTTTGTGTTGGGTTTTGAAAATCTTCTAAGCACTTCCTCTCCCTCAACACGTAGAAACAATAAACTAACACCCCTAAGATTATATTGAAGTTGCCTTAAAACTCAGGAGTGAATAAGTGGTTTCTATTAACTTTTCAAAGGAATGCATGTTATTTTCTTTGGGAGATGATCTCGGCTCCAGAGAAAGGGAAAACAGCTACATTATTTAAGGCAAAATTATCTGCCTGTTTTCCAAATGGACACAATTTTCTTTCATTTTACCCATTATAGTAGTGGGAGACATGTTTTATAAAAAGTGGAGTTATGTTCTATTAATCTGGGCATTTTAGATTTTATAAAATACCCAGATTTTTATCAAGCTGCCCAGAATGTCACAACTGTGGGGTTGGAGCCCCAGAGCCTGCCCGTCTGTATGCCTCCCCTAGAGGTTTGAGCAGTGAGGCACTGAAAAAGCGAGCCACACCCCCATCTCATGCTCTGTGAGGGGGACAAGAGAACTTTTCCTGTTTCGCAACCACTATTAACCCTAAGGCACCTTCACTCCTAGTGCTCTTTCTGTAGCCCACTGTTGTGGTTTTCGTCTACAACAAAAGCACACATACACACACACACATAGGTATACACACACGCGCGCGTCTGTCACCAGGCTCTGTGACATTCTGTACAGCTTGATAAGGTCCCCAATAAGACATAGTATGAAGTATTGGAGGCTGCTTAGTGCATCTCATTGTTTTTACAGTTCTGTAATTGTATATATATTGAATTTTCAATGTTTCCCCCTCAAACTTAAGGTATTAATGGATGCTTTTCTTTTTATTCTTACAGTGTTTTTACAAATGGAAGATTATTTATTCCACCTGCAAAAATCATTATACCCAAATTTAGTCTGTCCGATTGGGACATCGTGCTGGCCACGATCGGAGAAAAAGTCTTCCCTCTAGGAGGCGTTCGGAAGTAAGGAGACTCTCGCCTTTAGGACAGCCAGGGGGCGGCAGCTTGTGTTTATTCTTTCTATGAGAGTTTTCTGCCTGGACCAGCAAGGTCTAAAATGATTCACCATAAACTCTTAATTTTAATTCTTCAAGCAGATAGTATTTTCTCAGTCTTGGTATTACACTTACTTTTAACTGGCCTCATTCATTTATTCATTCAACAAACCATTGAGCATCTACCATGTGCTAGGGGTGGAGAATACAGCATTGCAAAAAAGAGTCTTGCTCCCTGAAACCCCTATTGAGTGGGCCGACCGTTCAAGTTGCTAGAATGCTGCAGTTGGTATAATGAGGCCTCTCAGTTGGTCTGGAGGAGCCAGGCCTGGGGGAGCTGGTGTTTGGATTGAGTCTTGGCAGAGATGGGGGAAATGAATGCCATGGGACAGAAGAGCATGTGGGAGGGAGGTAGTGTGTGTAATGGCCTCTAGCATGTGCCTGGGGGTCTGGCGTGGAGCAAATCTCCTCTCCGCCATCTGTGTCTCGGTTACCTTGGGCACATTCCTAACTCCTCAATGCATGTTTTGTCATCTGGAAAACTGGAAATGATAATAATACCTACTTCCAAGGGTCCTCATATATGTAAAGTGCTTAGCAAAACACTTGATGCATAGTAGGCGTGAAATGGGTTTGTGATTATGATTGCGACAGTGGATGAGGCACAAACAAGCAGAGTGTGTTGAGGGAGCACGACACTGTCATCATAGGAAATTCAGCCCTATTGTGAGGGAAGTGGCCAGCCCCAAGGCCAGAACTTAGGTTCCACAAATACTTTACAGACCAGGCAAGGGGCTTGCTGTCTTGCAGCCAGTGGGTCCCATTTGCATGAATGAAAGCTCACAGTGGTGCTAGTCATGATGATGGACTGAAGGTGGCAGGTGAGGGAGGGGCTCCGGGCCTGGTGGCTGTGAAGATAATCTGGGTTGGCCTTCAGCTTTAACCATATGCACAGGCTGAAATGGAAGGGATGGGAAAAATATCCCATGCAAGTGGAAACCAAAAGAGAACAGGGGCAGCTGGACTTACATCAGACCAAATTGACTTCACGTGAAAAACTGCAGCAAGAGCTAAAGAAGGTCACCACATTAGGTTAAAAGGGTCAGCCCATCAAGAATATACAACAATTATCAATATATATATGCAACTGTCACTGGAGCACCTAAATATATAATATGCAAGTATTACCAGAACTGAAGGGAGAGGTAGACAGCAATACAATAATAGGAGGTGACTTCAGTACCCCACTTTCAACAATGAATACATCATCCAGACAGAAAGTCAATAAGGAAACCGTGGGCTTGAATAACAACATAAACCCAATAGACTTAACAGACTGCAGAACATTCTGTCCACCAGCAGCGGAATACACATTTTTCTCAAGTGTACACAGCATTCCCCAGGATAAATCATATTAGGCCACAAATCAAGTCTTAGCAAATGTAAGACTAAAATCATATCAAGTGTTTTTTCTGACCATAATGATACAAAGCTAGAAATCAGTAATAGGAGGAAAATTGGAAAATTCACAAATATTTGGAAATTTAACAGTGCATTCCTGAACAACCATTGGGTCAAGGAAGAAATCAAAAGGGAAATAAAAAAATATCTTGAGAGCAACAAAAATGGAAATAAATACTAGAATTTATGGGATTCAGCAAAACCAGTTCTAAGAGTGAATTTTATAAAGAAAAATGCCTACATTGGCCGGGTGCGGTGGCTCACGCCTGTAATCCCAGCACTTTGGGAGGCCGAGGCCGGTGGATCACCTGAAGTCAGGAGTTCAAGACCAGCCTGGCCAACATGGTGAAACCCCATCTCTACTAAAAATATAAAAAATTAGCCAGGCGTGGTGGCGGGAACCTGTAATCCCAGCTACTTGGGAGCCTGAGGCAGGAGAATCTAAATGGACTCTAAAAATGGGAGAAGGACTCTAAAAAGGGAGAAGGCTGTGTCTTGCGAATGGACAGAAGGAGAATGGGGGCAGTGGGAGGGACATGGAATGGGAGGATTGCCGAGCAGGGTTGAGAGCCCTGCTGGACTGCACGCTGAAGATTTGTAGTGGAACCAGCCTGCAGTTGCATGTGTTCTCGGGCACTCAGCAGCTGGGGATGAGAGAGGAGAAGGCAGATGGGCAGTTGGTCCATGAGGTGAGAGCAGAGAGGGACAGGGAGGGATGGAGGCTCATGGCACAGCAGGCGGAGCCATTGCTGGTGTGGACATGAAGCCACAGTCAGTTGGGTGGCATCAGGCCCAGCGTCCGGCTGTTGGTGCAGATTAGAGGAAGGTGAAGTGGGAAAGCGGGAGACTGGGAGGCCAAGAGGCTGCAGAGGCAAGGTCGAGACATCCACCTGGGGATGCTTCTGGGCACTAATGAGGTGTGAAGGACTGCCCTGGGAGGGGCTGAGAAGGCGCAGGGGAGATGAAGATCTTTCAGGCTGAGAAGTGGGAAAACGCCGTGCAGCAAGGAGAGTTAGGAGGAGGCCGCCGTGGGCAGTGATGGTCCCCTGATGGTAGACGCTGTGGTGGAAGAGCAGAAACAGTTAATCCTGCCTTATGCTTTTGTCAGTTAACTCTCCTTTGGGGGTAGATTAAAAACATCCAAGAGTGATTTACAGTCAACAGTTGTGATACCAACGATGAAAACTGATGTCCACTTTTGAGTAGGATGTAAACTGTCGAGCCGTTTAGAGCAGTGGAGCCATGAGTAACCTCGTGGCAGTGGCGACGAGCAGGTGGAAGTTAGATGTTTGTGCACAAGTCTGTACCGGGAATACCTCCATGCTCCCAGAATGCAGCTATAAATATTAGTGTATTATTCTCAAAGAAATAAAGCTGTGTGCAGTAGATAGACCTGTGTATACTTCTGGGAGAAGCTAGAAATGATAGTGGAAGAAATCTATTATTTATTTATTTACTTATTTATTTTTAGACTTGCTCTGTTGCCTGGGCTGGAGTGCAATGGTGCAATCTCGGCTCACTGCAACCTCCACCTCCCAGGTTCAAGTGATTTTCATGCCTCAGCCTCTGGAGTACCTAGGATTACAGACGCCCGCCACCATGCCTGGCTAATTTTTGTGCTTTTAGTAGAGATGAGTTTTTGCCATGTTGGCCAGGCTGCTCTTGAACTCCTGACCTCAGGTGATCTGCCCACCTCGGCCTCCCAAAGTTCTGAGATTATGGGCATGAGCCACTGCACCCAGCCTTGGAATAAATCTTAAGTATCACATGTAGAATGATAGTAGTGAAAGTCGGAGAGAAAATTCTTTTATGGTAGAAGTAAGGAAGGGAACAGAATATTTGAAGGGTAAAAAAGACATTAGATCAATAAACTAATTTATTTTTTTCCTGGACTTAAATTAGTTTTTTATGGTTGGGTTTAGCAAAAGTGCAGAGCTTAGAAATAAAAGAAATGCTTAGAAAGTACAAATACTGAGCTTGAAGGAGTGAAGCAATATGCACATGAACAGAATTAAAAAAAATCAATGTGTGTGTTACTTTTGAATGGGAACTACAGCTACTGTTTCTCATGCATTTGAGACATTATTTATATTTCTCTGTATTTATCGTTCCTTAGATAATGCTAATATGATTCAGCTGAGATTTCCATCACACCTTTTCCTTGTGTGGGTTAGAAACGAAGACAGTTCTTTTTTTAGGAGACTCTGTTGTCTAGGCTCAGTGCAGTGGCACAATCACAGCTCACTGAGCCTTGACCTCCTGGGCTCAGAGGATCCTCCCACCTCAGCCTCCTGAGTAGTTGGGACTACAGGTGTGAGCCACCACTCATGACTAATTTTTTTTTTTTTTTTGGTAGAGATGAGGTCTTGCCATGTTGCCCAGGCTAATTATTCTTCGTGGTATTAAAATTACTTGATTTATTGGATAGTTTGAACTTTTGGAATAATGTATCCAAATAGCTCAGAGAAATACTTAAGTGAAATTCTGTAGGTCTCTGTGCAAGACAATTGCTGATCTCGGTTGGAAAAAGGCGCTCGTAGAGGCTGTTGGCTGAGTGCCAGGGAGGCAGCCATGAGCAGAGCAGTCTCGGTCCTCAGCCCCACTGCAGCCCAGCAGAGAGGAAACACGTCATGTGAGCAGCTACGGTGAGGGCAGCATGTTCTTGAGAGGGAGCACACGGCCGGGGGAGCCCAGACTAAGAGACCTTCCAGAAGAGATGCGTGCTGTAAGAACTGAAGGACGCGGAGGAGCTGGGGCAGGAGGGCACCTTCTCACATCAGCACCCTGTGGGCCTCTTGTGCCTCACCTAGGCCAGGCCCTGGCCAGGGAAAGTGGGAGTGGATGGGGACGAGCACGACCCACTCTAAGAAAGGAATGACGTTTAGTATGGAGCGGGGGACATGGAGGATGAAAGAGGGCAAGTTGCCTGAGGTTGACAATTCTGAACATTTTTTCCATGCCGCCTGCTGGAAGGAAAAGGTGATGAGCTATGCTTGTGAATTTCTCTGAGGCTAAAGTGGAATGATCTCCACTCTCCGTTTTCAATTTCCCACTGTCCGTTGAGTATATACTCTGCACCGTACACTATTCTAGGAGCCGGGAGGTGATAAACAATCAAACAAAACATCTGGAAGAACATGTTCCTTGACACTGAGGATTGCACAGCCTTGCTGGGAGATGGATCCCCTAAGGGAAACAGATACACTGCAATCAGAGGCAGTGCTGGGGCTGAGCCAGTGAGACAGAGGAGGACCTTGAGCCCTGGGGGAGTTCTCAGAGCAGAAGGCGTTGAGAGGAGTTGAAGAAGAAGGCTTCATAGAGGTGGCGGATCTGTCCTGGGTTCTAAAGAAATGGGTAGTGGAAGTAAGGGAGGTGTTCTGGGGTGGGGGGACTGTGTGGACAATGGCCTGGCCCTGGGAGCGAGGAGGTGTGAGAGGGCCCTGAGGGAAGCAGGGCCTGGCTGTAGTGAAACTTTCTGGAAAATGCTGGGAGATAGGTGTGGATACCCAGGGCTGCAGCGGTTACAGATGGCCCTGGTGGCTACATGCAGAGTTTTACGATGTTCTAAGAGCTAATGATGAATGCCAGGGCGGGACACACATGCACGCAGCACACAGCACACACATGTGTGTTCCCGTGGCCCACACCTGTGAACTGGCCCCGGCCCCTCTGAGGCAGGAGCTTCCCGCCTCGGTTTCTGTGCAGGGCTCAGTGTCAGTCATGCTGCCCTGCATCGTGGGCACAAATGTCCCTTATCCACTAGCGGGTGTTCGGAACATCAGCATCCGTGATGTAGGCGACACTCATTCTGGAGAGACCATGGTGAACCATGAACTTGAGTTTGCCCATCTTGACTATCCTGATTAGGAAAGAGAGAAGCCCCCACCCCAAAGGCAGTGAAAGGTCTGAGGGAGGCGAAGTGGGCCATTGTCATGGAGCAGCCTGGCCACCACCGTTAGTGGCAGCTGCTTGCCCCAGTGGACGTCACTTCTGGCTCAGCACAGCGTGTCCTGTGTGTCTTGCCTGGCCCAGGGAGTAGCCCAATCGCAGCATAGGTGCAAGGTGCAGGGCACACACTGGACACGTTGGGTGTGGCCTGACCTCGCCCATCTCGCAGTAGAAGTGATATCTTTGGCTTCATAACATACAGAACCTTTCTTTATTTGTTGATCAATTCAACAAATATTTATTGAGAGCTTGAGGGGTTTCCATCTAAGCCCTGAGGGGATGGGGTGAGTATGGTCCTCACAGGGCAGACACTGTCTAGTGGAGAGACAACAGATGCATGCTCAGGAGCAGACCCCTGATAAATGCCATGCCAGGGGTGGCACAGAGGAATGAAGCAGGGCAGGGCTTGCGGTGAGTCACTGGGCTGGTCAGGGCGGGCTTCTCTGAGAAGGCGACATTTGAGAACACATCTGAATGGCACAGAGAAGTAAAACACATCATGATCTGGGTGGAGATCGTCCCCATCAGAGGGACCCTCAGGCACACAGCCTTTGTGGTGGGAAGCCACCGGTGGCAGGGAAGTGCCTGGTGAGGGAGGGCAGGAGCTGCTGAGCCCGGGAGTGAAGGCTGCTTGCAGACCTCGCTGAGAGGTTTGGGTAGTGAGTGTGGTGGGAATCCATTGGCGGATTCTGAGCATGGAGTGTCACCACCTGACTCCGGGGTGGGATAGGAGACTTGTTTGGAGGCTCCTACAGGTGATCTGGGGGAGACCACAGTGGCTGGGGCAAAGGCAGGCAGGTTTTGGCTGCATTACTGTATGCAGTGGGACTTGCTGATCAACCTCATGTAGGAATGAGTGAGCGAGAGATGGGGGTGGGGGTGGGGAGTGTGTGGTGGGGGAGGTGATGCGGGAGGGGAGAGGAGGGAGAAAGAGAGGAAGACTCCCAGCCTTCTGATCAGAGCAGCTGGGTGACTGTCGGTACCATTCCTGACAAGGGGGAAGTGGGAGGAGGAACAGGTTTTGGGGGAGTTAAGAATTAATTTTTGGACGCGTCCAGTTGGTGAGGCATGTTGGACATCAGAGTGGGATGCGCCAGGCTGGATATGTGAGTGTGAAGTCAAGGAAGAGATCAGGCTGGAGAAACAGACACACAATCTGAGTGTTGTGGATGGTATTGACGGTTGAGGTGCTGGGTGGGATGGAGTTGGTGTTGGAGGAGGCACCTGAAGACTGAGTTCTGGGCTCAGCTTCCTGATAAATAGCCCATCAACCTTGGACTATGGTTATTTGTGGACTTGTCATCTCTCCTCTAGTATATTTTAAGCTCCTTAAAGTTTGGGACCCTGTCTGATAAATCTCTGCTTTTTAGTCCCTTAATGGGGGGAAACTGGCTGAACTAACAGCTGAGACCCATGAGCTTGGAGTCCAGGGTTCAGGGTACCCAGTGAGACCCTGCATCCAGAGATTTTGAAGCCTTAGCTGAAAATCACATCTATCTTTTAATCACCACATGGTCTTGAAAAGGAAGCTCATTAAACATAAATATTTTAAAATTCTTGTAAGATAGACTGTACCTTTATTTTGGGAAAACAGCCAAATTGGCTGTTTTATTGGTAAAGGATTTAGTTTAATTTAGAGATATTTACATTTTCTACTATATCCCCAATCTTTAAGGTTCATTAAAAATCATTTAATAATTGACATTTTGGTAATGTTTTCCAATTTAAAAAACAATTTTGCAAATGGCCGTTGCATTTAGTGCTCACATTTTCTGATATAGGTAATAATAGAAATACCTAGTGTTTAGCATGTTATGATGCAAAGCACTTTGATTTATGTGCATGATCTCATTTGATATCCATATTCTGGCTATTCATTTCCATGAGACTCACACTTCAGTAAAAGCCGCCGTTCTCCGTATGTGATGTCCCGGCTCACATTTCTATGTCTGTGTGAGTGTAATCTGAACATCACATACAGGCTCACATCTTCACGTGGATGCATGCATCACGTTCTGTCTGGAACTTCCTTCCTGTCTTATCCCACTGAGGAATTTCTACTTCCCTTCACCCTGTGAGTAGACTTTGTACCTCTCTTAGAAGAAAATGAGGCCGAGATGAGTTTAGGGAAGAGTCCGAGGGGAATGTGCCTGAACCGTTTGTTCCTCCAGCGTGTGGGCGGCCAAGGTGTCCTGTTGGCCCCATAGGGTTTAAACCACAGTTTGGTGGCCATGGCTCTGTCTCCACTCAGCGGGCATCTCCCAAGTCCTGCGCTGAGCTATCCACAGTCCTGTTCTTTGGTATCTATAGTTCCATCCCTGAATGAAAAGCACACAACTTCCTAGAAGCAAACAAATGAACACAAAAACAGCCAGTTTCATTCCTGCAAGACCCCTGCTGCTGGAAGGAAAACCCGAAATGCCTTTGGTTTATGCAGAGACATTCCAGTTGAGTTTTTTCGGGTGCATTTTTTACAGTTACCCAGCTGCTGACAGCTCATTTTCCCCTCTACCCCCCTCCACCCCAAGCCATCAGCCCCACTCCTTGCCTTCCTCTGCCTGTTCCCGGCTCCATCATTCTGCTCGGCACCCAGAATCCCCGGATCCACGCTGGACACTGCACACACCTTCTCCCTCATCTGCCAGTCAGCAAGCCTTGGAGATTCTGAGCTGATTGATTTCCATGTCTTCCCCCTCCCCAGCCAAGAACATAAGCACGATTTTCTGTCCCTTGGTCTCCCCTCAACAGCCCCTATCGCATGGCTATGATCAAGAATTGAATTTTGGGTTATGATGAATATGTTTTCTTTGATCTTAGCTTTTTTAAAAAAGACAACACAAATTGGTCCTTGTATTTGGTCACCTTTACTTCACGTCATTCTCATAGCAACTCCTGGATTCGCTGTTCCTTTTATTTAACCACGTCCTCTAAAAATTTTCTTGGCGTGGGTGTCTGTGTGGCGAATCTCCTGAGGCCTTGTAAGCCTGAGGACATTCTAATCTTGTCCTTTCTGTTTACGTGAGGGTCTGGCTGGCTTTAATGTTCTTTCCTTCTAGATTTTGAAAATATCACCGTCTTTCCTGTCTGTGTTGCTGCTGAAAGGCCCCGGTTGGTCCTGTCCTGCCGGGCGGTATGGCCAGGTCTTTCTCCCCAGTGCCTTTAGGATGCTGTCTGTGACCTTGGGTGTCGCACTCAGATGTCTGCCGGCGAGTTTTCCTGCAGTTTCTGTTCTTTGGCATCCATGGACTCTTTTACCTGTGGCTTGTCCTCTTTCCTCAATTCCAGGAAATTAATTTTCATGATTTCTGTACATATTTCCTCCTTCCACTCTTACTGTAACTTCCTTTTGAAATTCTTTTCACCGGTGTCGGCACATCTGCTCACCCTCATCTCTCAGCTCTTCTTCTGCAGATCCTGTTTCTTTCTTCCTCCCTGCTTTCCTCTAAGGGCATTCCTCAGTTTTACCTCCAAACAGCAGCTTGCACCTGCTCCATGTCCATTCTACGACTCACCCCTATTGTGATCTTTCTTTCCACGACTTGTGTTTCACATCAGTATTTCTACTTGCTTCTGTTTTATGGTTTCATATTCTTGTTTCATACCGGCAATATCTGCCATCTCTTTGATGGCATTTTTCATATTTGTATGTGAATTCTTGGTCTGTCTGTTCCCACCCTTCAAAGCCTTGCTGTTTGGCCCCCGGGAGCAGTTGCTTTGGGGGTGCCCTCTCCTTAGGACCATCGTCAGTCCCCCACTTCCCTAGTGAGGCTTCTGCATGTTCCTGATTTACTCCTGGGGATTCTGGCACTGGCTGTCCAAGTCCACCAAAGGGGACTGACTGTCCCCAGGCCCCAGCGGGAGGAGAACAGAATTCCAAGCATTGGGTTTCCCATGGAAGCCTCTGCTCCAGGTGGGCCCACCAGCTCCCCAGGTGCAGCTCCGCCATGCCTCTCCCAGGTTCCTGTCTTGACGCCTCCAGGGTCGGTCTCAGGCAGCAGCTCTCGGGATGGGACCCAGGAGAAGCAGCAGCTTGTCAGCCAGGAGCTTGTTAGAAATGCCACACACAGGCCTTATCCAGGCCTCCTGAGCTGGGAGCTCTGCAGTGGGGCCCAGAACTCTGAAGCTGACCCTCTGGGCAGCTCTGACGCCCAGCTCTGCGGAGGGATAGGTTCTATAGATTCCTCCTTTCCATGCCCCCTGCATTTCTTCTCTTCTTCTGCTCCTGCACTTCCTGCCCTAATTCATTCCTTCCTCTCAGGCTCTTGCAGAAGCTCTGAGCCTCCTCCCACAGGGGCAATTCTTCCTCAGTCACATCCTGGCCACAGCTGCCCGCTCACTAGTGCTAAAACATAGCCCTTATCCTCTCTTCCTTGGAAATCTTCATTCTGATGAAATTAATGATAAATGCTCCTCCCCGGAATTCAAGGCCCTTTGGAAACTGCCCCTGTCCTGCACAGTCACAGCTGTGCCTGCACCTCACCCTCAGTGACTGTCAGTTCCCCTCCTCGCCCTGGCTTCTGGCCTTTTTACAGCACCGTACATGATGAAATCCCACCTACCCTGCCGACCCTGTTGCAAGTTCCTCCAGCTCTGTGAAGCCTGCAGCTGGGTTCAGCCTTTCTCCTCTTGGGACCCCAGCCCTTTGCACTTCTCTTGTCATATTTAGCTTTGTAGGCTTTTGTGTGCTTCCTGACTTTGGGGAGGCAGAGACTTTCTTTTGCTTATTTTTATCTAATGCATTGCCTACCTCATTGTCTTATGCATATAGAGGCTCAGCATTGAGTTAATTGTATCATTTCTTAAATAAACTAGTGAAGGAGTACCTGCTGAAAAGGATTACTGAGTAAAAAGTAGACTAATATTAGTCTTTTGGTGCTTATAAAAATGCATATTATTTGCTAATAAATCCTGGTTTGTTTTCCAAGTATTGTTATAACAATGTGGGCCAATTTGTATTAATTTTAGCTGTTATTAGTTAAAATTAATTGAACACTAACCAAGAGTGTAACATGGTTCTCAAGAGCCTATGAGCACTTGTATATAATTAAAAATACACTTTAATTAAAAAATCTAAAAGTGGAAAGCAAGTCTAATCCTGGAAGAGCAGTTCCCGTCGGGTTTAATTGGCCCGTTTGGATAACACGTGCTTACGATGAGCACTGTTTCTCCAGCGGTCCATGCACTAGTCATGTCATAGTGTATGCACAAATACCCCAAGCCCTATGCTACTGGTCCTCAAGTCTCTATCTCATTTCTTCTTTCTGTTTTTACAGATTATTTACAATGAATGGGCATCTTTTGGGCGACTCAAAGGATTTGCAAGACAATCACTTTTATGTTGCTGTGGGACTGGAGACCTTCAAATATTTTCCTTACTGGAAGTCTCCAAGGGTGCCCAGTGAGGTCCAACAGTGAGCATGCTTCGTACCTTTCTTTCCTGAGTTTTGGAAAAAAATTAGCCTTTTCCCCAGTATCTCTCCCAAATAGGTCCAGTTCAGCTATTGGTTATTTTTCAGTAGTGAAATGTAATATTCTTATTTAATGTATGATACAATTTTAGATTTTAAAAATGAGGCGTGGGGGAACTGCTCTTGTATGATGTATTCACAAGGACAGCAAGATCTACACAGAGTCCACTGCTTTTCTCTGGGATACCAGGAGTCTTAGAGATCAGGAGTTGAAATGTGCAACAGCTTCAGAGCTGATTCTAGGCACAGTTATGCCTGCCTGTGATGCACCCAGCATGATGCTTTGTTTTCTTAATTTGGCATGCTTCCCCATATCTAAAATACAGAATTTGTGCTGGGTGTCAGTCTCTCCTGGTGAAAAAAGCCATGATTTTTGTAGTAATCTGGGCATGGCTATGCGGGTGCCACACTGTGTGTGTGTTTATGGACATGAAGCAGTGACCAGGAGGGAGGTGAAGGGTGCTGAGATGGGTGGTTCCGAAGCCCATCTGTGGGATTCTTCATCCTCAATTGTTTAGCCCTGACGGGTGTGTTTGAAATGCATTTCGTGTAGGACATGACTTGAGGGCTTACTAGGAACTTTCCTGGAGCTAGTTCTTTGTCAAGTTTTCAATGATCATTATCTCGAGCAAAGAAAAAGAGCTGCCATTTTTCATCTTATGGTGGAGCAGGACAGATGGTTTGAACACCATGCAGGTGGCCAGCCTTCCTCTATCCTTTAGGTTTTGTGGTACCAGATGTGACAGTAAGGCAGCACATCAGCACGAGTGCTTGAACCTCCACTGAGGGCGCAGCGTCCGGGATGGCCTCCTCCTATTCTGGTTCACGTGCTGCTAGGGTTTGTACCTCAAGGCAGAGAAAGGCTCCCTTTGTCCTGTCTGCCAAGGACGACCCCACAGCAGTTTGATATCCAGGCAGATGGTTAGGTTAGAGTCCCACCTGTATGCCTGGCACACATGGATATTTCTTGATTTTATTGACTTAATTCGTGCTAATAGTCCTAATAGCACAGTGAGGAGGAACACTGTGGGGCTGTGGAGTTGAGTCGTTCTTTCTATCTGCCCCCTACGTGTTTCCCACCTCTCAGTGTGTTTTGCTTTTTGCCATTATCTGTTCATTGGGAAGCCCTGACCAGGTCTGACTGGCTTAAATATCTTTTCCCCTTGCCGAAGTTGTTGAGTTTAGGGTCAACAGGAGGCCACATGCAATCACTCAGAGACTGAAGTTCATGCAGCTTACACAGAATAGACCAAGGAGGTGCTCTGAATTTGCAGAGAATCCTGGGATAGAAGCATTTCCAAATTTGAGAGGCAGCTATTGGAGAAAGCCTCACTAAAGAGGAATTAGAAATGGGATGCCTGCACTTGCAAAGGCAGCAGGTAGACAGGGGCTGTTTACTGTGGTAGAAGGAGGATGGGCTATCTGATCTGCAGGAAGGAAATTGAACAGATTCCTGGGGCGTTTTCTGCTCCCAAAGCTGGGAAATCATTGTTGCCATGAGCCGTGTCCTCTGTGGACAGCTTGCTCCTCCTCGTGGTCACTTCCCTCCTAAAGACAAGGCTGCAGTCTGCATTTTATAGAGATAACTTAGGGCCGGGCTTTACATTTCAAGTTGAACATCTTTTGTCTTGCAGAAGGTATGCGAATGTTGAAAAAAACTCACAGAGAAAGAAAAAAGTAAGTAACTTTTTAAAACAAGTAAGTAACTTGTTTCTGATTCTGGCGTCTTCTGGCATTAACAAGGGCACAGCGCAGGGTGACGGCCCGAGCTGTAAACAGAGCATCAGTGCCAGGGCCTGGGCCAGCATCAGTGCCAGGCTTATAAGGAAAAATCAGATGCACTTCTGAGAATGGTGTGAGTAGGAGAGGAAGTTTATGTTTGGAACACAGAGTCCAGAGCTAAGAGACACACATAGGTATTTATAATGCAACCCAGTAGGTGTGAAGACAAAAATATATTTGGACTTTTACGGGACAGGGAGGAGAGTAACTGACTCAAGCTTGGCATGAGTGGCAGTGGGCTCTGGCGGGGGGTGGGAGGAGGACATTCCAGGCAGATGTGACAGTAAGGCAGCAGTGGGAGAAGCAGCTCACTGCATGCACATGTGCGTGTGTGTGAATACATATGTGTGTGTATGTACTGGTGCATGTGTGTGTATAAATACATGTGTGTGGAGGCATGTGTGTGTATGTATGGATGCATGTGTATGTATGGATGCATGTGTGTGTATGGATGCATATGTGTGCATGGGTGCATATGATGTGTGCATGATGTGTATATGATGTGCATATGATGGGTACACGTGTGTACATGGATGCATGTGTATGTGGATGCATGTGTGTGCATATGAATACATGTTTGCATACGTGCACATGCATGTATAGATGCATATGTGTGTATGCATGTGTGTATGGGTGCATGTGTATGTATGAATGCACATATGTATGTATTTAAATACATGTGTGTATGGAGGCATGCATGTGTATGTATGAATGCATGTGTGTGTATGGAGACATGTGTGCATGTGTACACAGGAGTACACGTGTGTATGAATGCACATGCATGTGCGTATGTATGAATGTGTAGGGATGTATGTGTGTGCATATGACTATGTGTGTGTACATATGGATGTATATGTGTGTATGCATGTGTGTATGGATGCATATGTGTGTGCCTATGACTACATATGTGTGTGTACATATGGATGCATATGTGTGTGGATGTGTGTATGGATGCATATATGTTGTATGGATATGTTGCCTGCATATGTTGTATGGATGTGTGTATGGATGCATATGTGTTGGTGTATAAATACATATGTATGTTTGGAGGTGTGTATATGGATACATATGTGTGCATGTGTGCATGAGTACATATGTGTATGTATGGATGCATATGCATATGGATGCATATGTGTGCATGTGTGCATATGAATACATGTGTATGTATGTATTCACATGCATATGTGTGTATGGATGGATACACGTGTATAGAGGCATATGTTTTTGTGGATGCATACATGGGTATTCATATGGAAACATTTGTGTGTGTAGATGCACGTGTGTGTATGGATGCATGTGTGTGTGGATGCCTGTGTACCTATGTGTATGGATGCATATGTGTGTGTGTGTGTGTGTGCTGATCACACAGTTTGAAGTTGCAGCATAAAGCATGAGGAATAATGACAAGGAGGTATCAGGATACAGGACCAGGAAGATTTGCAGAAGCTGGGTCCTAGAGGGGCTTACCAGTCCTTGTAACTGTTTACGTGATCCTCCTATATCCCTGATCATCCTACAAATACTGCCTTTTAGTGGTTCTATTGACATTAATATTTATTTGACAAAGCTATTGAACACGTACTCTTTCCAGTGCCTGTCTGCCTGGCTCACTGGCTCAAGTCCCCTCCCTACTGTGACACACTGGCTTTGAGGGTCGGCATTGTCCTGGTCTTTTCTTTCCCAGTAACTAACAGATAGCCCTGGGCTTTGCTTTTCTGCTGTTGCAGCTCAGATTTCATGATTGCCATTTTAATCACTCCCTGCAAATAGCTTTGACTTTCTCACCTGCGAGCCACTGTGTGCACCTGGCAAGTGTTCAGCCCTGGGTGAGCCCAGCCTGCACTTCCTCTGCACTTGCACTAATGCAGCGTGGTGTTGTTGGAAATAATGACACTGCTGACCCGAGTCTTCATGCCGAGTTCACGGCCACGGTCCTTATCCAACTTCATTCACTGATTAAGCCTGATGTTTTAAAAAATGTTTTTCTGAATATGTTTTGCCAGGTTTTATTGGAGATTTCTGCATGTCTGCTCATGAGTGAGCTTAGCCTGTCTGACTTCTTTCTCATGTTGTCCTTCTCTGGCTTTTGTTGCCAAGGCTTTTCTTCTGAATTGACTCTTATTATTTTTTGTAGCTTCTTGAGTTGAATGATCGCCTTATTTATTTTAGATTTTCTTTCTCTAAGAAACACATTTTCGTATTAGGTGTTTGTTGAATGGATGAATGATGATCACTGAGATTACAAAAATGATATGCCTTACTCCATTGTTCCATATATAAAGGTCTGCATCTGTAAAGATGTATTATCTTAAAACTCAGTATTAATTTTTTTTGGCCTCATTTTGAAGAGTGGGTGTGTTTCTAAGAATGAAAAGAATTCCACACACAGGGCTTCTCTGAGGCTGGAATTTATGATGATTTGCAGCAACTTAGCCATTTATGATAAATGTGTTTGTTTCTTTACTTGCTTGCCCCAGGTTTTCCATTTCTAACTTGTTAAACCTTTTATCTATTTTCTATGTGAATTGCCACAACATCTTTTTGGAAAAGAAGGTACAAAATTAAAAAAAAATACAGGCGTGCTCTTCATTAAGATATTGCCTTGTGGAATGTGGGGGGCTGTTGGGACCCTTGGTGCTGTGCACATTCTAATAACATCAGCCAATCAAAGTATCAGCTTTCTTTAAAATCAGATGCTGGATTTTCTTTTAAATTTGCAAGCTTAAAAAAAAGTACCTAGAATACAAAACAGAAAGTCTTTCTTGACCCTTCAATGAACATATCACAAACATGACCTAGAACTTGTGACCCACAGGATATCAGGCCGGAATGGGGCACTCATTGATTCATCTGGTCGTCCATGAGGCCGTGGTGAGGTGTTGGCAGCATGCTAAGCACACTCCGCTAGCACGAGACACAAAGATGAGTGGAGTGTAAGTTTCCACGACTGGAGAAGGCAGAGTGTCGATAAGCATGGGCGTAACCCTAGCAGACCTCACCCAGCCCTCCTGCTCAGTAAATTAAATCCCAGTAATTAAATCACCCCAGATGCCACCAGCACCAACCTCCCCATCTCCACAGTTCCAACAGATCATTGACGCCTCTCCTATAAGCTGTTTAACTTCCACATCTGCCTATGTCTCCCCATCAACACTGCCCAATGGAGTCAGGAAGAAACACCTGATACCTATGGGGGGAAAGCACTGTGAGAGTGGGCACGTAGGGGTCAGGGGAGCTGGGCTCCCCAGGAAGATGTTTTTATTTGCAGGGATCCAGATTTAAGCAAGGGAGTACAATGGACTATATCTACTTGATACTCATTACTACTGATGGAATAAATTGTATGGACTGAAAAGGGAGCAAAATAGACAGAGAAGGGCTGGTCCTGAAAAACTGTGACATTCCCAGTGAGGTGACAGGTGGAGCAGAACAGTGGGACTTGAGAGATGCTGTGTATCATTGATTCTATGGAGGGCATGTTCCCACATCCCGACATCCCTGGAACAGGTGCATCTGACGTCGACAGCGTCTCAGGACTCCTGTGGGCAGCCATGTTGTAGGTGCTAGTTGCTCATGGATAAACTTGGCTGTAGCTGCTCATTTGACTGTGTCTTCAATTGAATTGTGTGTGGGGTTGATTCTGTACATGTTGAGCTTAACTGCTGTGTAAAATATCCTCAAAATGATTTTTCTGTGAGAATTGAAACAAAAAGTTATTATATACACGGAAAGACCTAAAAGTAGAACATCACGATGCAAATTTGCTATCAATTGAGTATATTCTTCTTCGATTCCATCTATTCTTGCAGAGTGACAGCCAGCTCTTGTGTAGGACCTGAGACAGGGAGGTCGACACACAAAGTTGCAGCTGCCAGCGTCAGTGATCTGCGTGGTATAACAAACCACCCCCAAACCCAGGTGCTTCAGGCAACAAGGGTTTATGATTTCTCTAAGTCCGGTGGGTTGGCTGCACAGGTCTTGGGCTGGTTTCACCTTGGTTGCTTATGAGGCTGTGTTCAGCGGAAGGTTCGCTGGATTGGGATGTCCAAGCTGGCCTCACTAACACATCTGGCCGCTAGTGCTGGTTGTTGAGCATTTTGGTTCACTTCCATGTGGCCTCTCATCTTCCAGCAGGATGTCACAAACTAGCCTAGATTTCAGGAGGTGGAGAAATAGGCTCTCCCTCAACAGAGAAGCACAGAAGAGCCGATTCACTTTGCAAACCTGTGTGCAGCCTGAGAGGGGAGGGCTGTGTGGCCAGCAAGCAACCAACCACACTCGCATGTGTTTTGTTCCTGAGAGTGGTGCAAAAGGATTGCCTTCGACTCTGCAGGGCTGAAGCACCAGCACCAAAATGTGCAGTTCAGGTACCAACGGCTCAGGGGCAATTCAGAGATGAGGGCGGGGCATCCTTCCCACGCTGCATGCAGAAGCACTGATGCCTTTGACTCGGAGTCAAAAAGTGTCTCAGAAGAGTCAGACTCTGGATGTAAAATCTTGGAGGGTATTCAGGTGATTTGTTTCTGTTATTTTCTCATTTTTCTTTATGTACAAGCATGCTATGTCATAAAAATGGGTGTCTAAATGGTTCTAGAAGGGCTTCTTCAGTAAGTAGAAAATAGAACTTCTAGGAAATTAAAGCATGCTGACATATTTTAAATGGCACTTCCTTTCTTTCTTAGTGGTTTATAAAATAGCTACGTGTTTGCAGTATGATTCATGGAATCTTGATTCAAAGACGTGAGATGGAGAATAACAGAGAGTAATGTAGCACCTCGAGATGACTGTGGAGGACGTGGGAGAAGTCAAGACCGACCTCAGGATTCCAGGGATGGCGGGAGGGTGGTGCATTCAGGAGCCAGGATCAGGTCTGCAGGAGGAGGAAGCAGGACTTTGGGTTGCACATTTGTGTGAGAAGTTGCTTTGCTCTAGACGAGCACATTTATTACATGAGAGTGAAGGGAGGCATGAGAGATAATATCCATGCATAAAAGTATTTTCGATGTCAAGTCAAATTCCTTGTGTGTCCAGCAGAGGATACATCTGCTTCCGTGTTTGTCTGGGATTATCATTGTGGATTCTCTGTGGAATAGAAGGATGGGGCTCCTTTGCATCTAACAGATGTCTGTGAAGTAGGTGACATCTCATTTATGTGTGATGACGATTTTCCTTGGTAAACTAACTGCTGCCGTCAAGGCAAAGCTGTAGTGTTTTAAGAGCAGGCATCTGGCCTCTGACCTCTGCACTTGGAATCCCAGCTGTACTTAACATTCGAGTGGCTTGACTGGACCTCCCTTCTGTGGGTCTCAGGGAATGCTGACTCCCTCCTCTCTTCCCTCTTATTTTACTCTTCCTGGATCTCTGTCATCAGACTTCCTTCCAAGGCCATGAAGTTCTAATTTAAGCTGTTGGAGCTGCACTGTCCAGAATGTTTGAAAGATGTGAGAGCACAGCTCTTCGCCTCTTAGTTCTCAGTTTCCATTTTGAATAGAAGAAAATATTTTTTTCTTAATTCAGCAAAAGAACTTGCATTTGCACTGTTAAAAATGCCCATTTCCCTACCATTTGACCCAGCAATCCCATTACTGGGTATATACCCAAAGGATTATAAATCATTCTGCTATAAAGACACATGCACCCATATGTTTATTGCAGCACTATTTACAATAGCAAGACTTGGAACCAACCCAAATGCCCATCAATGATAGACTGGATAAAGAAAATGTGGCACATATACACCATGGGATACTGTGCAGCCATAAAAAAGAATGAGTTTATGTTCTTTGCAGGGAAGTGAATGAAGCTGGAAACCACCATTCTCAGCAAAGTAACACAGGAACAGAAAACCAAACACCACATGTTCTCACTCATACATGGGAGTCGAACAATGAGAACACATGGACACAGGGAGGGGCACATCACACACTGGGGCCTGTTAGGGGGTGAGGGGAAAGGGGAGGGAGAGCGTTAGAACAAATACCTAATGCATGCGGGGCTTAAAACCTAGATGATGGGTTGATAGGTGCAGCAAACCACCATGGCACATGTATACCCATGTAACAAACCTGCACGTTCTGCACATGTATCCCAGAACTTAAAGTAAAATAAAAAAAAAGCCCATTTCCCAAGGAAATGGAAAAAAAAATCATGAATGCAGTTTAGTTATTAGCACATCTGAAATATACTTTGAAAATAGCCTGCATTATTCTATTGGTTCACTTCACTTATTGCTTGATTCAAATATTTGAGCATTGGAAAATATGCCATTATGAGTCTGCCAGTATCCTGTCTGGCACAATTAACTGGAACTTTTAGTCCAATGAAAGTAATTGAATGAAGCTACTCTCATTATATAGCATTCAGTTTTACGGGAACTGCATTTACTGTGATTTTAATAGCTATTGCCTTCCAAAGAAGAAATGCTAATTTAATAAATGTTTAAAATTGCATTCACATATTAAAATGAATGTTTTATGGTTCAGGCTTCTGTGAAAAATCAGTAAATAGTTAATAAGCATTGTATTTATATCACATCTGCAATCAGAACATTAATATTAAATTCTTCTGGGCATAGAGCACAAGTGTTCGTAGTGAACGGTAATGAAAAGGAGATAAAGCATATAAATTAAGGAGGTGCGTGTGTGTGTGCGTGTGTGTGTGCGTGAAAACAGTTGCAGAGGCATGTGCATACCAGACTGAGACCCACACTTTAATAACCTGTTCTGAACAGTAAATTTCACTGTGAAATGAGTGCTTTGGAATTGACATTTGCTGGCTAATCATGTCAAGGCTGGAGCAATATATCACAACAATCAAGGCTGCAATTGTCATCTTTTAGCAGCCTGAGGATGCAACAGCCAGGTTCAATGTTAGCAAATCTTCCACTTTAATAAATGTTCAAAGCAGGCCTGGTTCATTGGTAGAAGACCTTGACCCACTTGGGATGGAAATGGGACATTCGCATGGGAACTTTTTGCTGTCAGCATTTGTCATTCCTTACCTGAGGATGGACTGACTCTGAAATAGGTTGTTACTGTCCTTCAATTAGACAAACTGGCTCATCCCAAGTTACCCTGGGAGGCTGCCTTTTGTGTGCCTGAGCTAGACAATCTCTTATAATAGCATTAAAATATAGCTGGATTAATTGAAATAGGCTCTGGAGAAAAATAATAGTCTTTAAAGCACTGCAGAGAAATAAAACCAACATACGTGAGGTTCATTTTCTGAAAACATTTTCAATAGGGAGAAAGATGAATGAAATTGAGAAGCGGTACCTGTCCCCTTTGTAAATAGAGCTCACATTGATTTTGGAGGGCTTGAGACTTGAGACGGAGAGAAATATGGGTGTAAGACGTGAGGTTCATGCATGCTTCCTTGTGAAAGCCATGGATTCCTGCTTGATCCATGTTTTCTTGCTTGAACCTTTTTTTTTTTTTTTAACCAAGTGCTGCTGTAGATCCATGTTGTTCTGACAAAAGCCACCTGGAGTGCCATGCACTTTGTCCTGCTCCTGTCCTTGGAAACTTGCAGGCTGGAAGGAGAAATGGCTGTGTAAGTGGAAAACCACAAGGCATGTGGCTGTGGAACTATTCATAACGTGGTGTAGTGTGCAGAGGGGGTACTGGGGGAAGGAAGCTGTGTGTATTCATTCATTCTTACACTGCTATAAAGAAATATAGGAGACTAGGGAATTTATAAAGAAAAGAGATTTAATTGGCTCACGGTTCTGCAGGAAGCATGGGAATAGCATCTGCTTAGCTTCTGGGGAGGCCTCAGGGAGCTTCCAATCATGGCAGAAGGTGAAGGGAAGTAGGTGTCTCACATGGCAAACACAGGAGCAAGAGAGAGAGTCGGGGGGAGCAGGGGAGGTACCACACACTTAACCTGATCTCGTGAGAACTCACTCACTGCTGTGAGGACACATCAAGCTATCAGAGGTCCACCCCCATGACCCAAACCCCTCCCACCAGGCCCCACCTCCAAGGATGGAGATCACAATTTAACATCAGATTTGGGCGGGGGACAAACATCCAAACTATATCAGTGTGGGAACAAGACGACCTTTGAGTTGGGTCTTGGAGGATGTGTAGGAGAGTTCTCCAGGTGGCTGAGAGGAGGCAGCTGTTTTGGAGAGAGTAGGGCTTCAGGGGAACTGACAAGCTGGGGAACAGCAAGCGTGTGTGAGGCTGCCTGGGAAGGGGATGGGGAGGCAGGCTGGGCCTGGGTGAAGGGCTGAATGTTGGGGGAGGGTGGCAAGAGTTTGGACTTTATCCTGAGGGGACATGGACCTTGAGTGCTTGGGTTATGTCTGTACACTGCCCACTGATTCTCCTGAGAGAGCCCCTCCACACCCCTCCCCTGGACCACCATTGATGCCCAACCGCTGCCAGTGTGTCCGGAGTCAAGTCTTACCTGTTCCACTCACTCACAGAGGTTCGTTCTGGCATTTGGATGAGCACTGGCCGACTGCCAGCCTGGCTCTGAGATCCCTCCCTGTCTGAAGTGTTGTGGTCCCCAGCACAGCCCCAGGAGGCAGGCACCATCTCCATTCTATCGCACCTCAGAGAGACCTGAGACCACACAGCTGACGTGGTGGGCCCGCGACCCAGCGCTGGTGAGCGCGGCTCGAGATGTCACCCAGCTCAGGAGATCCCACTGCCAGCCAGGCTCCTAGAATGGTCATGGATTTTTCTAAAATGGAAATTTAATTAGCACGGTAACTGAAGGCTCCTTGCCCTTGACCCTGGCTCATACCCAGGCTTTCGTATCCTTGTTCAGCTCTGTGTCACCAATGCAAGAGCACCCGCCAAGGTGGCCCTAGTCCCACCATGCTGCACGGGGTCTCTAGTCTCACAGCCTTTACTCTTACCTGCTTTCTTCTCTCCCTGGAATATATGTCCTACTGTTGACTGTTCCCATTGTCTGACTGTAAGCACCATTTTCTCTGTAAAGCCATTTTTGGGCTCATTCCAGCATCCTTCACAGCCCACCGTTTAGAATGGACTCTGCTCTTTTGGGCTGGACACAAAACCAAGTGAGGCACTTGCGCTTGGTGCTACCCATGTGTTTCTTTCTGCTGCGTTCTCCGGGGTAGAACTGTGCTCTTTAGTCATGTATTTTCCAGCTGGATACCTTGTAGACACTCAGTAGGCGATTATTGAGGGAATGAATGAATTCACCCACCAGAGCTGCTCAGTGACTGTTGAGGATGCTACTGCTCAGATATAGAAAACTGGAATAAAATTTGAATCCTGCTTTATTGCAACCTTTGCAGATGTTTAGTCTATTAGCATGGTAGTTAACATGAGCAGACTAAATTAGAATTGTAATGTAACCAGAGGAGGCATCGACTTCATCATTTCTCATCGCTTACCTCTATTATATGCAACTAGAAAGATGTAGTCTCTGCTCTCCTCTGACCCAAGTTTTGTGAACTGCTTTGAGACTCCACGTTTAAAAGACAGTTTAAACTGAGCAAAATTAAGAAAAGTAAGTGCAATACTAGGATTGGGTATGATTCAATTTGTAAGGTCCTCATTTAGTGTTTGGGGGTTAGATTACGTTTTCCCTTTTCCATGGAATTAACATTTTGTTGCTTTCTTTTAGTCAGTTTTCCAACTCATATTGTAATTTGCGCTGTTTAAGAAGTCAAGATCTTCCACTTAAATGAGGTTCATCAACAAGCTCTATTCTGGAGGTTGACTAGGACAGACTCAGACTTGGACCACAGTTTAGGCAGGGAAGTTTGGGAGGAAAGAGCATATTTGTATGTCCTGCAGATGGCATTAGCTGGAAAGGACAGGGGCACTGCTTTGTGGGGAAGGTGTGCCATGATTGTGAGACTTCCCCAGCCATGTGGAACTGTGAGTCCATTGAACCTCTTTTTCTTCATAAATTACCCAGTCTCAGGTATTTCTTCATAGCAGTATGAAAATGGACTAATACATAGCCAACTCTAGATCTTTCTATAAAGCAATGCAAGACAGGCCTACATTCTTCAAAGATGCCAAGGTCATGAAAGACAGTCTGAGGAGCTGTTCCAGGTGAGAGGGGAGACTCAGGAGGTCTGACATCTAAATGTGATGTGAATCCTGAACAGATCTTTTCTTGAGTGGAAAATGCTATAAAGCACATTTTTGGGACAATTACAAAATTGGAATATGGATGGTAGAATAGATGAAAATACTATATCAGATGAATATCCTAAATTTGGCAATTGTCTCTGATTATGTAAGAGATGATGTTTCTGTTGTGAGGAAACACACTCTGAAGTATTAAATAGATATCACGTCTTCAGTATTAAGTACTAAAGTACTAAGAGGCAAAGGTGCATGATGTAAGAAACCTCCCAAATAGTTCAGATAAAATATGTACTTAATATAGATATTGGCCTGCAGAATCTGTGTCTATCAATGCCCTGCATTTTCTTGTATGAAGAAATGTCAGATTTTCAACTCTTCTTTCCCTACTGTCTTTCCATCCTCCTGCTCAGTTCATTAAATCAGCAGAGATTTACTGAGCAACTATTATGCTTGCTGAATTGAACACACGCACATATTGAGAGCTGACTCTTTGTTTAGCACGGTGGTTAGTTATGTCAGGGTGTCATAGGGACACATCAAAGAGACCGTTGAGGTGAGGCTTGAGCTGGGGTTTGGAGGATGAGCTGTCATAAGAAGAAGGTGAGGAAGGGACTTCCACGTGGAAGGGAGCTGTAGCAGCACAGGTATGGTGCAGGGAAGGATGGCTTGGATTAGGAAGGCAGGTGGGTCTTAGATCATGAATACCACTGTGCTAGGTTAAGGAGTTTGGATGTCTTCCCAAGGCTGTGGCTACCTCCTTAAGGGTTTGAATGGCGGGAAGTGATGAGGCGTGCTGGCATTATTCACCTGTTCAGTTAACAAATATTTACTGAGCATCTGCTATGTGCCAGGCATGGTTCTAGGCTCTGGGAATTCATTAATGGAGAAACAAACCAACATCCTTGCCCTTGGGTGGCTTCTAACCTTCTGCTGATGAAAGAAAAACACAACAAACATCATCAATAAATTGTCTGTGGATTACATATGCTGCTGTGGGTAAAGTGTGAAGGGCAAGGGAAGGGACAGGGCACCCCTCTTGGGAATGACAGGGCAGAGGGACAATTTGAGCCAAGACTTGACAGGAGGGTGCACCTGCGCTGCTCCCGATTTCACAGAAATAAGGTATTTGCAAAAACTCACATTTCCTGCGTGTGCTTGGGTAAGGTATGAGATGAGAAATAAATTGGTGTAATGACATGGTGCCTCCTGTTTGCCCAGCCATCCTGCTGCATCCAAAGTTACTTTCGTTTTGGGTGACTTTCCACGTCAGGGTGGAGGCTCCGCGTTTGTATCTCATTGCAGTGCCCGGGGTGGTGGGGGCTGGGTCACACCGTGGGTGGTTCTCATTTGCTGTGTATTCTGTGTCACAACTACTTCTGTGCCCTCGTTACTAGGGTGGGTTGTGCATGCTTGTCATTGTCCTTTGAGTACTATTCCAGAGATAATAGGACACCACATACACACTCATACATACACATACACACACACGCACACACACACACACACACACACGGTGTCTTTATCTTAGAGGCCAAAGTTATGGAAAATGTGTCTCAACAACCAGAGTTCAGTGATGCTGAAAAGAATCAACCAGACTTTCAGAATCCCAACCCCCAGCCAAAATACAAGCACCATATACCATTTTCTGTTTCCATGACCAGTTCTGCTAAGATCTCATTTCTTCTCCTTAAGAACATGATTTCAGCTCGTAGGAAAACTCCTTAAAATAGGTAGAAACATTTTGTGTGGTCGCATGTATAAGGTTGGAGGGCTATTTTCATACCTTAATTTCCACAAAGATTGAAAACCTGGCAGTTTGCATCATATGCAATATATTAACGGTACAAGGCAGGTGTTTTTAGTTTGACATTTCTTAAGTGACATAGAGAGCTCGAGAGAAATACCTATTTATATACTTCAGCCTGCATTCACTTCCAAATACTTGAGAAAAGATCAAAAAAAGAAAACCTAAAAAAGACATTTTGTATCATAAAGATAGTTTATGGGATAGAAGTGTAATGGTGCTAAGGGAATTACAGGCAGTCCTGACTTAGTTTGACTTAGGATTTTTGACTGTTTGATGGTGCCAAAGCTTCACGCGTTCAGTGGAAAGCCGTAGGATACTCTCGGAATGCTGGGCAGTGACGGCCACAGCTCCCTGTCAGCCACATGCCCTCTGCAGTGGACGGCGATGCCAAAAGACTTTTCCCGCCTCCAGGCCAACGTAAGTGTTGCGAGCGTGTTTAAGGTAGGGCTGCGCCATGATGTTCAGTAGGCTAGGTGTGTTAAATGCATTTTTGACTTTAGATACTTTCACCTTCGGACATGTTCATCAGGATGTGACCACGTCCTAATTTGAGGAGCAGGTATCTGCATGTCATCTTACTTTGTGTTCTAGTTGTGCTTTGTTGTTATTGTTTACAGATTAAAAAACATGTGAGTTCTCCCTTATTGCAACCCCAAAGTAAACCGCCACATGGCTAATTCTCCTCACAGACGCTCTCATCCTGCTCAGAGGTTCCAGCAGGAACGGCTTTGTGATGCTTGTTGAACAGCAGTTTTTATTCAGCTTTAAAGAGTGTCTCCAAAAAACCAGAGGCGCCTCCTTTGACTTGCTTGTTCCTCTAAAGCAAGCCCTTATTTTGTCAGGTTTTAGGAAGGCCACCTACAGTTAAGAAGTGAACTAACCTTCTCTGCCTGCCAAGGCACTGGGAGGGAGGGAGAGAATTATTTTTGCTGCTTTCCTGAGGGGAATGCAAGTAATAGAGCAGAAGAGGTTGCATTCGAAGTGAGGCTTCTTGGAGGTGCCTGAGTTTCCTCCTACTGTTTCTCTGAGGAACTTGTGTCTTCCTGACCACACCCAGAGAACCTGATCGGACTCCTTGTATCCCACTGTTCTTAATGGACTTTCTCTTCTTCATTTGTCCTGTAGGTGGACTCCAAAGGAAAAGAACCTTGTAAATATGATGGCATACCCCCTAAAACACAGGATTCTGTTTATTATGCCAAAGAAGAAAAGAAGAAAACATTGGCAGAACCTTTAGTCCAAAGGGGTGCAGGTGACGTGCAGTTTCATTCTGCTGTAGGCAGTTCGAAACTTTACCAGGCTGAGAACATGGGATTTTTTTTTTTTCAGAGAAATCTTATACTCCAGAAATATTGTTTGACTTGTAACTATCTGCTTTATTAATAAAAGGTTCAGCTTGTAGGTAGTTCAGTAGTTGGCAGAGCAGAAAAAAAACATTTCACTGCTGAAGGCAATGGGATTCTCTAATTAGGGGGCCTCCAAGATAAATACATATTTAAAATCAGCTTACACCAGGACTGAGTATCTTCTTTTCTAAAGACTGATGACGTAGAAAACAACAAATAAATCTATCTTTTGGGAGAAACATGAACATAAAAGCCACCGAGATTGTTTAGGTGTATTTTTTGAGTATAAGAAACATTTAAAAGATGGATCTTCAGAGCTGGTTTTAAAATGAGATAATTTAGAAAGTGCTCTGACATCTATTTTTACCACTCTGCTACTATTACTAACTCTCACTGAGCTCTTACTGGGTGCCCAGCTCTGAGTGAGGCACATTCATGTCCCGTCTCATGTATGGATACTTAGTGAGAGACTGTGAGTGGTGTGGCTGGTTATGGAGGAGAAAGCAAGGTGGTGGGAGAGGCTTTCCTGCACTTCTCTGCAGCAGCTGAACATTTTTGGAAGTCATTTTTCCTAAACACCCTTCCTCCCCTCTTGGCTTCTTCTTTTCTTTTATTTTGAGATGATGCCTCACTCTGTCACCCAGGCTGGAGTGCAGTGGTGTGATCTCAGCTCACTGCAACCTCTGCCTCCCGAGTTCAAGTGATTTTTGTGCCTTAGCCTCCCAAGTAGCTGGGACTACAGGCACCTCTCACCACACCTGGCTAATTTTTGTATTTTTAGTAGAGACAGGGTTTCTCCATGGTGCCCAGGCTGGTCTTGAACTCTTGACCTCAAATGATCCAACTGCCTCGGCCTCCCAAAGTGTTGGGATTACAGGCGTGAGCCACTGCACCTGGCTGAAGCTGCATTTTCTTAAAATTTATTCTATTACTTTGCTGTCCAGTGGGGTTACTTTGCATGTATTTATTTCTAACGGAATTAACTGGACCAAGGCTTGGTGGACACAGGCCTTCCCTGTGCTTCATCTTGTGGACTGACTACCATGGTGGGCACAGCAATTGCATGACTTTCAGGGTCCAGGACCTTCATGAAGACAGAGACAAAAGCAGACGGGGCTAAAATCGAGGCCACCACGCTGAGCACCTTGGCAGATGCAAACAGGAAGGGCGAGAGGGAAACGGGGTGAGGCGGACGGGGTTTGGGACTGCAGACCAGGTGGCCTGCCCGAAGCTCCAGGATGCCCGGCTTCGTAACTTGGGTTTGGGTCAGGAAATATGCAGTGGACTCCAGCTTCTCCATGGGTTTCAAAAGTTTGTCTGTGTGATTTTCTCCCAGAAGGTGACGTGTATAAAGCACCGACTCCTAGCAAGGAAACCCAAGGGGCGCTGGACGTCAAAGAGGAGCACAATGTGCAGCTGGAGGTGCCTGTGGACCAGGTGGGTGTCCGGGGTCCGATGTCCATGCCGTCTTCACTCCATTCCATCAGCTCCTGCCCGCCTCAGCGTCATCCTTCACCCTCTCCCTGCAAATTCTCTCTGGACTCTAGAATGTTCTGTGTTCCTCCTAGTTAGAGACTGCTCATCTCAGATCCTGTGTTAAGCATTTTCCTGTCTTCCCACCTCCCCCACAGCTTCTGCTGGAGAGACGCCTTTTAACACTTCACTGTGTGTGACTGCAAATTTGGCTTCATCATTATTTGATGATTGTGTCTGTCCCCTCACTAAGCTACTGACTCCATAAGGAAAGGGGCTGGCTGCCTCGCTCACTGTTGGGCCCTGTACCTCACAGAATTCCCGGCATGGAGGAGGCCTTAGTAATTTTTTTGTGGAATGATGACTGAATAATGGAGTAAACAGTGGGATCAGATGGCATGATTATGAAACCTTGAGCCTCTGTTTCCTTATCCATAGATGGGGATGCTGCCTCTGTGCAGGTCTGTGTGTGGCCTGAGTGTGTGGCCAGCACTGGTGCATGGTGGATGCTGGGACACTGTTCCCTCCTCCTGGCCTCAGGGAGGAGTGGGGAGCAGGGTTCTGAGAAGGGGCGGGGTCAGGCCAGGGTTCCAGCCCAGCTGCGCACCTGAGTGAGTCTCCAGCACTTGGGCAAATGGCAGATTGTGCTCAGTGATCTCCTAAAATGCATGCTTTGTCTTCACTACCCACCTGAAGGCAAAACAAGTACATTTCCAATTCTTAGTTTTTGAGCAAAGAATGTATATTCTCTAAAAGGTCAATATTAGCATTAGAGTTCCATTTTTATTCCTCTAAAATAGATGAGGTTCCACCCCTGCTCCTGTAACTGTAAACCACCAAATCCTGGTATCCAGCAAACTTTTCCACTCCTTTCTCCGAATGGATCACTCTTAACTTTGGCACTTTGTTTTTTAACTTCTGCTGTATTTCTTATTTTCTGTGACACATTTGAAAAATATTACAGACTGCCTCTCAATATTCTAGCTTTCCACTTCCTTTTTTTGGCATTTTGAGCACCTTTCCTATGAGTCCTGTCATATTTTCTAAATTTCTAGTAATATTATTTTCTCTTTTCCTTGACATGTCAAAAATGACTAAAAGATTTCATTTTCTTCGCAAATCCAAACTAACAGTTAAAATATTTTGTATTGCCCACTTAAGAGTTTTCTAGTGATAAGGAAACTAGGACATTTTAGGCTGTTACTTGTATGCCAAATATACCGTTGTCACTAGGATGTTACTGTGGCTTTCTGGGTTGTAGACTGTGTGTCCAACACAACTTTTCAACACAGGCAGAATCCTCGTGTGACAAGCACTGTTGTCATAACTTTGCGTATAATAAGCATATTCATAAGTTTTGGTTGCCGGTGATTCTGATTTCCATCGACTTTGAGGCAGTGGAGTGAATTCGGTTATCCCGCACTAATGTGAGGTGAGAGGAGGGAAGAGGGCCAGTAGGTCCCTGGGATGCTCCACCCACCAGCCGTGGAGGAGGAGGGGCTTCCAGAAAGCGTTTTCTGTGCAGCAGTTTTCCACACCAGGTAGGGCGAAGTCTCAGTGAATGGAACTTTCTCGCTGTCAAGCGGCAATATTAACACAAGTCCTGTGGCTTTGAGTGACACAGAAACAGACTCTCAGCCATTGTCTGTGGATAGGAAGACCCCCTGAGGGTGAGCTAGGTCATCCGTCCTCCCTCTGCATCCTCCGTGCGTGGCGAGAGCAGAAAGAGCGGCTGTCAGCTGGGATGCTGGGGACAGCTGAGTGCCAGGAGGACCCTTCCTGCACAGCACACCTGGGGAGGACGTTGCCTCACCTTGTCTCCCACTCGCCGGGTCCTGACATGCAGCAGGTGTTTCACAAAAGCTTATGAAATCTTCCAGAAGTGGATACAAGAAAATCCCATGCACTTAATCAACAGAGGCAAGGCATGAAGCTCAGGCCATGTAGACAGAGTGGTGTTGCCCAAACCGCGTTCTGCATCTTTGAAAATGCACACGTGGGAGGCGCCACTCTCATATCTCTCCTTGGGGGAATCACGGTGCACATGAGTGTATTGTTTCAGAGAAGTCCTAGAGTTAAAATTATGTATAAGCTTTTGGTTAATTCTGTTTATTTCCCCACGAACCTTTTCTTGCTAGGACTCTTCATGACACACAGTTGAGACCTTGCCTGTGTGCCGTTGTCCAAGGACCTCCTTCTTTCCTATGGAGCAGGAACATAGGATGTGGTTTGTGCAGACCCTCTGTTCCTGGGACAGTCATGGACCGGGTGGGTGGCTGCATCCGAGTGGGCCAAGCCTGGAGAACTTGCGCGAGCGTGGCTGGCTGCCTGGCCCCACTCTGCGCCTGGCCCGTGCTGCCTGCTGGGCAGGCTCTTGGCTCTGCGTCAGGGTGACTGGCATACCCATGGACACAGGGAAGGTGCGTATATCCGTGTCGTGAGAACTTTCCAGGCCATTAGTGAAGGACGGTTTGGCCCTAATATTATGCCTTCATGGTGCTGACTTCTTTAGTAATCTGGAATACTGTCTCCTGTTTTTGAGTAATGATTTCAACTTTGTGGGTTAGCCTGAGCGTCTCACATGCTGTTTCTCATTGTGTCTGCAGTATTACACTTTCTCCAGTGTAGTGGCACCATAAAGGTAAAATATTACAAAATATAACATCCCGACTAGTAAATGTATGAATTTGGAGTCAAGCCTTCTAGGTTGAAGAAGGGAACCTCATGAATGCAGAGTCCTCCAAATCCCAGGCCATTGCTTCGTGGTCAGTGACACTAACAGCACAGCATCCGAGCATCCATGGAGGATGTCCAATGTGGAAGGACACTTCGATTTTCCTGTGACACCTTCAATATCTGTTACTAAACTCCCATTGTCAGGTTTGGAGAAATGAAGGATGTGGCCCGTCCTTGGCCCCTGTGGAGGGGCCTCATATGATCTTTACGATTTGTGATGATAAATAAGACTTTGACTCCGCAGCCCCCTTTCCTGTCACCTTTCCTTTATTCCAGTGTCTAGGAGCTTCTCCCAGTACTTGTTAGTCAGTTCTGGAACATCTCATAGCTGTGCAGAGGAGGACAAAATGGAGCACGGCCTCACTGAATGTGGGCAGGGAGGGTCGGAGGCTCAGCTGGGAAGTCAGGTCATTGGGGGCGCTGGGTGTTGGTCTTCCTGACAGTGCAAGATGAGTGTTCATTGTGCATTTTGACCTGTACTTGGATTTCTAGAATGTTCTCACTTGTTCAGCCTTTAATTGTTTTCTTATTAATTTACTCACAAAACAACACATACTTTTAATCATACAAGTCACTTTTCTGTCCTCCAGCTTCTGTCACCTGGGTCTCTATCAACGGACACAGGGCTTTCTGCAGAGCCCCTGGCTTATGGGCAGGTGTTGGGAAGTTCACACTGGCGTTTCAAGGCTCCTAGCTGTTTTGAAAGCTCATTCTTGTAGCACAAACTTGACACGGAGACTCTCACAGAGTTCTGTGGGTGCTCATCTGTGGCTCATGAGAGAATCAAGATTGGGGTTCTGCATTAGGGAAGCGGTAACCTGAGTTAATCCAGTGATCTCAGTTACCTGGGTCATCAAAGTGGGAAGCTTCAGAGTCACTGAAACTCATTTGTCCTGAACTAAGTGGTTGTGAATAGGACGGAAGGCTTAGCTTGTGGGAACTGCAATGGGAGCAAGAGGGACAGGGTTTCGGGGTGGAAGCTGTGGGGCGTGGCCGGCTGTCAGAGAGAAGGCGATTCACTGGTGGTTGTGGCGTGAATTATCGCCAGTCTTTAACGACCCCCTGTTTTTTTTCCCTCCTAGGCTGCATTCCCTCCTTTCTTGAGTTTTTATTTTTAAGAAATTATAATTTATTTTCAAAGAATTTTTAATTTTTGGTTATAATAGCAGATAATGTATCCCCTTGGCATCCACCCCTCCCCCACCATCTCCATCAGCAGAGGGAATCTGTAGATGCGCGGGGGTGCATGGCCTGTGTGCCTGCTGCCCGATAAGCTTTCATTCTCAGAGAGCAGTGAATTTTTACACTAAAGTCTCGAATCATTTTGCCCCAATGTTAAGGAATAATTTTCTTACAATCTGTGCAAAAAAGGCACCCAGATGTTAAAACATTAATGTTGAAATTCTGATTTAAGTACTACATTTTTACAAAAGCAAGGTCTTCTTCCAGTGATAAGATTATATTTAGTTTTGTAACTACTTTAAGAAGGTGGGCAAATGTGTACAATTGGAAACCCTGCCAGGTCCAGGACACTCACCTGTGATTCCTTTCTTGGGGAAATAGTCTAGAATTTACTCTGAACATGGCCAATTCCATTTTAGTAGAGCAGGCTGCTTCATCCTTCCCCAGGTGGTAAGTAGGCTGTGCAAACCCCAGGTCTTCAGCTGATGCGTGAGAAGCATGGTTTGACTGAAATCACAAAGGATTGGGTCCATTTCTACTCTTCTAAAATCCAGTTATTTTTAGAGAGTCTCAAAGAGTCAGTGCAAAAGGAGAGTATCTTTCCTTGGATTCTCAAATAGCAACTAGGGCAGTGCCCCCTGCACTGTGCCTCCAAGGGGTGTAATGCATTTCCCTCCAGAGAAAGAGATAAGAATAAGTCACCAACCAAAGAGAAACCAAAATAATTGGGACTAATTAGGAGAAGGTCAATCTAAACTTGGGTAATCTGTGAATTGTTTAATTGGAAAAAACCTAATGAAGCTTTAGGCTTTGGCACTTTTATCTGTGTAGAGTAACTCAGACGGAGGCCACTGAGATCCTTGGGGTGTTGGCTTTAATGAATAAATTAAAAGTATAATTAGCTACTATATCTGTAAGGATGTTTTGGCTGTAAGGAACGGGAAACTTCAAGAGAAGTGGTTTAAACAATCAGGAACGTTTATCAGGCCACCTAACAGAAGGACTCGAGCCTTCCGTGTGGGAGAGGCTCTGGGGTTGGCCCCCTCGAGCCTCGGGGAGTGGCTGGGCACCCCATTCTTCCACTGCCTCCCTCCAAGCCTTCACCTTTGGCCTTGGGCTTGTCTCCTCATGATCTCAAGGTGGCAGTCTCTGCTGTGGCTGGCACACTGAGACATGGGATGCTGGGGAGAGTAGAGAGACTGCACCGTTTAAACGGTGAGGAGAGGCTTTCCCAGGGACCCCTCTGAAAGCTGCCGCGTGTCTATGCCTCTCTTGTCCCTAGCCAGGGAGAGGTGATTGACCTCAGGTGGTTTAGCGGAATCAGCCTTTACTTCTCGTGTCTGGAAAGGGATTCAGGCTCCGCTGAAATGTATGAATAGTATTTGAAAAAATTTTGAATTTTTGATTTTTTTTTTTTTGAGATGGAGTTTTGCTCTTGTTGCCCAGGGTGGAGTACAGTGACACAATCTCAGCTCACTGCAACCTCTGCCTCCCAGTTCAAGCGATTCTCCTGCCTCAGCCTCCCAAGTAGCTGGAATTACAGGCATGCACCACCATGCCTGACTAATTGTTTGTATTTAGTAGAGACGGTGTTTCACCATGTTAGTCAGGCTGGTTTTGAACTCTGGACCTCAGGTGATTCACCTGCCTCAGCCTCCCAAAGTGCTGGGATTACAGGCATGAGCCAGTGCGCCTGGCTGGATGTTTTTTTTTTTTTGGGTGAGGAACAACGTAGGGAGTGGCTCTGAGCTAGGCAGCTGTGGCTGTGAGCTAGGCAGCTGTGGCTGTGAGCTAGGCAGCTGTGGCTGTGGGCTAGGCAGCTGTGGCTCTGAGCTAGGCAGCTGTGGCTGTGGACTAGGCAGCTGTGGCTCTGAGCTAGGCAGCTGTGGCTGTGGGCTAGGCAGCTGTGGCTCTGAGCTAGGCAGCTGTGGCTGTGGGCTAGGCAGCTGTGGCTCTGAGCTAGGCAGCTGTGGCTGTGGGCTAGGCAGCTGTGGCTCTGAGCTAGGCAGCTGTGGCTGTGGGCTAGGCAGCTGTGGCTCTGAGCTAGGCAGCTGTGGCTGTGGGCTAGGCAGCTGTGGCTCTGAGCTAGGCAGCTGTGGCTGTGGGCTAGGCAGCTGTGGCTCTGAGCTAGGCAGCTGTGGCTGTGGGCTAGGCAGCTGTGGCTCTGAGCTAGGCAGCTGTGGCTGTGGGCTAGGCAGCTGTGGCTCTGAGCTAGGCAGCTGTGGCTGTGGGCTAGGCACCTGTGGCTGTGGGCTAGGCAGCTGTGGCTCTGAGCTAGGCAGCTGTGGCTGTGGGCTAGGCAGCTGTGGCTCTGAGCTAGGCAGCTGTGGCTGTGGGCTAGGCAGCTGTGGCTCTGAGCTAGGCAGCTGTCGCTGTGGGCTAGGCAGCTGTGGCTCTGAGCTAGGCAGCTGTGGCTGTGGGCTAGGCAGCTGTGGCTCTGAGCTAGGCAGCTGTGGCTGTGGGCTAGGCAGCTGTGGCTCTGAGCTAGGCAGCTGTGGCTGTGGGCTAGGCAGCTGTGGCTCTGAGCTAGGCAGCTGTGGCTGTGGGCTAGGCAGCTGTGGCTCTGAGCTAGGCAGCTGTGGCTCTGAGCTAGGCAGCTGTCGCTGTGGGCTAGGCAGCTGTGGCTGTGGGCTAGGCAGCTGTCAGGGTACAGGATGTTTAATCTGTGCCATCTGCCCCTTCTTCATCATAGAAGGAGAGGTCCGTCCTCTCCTACCCATATATCCCCTCCTTCCAGATGCTGGATCCTTTCCCGCTCAGAACCTCTCAGGACTGTGTGTCATCAACTGCTTAATAATTTTCTCTCTTTCCTTGGTGTCTTTAGCTTCTCTCATGCCCGAGTCCTTCTGGCTGGCATATGAGCACGCTGAAATCACTCTTGTTATGAGTAAAAACAACTCTTTCTTGGTCTCAGTCCTCTTTGAGCGTGTCTGTCTCCCCTCATGCGTGGAGCTGGTCTGCAGGGAGTGGTGTCTCCTCACTTTCTCCATCTTCTCCCCTCTTCTTTATCTCTTCAGGCTTCTGTCCATAGTGGCAAAAAACAGCTCTTCCGCTCTGTGCCACCAAACCCAACACATTCCCCAGTTCTCGTCACACGGGACCTTCACCACCCATGGCGCTCCCGGCCACTCGCTTTTCCTTGCAATGCTGTCTTCCTTTGGCAAGAGAATCTCGTCAAATGAGACTCCTGACTTCCCTTTTCCCTCTGGCCGCTCGTTGTCCTTCTCTTAGGCTTCTGATCATCTCACTGGCCATCAGATGCTGGCTTTCAGCAAGGATGAGGGGTAGGGCATCTTCTCCTCTCACTCTGGATGTCCTCTCTATGTGATATAAAATTCTGTATCACCCCAGTGTCAGTGTGTGTGACCTCCAGGAACATATGCACATCTGCTGAATTAACACCTCCTGTAGATGTCCTAAGACACTGAAGCTCAGCAGAGTGAGAATGCAACTCGCGGTCTCCTTCCCCTGTCCTCAAACCTTCTTCTCTGCATGAATGACACCCAGATCCATTCAGTAAGACAAAAGAGAAACTGAAGAGGTATTCCTGAGAGTGACCTCTTCAACCCTTCTGTATCCTGATCATCTTGGACTCTGTAGTTTTACCTCCTGAATGTGTCTGGAATCTCTCCACCCCTCTCTGCCTGTGTTACCATCTCTCTGGTCCCACTTAGCATCCTCTTTTGGTTAGATTGCTGCTGTCACTCCTGCTTTTCATGCACTGACCCCCAGCAACTCTGAAGCTCAGCGCTTCTTCCTGCAACAGGGCTGTGCACATGCTGCTCCATGCACCAGGCCTGTTTTCCCATCTGTTTTTATATATTAACATTGTTTCATCCTTCAGATTTTACATTAGTAGTCAATTACCAGAGGATGTCTTTGTTGCTTTCCCATATATGTTAAATACTATTACATTCTCTTTCTGTTCCATGTACCTCTCCTTGTAGCACCTGTCACAGTTGTTTTGTTTGTGTGACTATTTAATTAATATCTGTCTTCCCTATAAGACTCTCGACTTCTTGAGGGCCTTGTTTGTTTGTACTCACAATCACTTGTGTCTTCTGGCATTGTGGTATTCAGTATGGTGGGTGTCCTCTATATACTTGCTGAATAAATGAATGAATCAGTGATTGATATCACATCGACTATTCTTTAAAATAACATGTTTTTGATTGACATTATGTTGATTATTCTTTAAAATAATGTGTTTTTACAAAGCTTATTTTTTTACGTGGTTTGAGCACTCACCATAGAGTTTTATTCATTGCGACTGCTTTTCTACATAAGCTATAGGAAGATAATGCTCATACAGCCTTGGTCTGAGTTTTCAGAAGGTCTGAGGTCTGGGCTGATGGGGTCTGCCATACTGAAGACATACCTACACGTCTGCCTCGCCACGGAACACTGTTCTTGCACATTCAAGGTCAGCTGGCAGGAGCTGTTGGGTCTTCATGGCTCATTACTAATGGCAGTTCTTTTTCTCTGGTCACACAGTGAGAATTCACTTCTCTGCCCACTGTGACTCAGGGTGGCCATGCCACCTGCCTTCCCTGATGACAGGTGAGTGGTTCCAGGAAGGTGCATGAAGAGCCAGTGTGTGATTTCCCACACCGCATCTTCTCTTCCTTTGCAGTCAGGAAACAGGAGGCGCCAGGGCCTCCATCAGTAGGTTACCTGAGTGGCTGTGTGGACGGGACACCCCCTGGCCAGCTGGACGCATGTGCAGCACCCACACCGCATCTTCTCTTCCTTTGCAGTCAGGAAACAGGAGGCGCCGGGGCCTCCATCAGTGGGTTTCCTGAGTGGCTGTGTGGACGGGACTCCTCCCGGCCAGCTGCCATGCATGTGCAGCACGCATACTTGGTTGGCGTGTTATTGCAGCCTCATCAGCCTGTCCTGACTGCTACAGAAATATAAAGGAAGTTGGTCCTGGAGAGTCTTTTCTTTGGTCACAGAACCACATGCTTCTCCCCAAGAGCAGGGAGAGGCTCCAGGACACAGATTAGGACAGATCCTTGTCTTCTGCCAGTGTGCCATGAAAACTAGGAAATAACCATGGAGAGTGAGAACCCACTGCTATGTGAGGAGTGAGGGCAGGCAGGCTGTGGAGGGCGTCTGCTGACCAGGGAGCAGAGGGCCCTGGGTGGGGTCCTCATGGTGTCCCAAGAATTACAAAAGCACCTGCTGACCAGAGGTCTCTGGAGCGCCCACGCCACTCCTTAGAAGAAAGAGGTTTCTCCAGCAATTTTACCAAGCAGGTTGACATTTTCTTGGAGCCAAACACAAAAATGCAGAGTGGATGCCATCCTGCATCTGGAGAAACTGCAGTGACTTCCCCAGCTCTACCCATAGAAGTGGTCTAGAAGGTCGCACTATTTCACGTGCTCTCTGATTTTTTAAAAGGAGTTCCACATAAGTAGTTGATAAAATGTGGTGTATTTTCTCCCCAGAGACAAGCTGAGATAGTTAAAGAAGATGAAGAGATACATGAGAACACCCCTGATTTTGAGGGCAACAAGGTGAGTTCATTTTATTTTGTGTTTAATGGCTTGGATCTAAGGCACCTGACACTTTGAACAGAGCTCACGTTTGGTGGTGAAAGGATCTGAGATCACAAGTCGCTTCCAAAACACAAGCCAGCGCGGAATCGGAAGCGAGTGCATTTCGCAGGCAGCCGTGGACACGATCGGGTTTCCTGTGCCAGTCAATTACATGAGTCATTTTAATCACATCTACACTTGTCCTAATTACTTTCCGCTCTACTTCCAGTCACAAACCTAAAAACTTTTCCCCCAGCAAGTTTCAAGATGTACTTTTAGCTGGGAACGTCCAGGGAGGTGAAGGAAGGCAGCAGGTGTGCAGGTGGCTGTGTGGAGTGGACACCTGGGGTGCTGACTGGCGTAGTTTGTGGCGTGGTGTCAGTGGCTGGTCCCGCCGGGGAGCACGAGGGTGAGGGCGTGCGGTGCCTGTGTGCAGATGGCAGTGGAAGCCAGCGCAGGACGCTTGGCAGTGTGGGTTCTTGCTCGGTCTTCTTCCTATCTGGATGTCCTGGAAACTTCCTCCATGCAGGGAGCGTGTGTCTGTGGTCCTCTATGAGATTATGCAACTTATCGTCCACATAAAATGTGTGTATCTGGAAAACAGAATTTACTTTAAATGTATCATTTTTAGCTAAGAAGTGGACTTTGAGGACTTTGTTTTCAGAATTCTGTCTGTGGATCTTTATTTTTGTTTCAAGGTAGTCTCTTGTTTTTAAAAGTTTGGCGGCAGTCAGGGAGCTGTGTAAATTGATCATCGCACAGGAGGCTGTGTAATGAGCTCCCGGATTCATTAAGTCTGAGAGTTGCAGTCTGATTTATCCTCCAGGGCTGTAAACAGGCGGGGACACTCGCAGCCTTGCCGGGAGTCACTTTTTTTTGCTCTTAAACTTGCCCTGCAGCTTCCTGGCTGCCACCTTGAAGAAAGGGGAGGAGTGACCCCTAGGGAGCTTGTGCCAGGGTGCTGGAGCCACGCAGGTCACCCCCGGCGCCTGACACAACTTGGAACGGGTGTTTGTTGGAAGGGATATGGGTCCTCAGGAAGTTAGTTCAGGTTTTTTAGAAAACACCAAAGCAGCTTCTGATCTAAAACAGAGAGTCAAACAGAATACACTTGTAAAACAGCTCATTCTTCTTTATATTCCTGGATAATTGTGGAAAGGTATCCTGTCTGTATCTGGATGAGTAGGGAAGACTGTCAGACGAAGAGCAAAGACAGTTTTTTATTTCTTTGGCACCCTCCGTCGAGGGTAAGAGTGTGTTCTGAGAGCAGGAGTGACAGTGCAGACATTTGTCTTAGAGCATTAGGCTAAGAGGGGCAAACAAGCCACCGGCTTACCTGGCTTACCCTCAAGGAGAGGGTGCTCTTATGTGAATGGCATATTTCAACAGCGATATGATCCAGGCCTTCTGACTGCCGTGAGTTTGTGGTGTCCCCTGAATCCCTTGTGCACACTGGCGGTTGAATTTGTCATCTGTGCTTAACTGACTTGTTACGGAAATCTACTCAGGCTGCTGGGGGGATCCATGCGTATTAGTGACTTGATAACAGCCAGTAGCAGATTTAATTTCTTAGAGTGAATCAAAATGTCTTTCTTAATGTAAGCACTATCACTGGAATTCAATGGCAAACCCAAGCACCTAGTCCTCAGGTATCCGGGCCAAGGATCTAAAAGGTGATAGGGACAGCCATACCTTGGTTCTCTTGCCTGAACATTAATGACGGGAGACAGGACAGGGAGGGCTGGGGAGCAAACGAAGGCATCCCGAGCTTCACCGTGCACCAGGCACTGCGCAGCCGTTCCCACATACCCAGCCCTGTCTCCACTGCACAGTCGATCTTTAAGGAAGGCAGAATAAACAAGATTAAAAACAATGAGATGGGGAGTTTAGGTAGCTTGTCGGCGTCACGCAGGAGGTGATGGGGCTTGGATTTGAAGCTCGTTTTGAGCGATTCCAAAGGCTGTGTTTTCTTCTTCCAGTGAACCTTGCTGGTTATTTATATATAACTTTCCGGAAGAGGTATTTCCTGTATCAGGCTTCACACTGTGTCCCTCGTAGATACCGTTGCTTCGCTGGCGCCACCTACTGCTTCAAGGGGTGCAGGGTGGCTCAAGTGTTTCAGTTCTAACAGCTCAGTCTTTGCTTCTAACATGACTGAAACAAACCTTTGTTGATGTGAAGCAACTCATGGGGTTGAAGGTAATTGGCCCTAAAATTTGGCCCACGTTTTTGAGGGCTCAAGAAGAGCAAGCGTTTTATATGCATTATACTAGCTGTAATAACAATGAAAAAGAAGCAGGACTCAATTAGCCCTTCCTGGCCAATAGGCCACGGTGAGCTAACCCTGCTCTCAATGAACTGTAGTTCACTTGGCATTTCATTTGTACATTCATTTGACAAATTAATCATATGACATTTATTTGATATTGATGATATTAAAAATTTTAGGCATATGATTGCCGGCTTGACCTCCTCAAAGACCGGGATTGTGTCCTGTCAACTTATGTATCATTCAGTGTCTTATATACAGTAGGTGTTTAATAAATATCTGCAGATTTGCTTTCAGTTGCCTATGATGAAGTTACTTAAATATGTAATCCTGGAGTAAAATGCTAATTACCTTGCAAAGTTGTAAGAAGACATATTATAAACTTTATTTATAAATATGTATTGTTCAGGCACAGTGGCTCATGCCTGTAATCCTGGCAATTTGGGCGGCTAATGCAGGAGGATTGCTTGAAGCCAGGAGTTTGAGAACAGCCTGAGAAACATAGTGAGACCCTGTTTCTACAAAAAATTAGTGAAATAAAAAAAGGTAGCCAGGTGCAGTGGTGTGCACCTGTAGTCCCAGCTCCCTGGGAGGCTGAGGTGAGAGGATTGCTTGGGCCCAGGAGGTTGAGGCTGCAGTGAGTTACAGTTGTGCCACTCCAGCCTGGGTGACAGAGAGAGACTCTGTCTGGAAAGAAAAACAACAACAATTACTACTATATATAGAAAAGATTTCTGATGCTTGATCACAAACGTTATTTTTGTGGTAGAATACAAATTATTTTTGTGGTAACATATAAATACAATTTGCCATTTAACCATTTTCAACGTGCAGTTCAGCGGCATTAATCACGTTCTCCGTGTTGCACAGTCACGGCTATGGTCTGGTTCCAACACCTTTTCGTCCCCTCACACCGAAACTCTGTGCCACCTCCCTGTCCTGCGCTAACTCCCCGTTCCTTGCTTTGCCTAGCTCCAACTGTGTTGTCATTTGAAGCACTTAAAACAATCCCGGCCTGAAGGAGCTGTTCAGATGCAAGTATTATGATGGGATCCTCCTCACGCCACAGCTCAGGGTGCATTCATTTTATAATTATGTATGTCAATAGCATAGAAGTGGGAGCAATCAAAATCAAAAGCAAAAATAGAACTGTGCTTTTGGATGACACTTCCTCATCCTCAGAATATTTTAAACATGTTAATTATACAATCACTACAATTCTGACGATATTGGGCACTGTAATAACATTTTTCATCCTTAAAGATGGAATGTTATTAACATTGGAACACTGGGATTTTCTTCAGTTCTTTTTTTTTTTTTTCGAGACGAAGTCTTGCTCTGTTGCCCAGGCTGGAGTGCAGTGGTGCTATCTCGGCTCACTGCAAGCTCCGCCTCCTGGGTTCACACCATTCTCCTGCCTCAGCCTCCCGAGTAGCTGGGACTACAGGCACCTGCCACCACACCTGGCCAATTTTTTGTGTTTTTAGTAGAGACGGGGTTTCACTGTGATAGCCAGGTTGGTTCTCAATCTCCTGACCTCATGATCCACCCACGTTGGCCTCCCAAAGTGCTGGGATTACAGGCGTGAGCCACCGCACCTGGCCTTCTCCAGTTCTTAGTGCTTGATTTGTTTGGACTCATTGGTTCTAAAACATCTTATGTGCAAGCAGCACTGTTTAATTTACGCTACCTGCAAAGTTTGTAAAGCAATGCGTAATGGTTTTGAAAAGGTTCAATCCCTTTCCAAAGCAAGATGGAAAGTATGAATGGCAATGCCAAAAAATGTATCCACAGGCCACGTGCTCAGGGCTCTCTCCAAGGATGACACGAGCTTCCTATCCTTGGAAGTATCTCCGTGCGGTCTGTAGCCAGCTCTGGAGGGATGCTTTAGAGAAGGGTTATGCATAGGAGTGGTCGGGTATTGTGTGACTCAGGTTTTTCTCTGATTCTCAGTTATCGACCTTTCAAATAGTATTTAGGTGTTTCATACTTTTGAAAAAGCTGTATAAAAATTTCATGGGTAATTTTGTGTATTCAATAAAGAGAGAGAGGGACAGGAAGAGGGAGTGGGAGATGGACTCTGATTTGGGGTTATGATTTTCTCTTCCTCCAAGAGCATCCTGTGCATGTTCTGGCCTATCCGGAGCTGTGCCTGATGCCTGCTGCACCTCTGCCTTTCCAGCTCTCACCCACTTCCAGGGCTCACTGCAGAGCCAGCCTCGTCCTTACGGCTCTCTGGATCCTTCTTCCCCAGGGAGCATCTCTTCCTCCACTAACCTCCACTAGTATTTTGTTTGTCCTTCCTACGCCGTCCAAAGCACAGTTTGGCTTTAATTAGAGCTGTTTGTGTACGTCTACTGTCTCTTCTGAGTGACTTACATTTTCTGAAGGAAGAGTCTCGACTTAATTCATTTTGGTGTCATCGTTAGTGCCTTTCATATCACCTTGCACACAGGAGTAACTGATCTTGAGCTTGATAGAGACTCTGGAAGATATTAGGTGACCAGTGTGTGGCAGTGGAGGTAGCGTGGGGCATCGCAAGGCCTCTGGCCTGAGGCCGGAGTGTGGCCAAGCAGGAGCTGAGCGTGGCCCCAGTAGAGGGGACTAAAGATGAAGGTGGATATTCAGTGAGTCTCAAAAGGCTAAATCAGAAGAAGTAATTATCTCCAAAGCCTTAGTGTTTATCTACATGAAAATCAAACTTTTCTCTTTGGAAAATTTCATAAAGTTAAAAGCTAAACAAAATAAGGAAGAAAATATTTGCAATACAAATCAAATTTTCTTGATTTACACAAGTCTCATAAATCATTAACACAAAGCCCAATAAAAAGAAAGGCAAATAAGACAAACAGGAAATTCACAAAGAAGAATACAAATTTCCAAAAGACATAAGGAAATATGTCCATATCATTCCTAATTAAAGAAATGCAAATAATAAAAATGAGGTTTTTTTGTTGTTAAATCAGATTGACAATGTCCAGTGCTTAATAAATCCAGATTAGGGATTTGTTTTACAACATTCCTCTTGCAGATAATTGAATGCTATATTTTTATGTTAATATGGATGCAGAAAAGTAGCAATACTTCTTATTAGGGTCATGTATAAATCAATGCAGCCCTTTGGAAAAGAGTTTTTGCTCTTTCTATTAAAATTAAATCTGCACTTTTTTTAAACCATTATCATAGCTAGGAATATCTTCTGCACTTTTTTAAACCATTATTATGATAGCCAGGAATATTTTACAAATATATTAATTAACAACTATTAATATTTGTTATATTAAGATTCAATAAAGAGAGAGAGGGACAGGAAGAGAGAGAGGGAGATTGACTCTGATTTTGGGGTGATGATTTTCTCTTCCTCCAAGAGCATCCTATGCAGTTATATTAATATAACAAATATTAATATATTACAATATATTAATGACTATTAATAGAAACAAATGCAGTGTTCATCCACAGGGTTGGTTGATTAACTTATGTTTTACCAATAGAATGGAATACAATACAGCTGTGAAAATAATTAGATAGACTCATATAACAGAAGGATGGGAGCTCCAAGATGTTATATTAAGTGAAAAAAAATCAAAGTGTAACAGAGAATACAGGTATGACATGCGCCTTTTGCATAAGAATGATCAAAAAGATGTACATAAAAACAAAGAATTTAGAATGGGAAACAAAATGGAAGGAAGTAGGAGGAACAGAGCAGTGAGTCAGTAGTGAGGATGAGGCTTGAGGCTTTACGCCAAGCTCCTGAATGATGTTTATGAGAAAGAATTTGACCTCCCTGAGAGGCAGAGTAGAGGTGGGGGAGATTAAGGATTTATTTTACAACATCCTTCTTGCGATAGTTGATTCCTATATTTGTTTTTTCATACTAGGATAAAGAAGATGCAAGGCTTTGTGAAGACGTTGAAAGAAAGGTTTGTATCAACAACAAATGCTGTAGTTTTGCGTTTTCTATTCTGAAGACAGACCTAACAAGAGAATCCACGGATCCCCAAATCTTCTCAGGTGCTTTTTAGGAATGTAACTTTTATGCCTCTGTCATACACCCTAGCTCTATTTTCCAGAGTTAGAAAACAAACTTGGAGGAAAAGAAGCATAATCACGGCCTTTCACATGGGTGGATGGATCCTCAGGAAAGGCAAATAAGAACCAGGAGTAAAAAGCGCCCTAGGGCAGCGTGTGGCTGGCATCTGAAGGTGCAGCTTTTATGATTGCCTGGAAAACCTGGAAAACGCGTTTGAATTATCTGGCAGCTACACCTGTAGTCACTCACTTAGGTTTTCCAGGCAGTCATAAAAGCTGCACCTTCAGACGCCAGCCATGAAGCTAAGGATGGATGTGCTTGCCTGGCGAGAGCAAGGGAGTGGGGGGCTCACAGCCCTTGGGAAAGCGGATGTGTAGCTGGGCCGGGAACCACACCTGGCAGCGGAAGGTGCTTCCCCCTAGAAGCGCTGCTCTCCCTGCCGTCAGCAATAGCTCTGTCCTCAGCAGGACTGAGTTCTCATCCTGAGTTGGTAGATGACTAAGTGATGACAGTGATTTTTGTCTGAATGTGTCAAGTTTCATTTATTTAGTCTTTAGTTTTCCTAGACACCTCAGCACTCCGCAAAGGACGTGAGCCCTGAGTGATGACACTTGGGGAGGTTAACCTAACTGAAGCCAGCGTCTGCACACCCTGGGGACTTGAATCAGCTCTGCCTGGCCTTGGCTGCTTCAGTACCTGCCGGATGTGTGGCTTCGGGAACACTCCTTAAAACCTGATTGCCTCAGTTTCCTCCTGTATTCAAAGTTTGTCTGTCCAATTGTTTATAACAAAATCAACCTCCAGGAGAGAATATGTGTAAAGTCTGCTTAGCGTTACTACTTTTATTCTTATTGTTAGAAATAGCTGACTTGCAAAAATATTCCTGACCATATTATGGGGGAGGGGAACACGTGTGAGCTGCGTCTTGCCTATGCACAGAGCCTCTGGTGTGGATGTGTCCCACCGAGCACTGAGCCTCCCATGCAGATGTGTCCCGCTTGTGCACAGGGCCTCTCGTGTGGGTGTGTCCCGCCTGTGCACGGAACCTCTGATGTGGATGTTTCCCGCCCCCGCCCTCCACGTGCAGTGAACCTCTCGTGCAGATGTGTCCCGCCTGTGCACGGAGCCTCCGGTGTGCGTGTGTCCCGCCTGTGCACGGAGCCTCCGGTGCGGGTGTGTCCCGCCTGTGCACGGAGCCTCCGGTGCGGGTGTGTCCCGCCTGTGCACGGAGCCTCCGGTGCGGGTGTGTCCCGCCTGTGCACGGAGCCTCCGGTGCGGGTGTGTCCCGCCTGTGCACGGAGCCTCCGGTGCGGGTGTGTCCCGCCTGTGCACGGAGCCTCCGGTGCGGGTGTGTCCCGCCTGTGCACGGAGCCTCCGGTGCGGGTGTGTCCCGCCTGTGCACGGAGCCTCCGGTGCGGGTGTGTCCCGCCTGTGCACGGAGCCTCCGGTGCGGGTGTGTCCCGCCTGTGCACGGAGCCTCCGGTGCGGGTGTGTCCCGCCTGTGCACGGAGCCTCTCGTGTGGATGTGCAGGCAGCCTTGTGGCTGGAGGAGCGCTAAATTCCTGTTTTAGCTTTTCCACTAACTTGCTAGGTGTCCTTTGTTAAGTAACTCGATTGAATCAATCAACAAGCATTTTACATGTTTATAGGTTTACTTACTTTTCAAGAATCAACGAGGCAATGGATTGGAAAGTTCCTGAAAAGTATAACATATCTATGTTTAAAATGGTGTTTATATTATTTGTTCTTGAGTTAGATAATGAAAGTTTTTGTTCCTCAGCTTGAAATTAGACACTTGGTTTTCCCCACTCTTAACTCCCTTGTTGAAATCAGTGTAATCCATTTGTTATGTGGCATTCCATCCTCTGGAACTCTCTGCAGCCAACCTAAGTGCACGTGACTGGGAAAACTAATGTGTATTCATAGTGATGTCCCTGAAGGAAAATAATATCTGGTTTGAATGTCAAGTAATTCTTTGGAGCATTTATCACTTGTTTGGCACACAGGTTACTCTTTTAAAGGGAATATTTTACCAAACATAATGTAATGAAAAGAATGCAAATTGGGCCGCATGCAAACTGTGCGCAAATAGTTTCATTTCTCTGAGCCTCGGTTTCCTTATCTGTAAAAATGAGATAATTTCCAACTTGTGAAATGAGTGTAAAGATTAGAAGTATTTAAAAGTGCCTTTTCCTTACTCAGTGGTCTGGGGATAAATGCTGTCTACTGTTGTTACTGGTATTCTCTAATATAATCATGACTCCAATGGAGGTCTAAAGTCTTTGAAAGAAGGAATGAGATTTTACTCACATTTGCCCTTTTCTCAGCATCGGGCATGCACAATGCCTTACTTACAGTCGACATTAACTATATTTTTAAATGAAATTTTCTCCTTTGATACCTCACACTAGTTTTAAAATTAAGAATACTTTGTTAAACTATAAACAATTTATGTTGGTTGTAGACTTATTAGAAAATGCAGATAAGAAAAAAATGAGAAAGTGAAAACCCTGAATTCCTCTGCTCAGAGTCTGTTCTCACTTTTGTGCATGTTCTTCAGGACTGTTTTCCATTTTAAATTTACTTTTTGTGTAGAGTATTAAGAAGGTTGAAACTTGTCAAATAATAGAAAATTCTATCTTAAGAAATACTAGGAATCAGTATTGAGGATATTTTCAACATTTTAGGTTTTTTTCTCAGTATACTTCAGAATATTGGTTTTATATATTTGAAATAGATTTAAATGTTTTTGAGCAGAGCTGCCATTCACTTTAAAAACAGCAACAACAAAACAACAGGCATCATGTACTTACAAGGAATTTTTCCAGATCTATGTTGCAAGTGTTGCTTCCTGGATGTCATCTGCTCTGAATATTTGATCACAAATCAGAATTTAAAAAGGAAGTTTTATTTTTTCTTCTGAACAAATATTCAATTTGATTTCTCACTGGCTATTTTTTTGACGATAGTGACAAATAGATTTAAGAGAAGAAAAGTAAACAGATTGAATAATTATCCACTAACAGATTTTAAAATGTAAACTACAATCTTAAATCATGAATCTAAATGTTGAACTATCCTACTTCCATCCTGTATTGGACAGATAGTAACTTTCTGAAATATAACACCCACAAAGAGCATTCAGAATACACCGGGTGTGTAGTTTGCTGTTTTCATTTTATGTTTTTGCACCATAGATTATAATATGAACATATCAGTCACTTCTGACAGCCAAGCAGCACGACAGGATGCCGTAGTGACAAGTTCCAGGTGCAACGTGTATAAGAAGATAATTGTGACATTTTTTCCCCCCAAAGGCTTCAGAAATCAAGTATAATTTTGATCAACAATAAATGTGCTATTAGTTAAAAAAAAAGTACCTAACATAAGATTTTTAGTATTTGTAGTCATTGATTTGTGACATGGTCTATCTGGGTGCACTTTGTAAGTTTCAGGACAATGTTATGCGTGATCCTATCAAAGCAAAGTCCTTTTAAATGCATGTTGGAGGCAACATTCACAGCCTGTTAACGTCCTTTGTTAAATGTTTTTCTTCCTTTCTTCCGTTTCCCTTTCTTCCTCCCTTCCTTCCCTCCCTTCCTCCCTTCCTGCCTTCCCTCCCTTCCCCAACCCTCCCTCTCTCCCCCCAACCCTCCCTCCCTCTCTCTCTCTTTCTTTTTCTGAGACAGGGTCTCCCTCTGTCACCTGCAAGCTCCGCCTCCCACGTTCAAAAGATCTCATGCTTCAGCTAACTGAGTAGCTGGGATTACAGGCATGGCACGTGTGCCGCCATACCCAGCTAATTTTTTTTTTTGTATTTTTAGTAGAGAAGGATTTCACCATGTTGGCCAGGCTGATCTTGAACTCCTGACCTCAAGTGATCCACCCACCTCAGCCTCCCAAAGTGCTGGGATTACAGACGTGAGCCACTCTGCCTGGCCAAATGTTTTCAATGTGATGGAAAAATAGTGGGTTTTGTCTACCTTTGAAACATTTATGTTTTAGCCCATTGGAGAAACAAGAGTGAAAAACTGCCAAGCACCACACAAAACTCCACGTGGCATCCAGAGGCCTTTTTCCTGCCCTATTTCCAGACTTCCTTTGAACTGAGGACTGGCTCCTGTGCTTCTCTTGAAGAAATGCCTTACAGTAAATAGTACCAATTCTCATCATTGCTCAACTTTATACTGTATTTATTTATATTTATGACTTGATCTTTCACTCTTTTTCTAATGCCATGCCTCTAATTGTTCTGTGAGTCACCTGTCTCAAGAAACAATTACTCATTCTGGTCATCTGTTAATGCTCTCATCCTTCAGGAAGCATACTATTATAATCATGTCATTTTCAAATACTTTGCCTTTTTCCAATTATCCCCCAAGTTATTTTGTGTTTGCATTCAAGTTTTCAACAACTCTCCATTGGATGGTTAATTTTTTCCTACTAAATGCTCCCTTTATGTGTGGAGCACATCTGCTTATATGTCTCCTTCTTTCCTGTCCAGGGGTACTGATTGCTCAGAATTTCTTAACTAACTAAGCCTGGGCATTCTAGGGTTAAAGAAAGAGAGATTTGATCCTCTTGTGGCTTTTAGGCTTTGGTGTTTCATGTTTTTGAAAACTAGGAAATTTTTGACTTTGGGTGGAATCATAATGACAAGAACATAAGAAAATAGAACATAGTGGGTAACTTCATAACAGTGGTTATAGAACAGGAGTTATCTATGATTGATTAACGTTGTGTGCTGTTGCATGCTTATTTTCTTACAACAAAAAGAGAGTCATGTCTATTTTGCTTTTTAGTCTTCTTGTCTTTATGACTGTACCTCAAATCATAGTGTGCTTAGAAATTCATTGAGGATTGAAATCCACCAGACTGACGAAGGGTCTTGAAGGAGATAGGTCTTCCCAAGGAGGCTCTCGTGCTTCAGGTGCTCTACAGAAGCTGAGAAACTGTGCGCCTTCTGCCAGTGTTTACCCAGAATGCCCCAGATGAGAGCAGGTGAAAAAAGTGAGTAGTTGATTTGCTACTAGCTATTAGACAAGTGATAAAACAGTGCAGCCTCTTTAAATGATCAAAGTGGTGGTTTATATCAATTGACATAAATAATATTTAAGTGATTTGACATGCTTAAGACATGCTAAGCTCAGAACGTCAGCCATTTTCCATCGCCTGCAGCTACTGATGAAAACACCATTTCAGCATCTTACTGAAGTGAAATGCATCCACAGATCCATAACAATCATTTCCTCTCCTTGTGTGCTTTCTCAATCAGTGGAGGGTTTTCATTTAATTAACATTGCCAGAAATGCCAATAAAACCAGGATCCAGCATTATCTCTGACTCAGGATTTTTGCAACAAAATGACAATGGCATTGATTCATTAATTGATTTTTAAAATTAATCGCCTGCCCAGTATCTTTACTGTTTTTTCTCTTTATTATGTTGATACTACTCCATCACCACAGCTAAGTCTTTTATTGCTTCTCTAAGAGACAAGGTCAATAGCAATCAACATTGGAGTCTCAAAAGTGAAGTCTAAGGTCATTAGTAATGCTAAGTGGTGTCGTGGTGAAATATTAAGCAATGAAACTTTTAGAAAATTATTTGGTTCTAGGCCGGGCGCGGTGGTTCATGCCTGTAATCCTAGCACTTTGGGAGGCCAAGGAGGACAGATCACGAGGTCAGGAGATCGAGACCATCCTGGCTAACATGGCGAAACCCCGTCTCTACTAAAAATATAAAAAAAATGAGCCAGGCGTGGTGGTGGGCACCTGTAGTCCCAGCTACTCGGGAGGCTGAGGCAGGAGAATGGCGTGAACCCGCGAGGCAGAGCTTGCAGGAGCCGAGATCGCGCCACTGCACTCCAGCCTGGGCCACAGAGTGAGACTCTGTCTCAAAAAAAAAGAAAATTTTGTGGTTCTAGAAGTAGAAAGCTTGTATCCCTCTATACATAGGAGATTCATTTGGACTCAAATAATAGGAGAAAGATTTTCACTTAAAAACAGAAAAGATGCTCTGGGCAGTGCTCTTCATGAATAAAACACAAGGTATTGCATTGGCATTTTATAAGAGGCAGTCATGGATGAACCAATCGCCTTTTCGTGTGGTGGGCTCCACTCTTCATTAATCAAACACACGGTATTGCATTAGCGTTTTATAAGAGACAGTCACGGATGGACCAATCGCCTTTTCGTGTGGTGGGCTCCATGGAAGCAGTTTTGTTGTATTCACGACAATTTTAGAAATCACAACTAGGGTCCTGAAGAAGGAAATGAAATGGTTCCAGTCTAGCCTGGAGAAGTAGCAAGTGAACAAAGATCAGCGGATGCAGGTCAGTTTTCACCGCCTTGCCTTCCATCTTGGAAGCTTCCCTACTTTCCTCCTGGTTGCTAGGCTGAGGACTCAAATTCTCATCCTCTTTCCCTCTCCCCAGTGGACTTGGATTTGCTTCCCAGCTTCCCCGGGGGCCTGATGACCCTCACACCTCTCCAGCACTGTGTTGTTTGCAGTGGCCTGGGTGCCATGCCAAGGCTGGGCCAGCACTCTTCCTCCCCTCCCGCCGGCAGAATGTCTTCTCCTCTAAGCCACCCTGTGGGCAGGGTGCAGGATCCAGGCAGTACTCTCATGACACACCGCCACAGGGCATTCTGTGTCCCTCTGGTATATTCAAACTTATTTTTGACCTTGACAGTGAAAAGGAAAGGAGATGAGATGAAGCTCGGTGTTCAGGGAGCACCCAATTCCTCAGTAGCCTTTGGCCATTCATTTATTAGTTCATTTTTTTTTTAATTCACCAGTTATCCACAATATTATCTGTTACAGAAAATTGGTTTTAAGCAGATAGACAAAATTCTTACTTTGGGACATCTGCTATGACATAGACAAAGAACAGTGATGGGATTTTGCTGTGAGCAAACTCTTAATTAAAAGTGTCAGTGTAGGTATCTCCCGTGGGGTTAGAGGACATTAAAGTAGTTCATAGAACTTGATGCCTGCCTTGTAACGCCTAAGCAGCAGGAATAGGCCCTGGAGAAAACAGAAACAGTCCCTGCTAGTTCAGCCGGATGGTCTTCTCTGAGCTGTGCATCCAGCCCCTGGTGTCTGGGGCTTCAGATTCCATTTCTGTTCTCCACGAGTGGCCCCTTGTCCTACTTCTGTTGGCCTCAGGTTGGCAGGTGTTTATTAAAATATGACCACATAATGCACAAGCCATTGTAGTCACAAAAGGAAAGTATTTTATTTGTATTTACTTGGTTTTCCCCATGAGTTACAGAGATCCTCTCTGTAACTTTTAAGATATATGAATTATTTCAAATTATAATTATATATATAGTCAATTTACGATGTTTCTGCAAGGTACCAAACAAGCTGGAGTTTAGGTTGTGGTAACATAGACCTGGTTGTAAATATAAATTTTGGACACAAAAAGTAACATTTCAAATTTTCATTTCTGGGAAGGCTTAATGAGAAATCCTTATTGGCTGCTTACACCACACTCTGTGAGGGTACTTTTAGGGGAATTTATTACTTGGTTACCCTAAATTGACAGCCATATTTTGGAGAAAAATGTGTCTTCTCCGATGAGCAATTTAAGGAAAGAAAATCAAACGTGAAGAGGAAAGGGACTTGAAAGTCCACAGACACTTTGAATTGACAAATGAGATTGTTCAGGGGCCTTTTTTCTTCATATCTTCAGGGAACCTGGCAGCTTTTCCCCAAGACAAAGCCAATGTGAGAAGCATCTGGGAGTTTTAACTCAGAACTGAGATTCGCCGTTCAGAGTACATGGAGATTCCATCCATAAGGTCGTATAATTTCCGTTCAAGGCAAGGCATTTGTTTCTCGTTTGTTCATCTTCAGGATTTGTCTTTATTGATCTTTGAAGGAGGGGTATCCACGGCGTTGCAAAAAAGAGGTCCATAAATACAAACTCGCATTTGCTGTTTGTAAATAGAATGAAAAGTAAAAGACAGGCCTTAAAAAAAGTTGTAGTATACCCAAACGCAAATTTACACCTTGATTTACACTTAAGAATACATTTCACAAATTGGTAAATATTGTAGGCACAGATTGCATATGAACTTGACAAGCCGTCTGTATACTTGGGATGGACGAAAATGCTCCTAAACATCCTTCAGTGCCGCCTTCTGCATCGGAAGCCTGTGCAGCATTCTTGCCACATGACTTTGTCACTGCTGTCCAAATGTGTGTCACATACTCTGTGCACCTGCAGCTGACAAATGCGCCTGTGCCAGATGGCCTGGCTCCCTGTCCTGCTGTCCATCAGCAGAATGGACTGAGTCTGTGGGATCTTACAATTCTGAGCCAGAAACACCACTGGAAATTATTCCTCTCCAGTGCTTTTGTATGAATGGAGGGGAAATGGAAGTGTCTCTTTGCTAATATCAATACTGTAATTTAAAAATGTTCAGTCATTTCTCTGTTACAATAGAAATGTTTTAAATGAATTCCAAATAGCAGGCATCCAGTGTCTATCAGGCACGCCACATTCTATGCCAGGTTCAGACACAGATGCAGCAAGGTGTAGACCAGGTCACTGCGTCTAGGCTGCTGTGCTCCTCAGAGACAAGAGGCTGTGCAGAAAGGTGGTGGGTGTGGGGGCAGAGGCCAGGTCATGGGCAAGGGGGCTTGAAGCATGTTTTTAATGCAGTCTTTCTATTTTTGCTTGTGATGTATAAAAATCTCACATAAATATGTACTTGAAAAAGAGAGGAATATTTGAATAGACTTTGTTGATAATTGTGGATATTCTTTGGTACTACACCAAAACTTGACAAGTGATAGTTTCTTAAAGGTTAGTTACAATGTGGAATCAGAACCCATATCAATGAACTTTTTATTCCCTGTTACATTAAAATCTATTGTTATATTCTGTACTTTGAATGCATTTTTACCCATGCAGCATTTTACAACATGATGCATTGGTCATTTGGAAAATATTGGTTCATTGAGTTATGCAAATGTTCAATGAGTTATGCAAATGTATGACACATTTAATTATACAATACTTAAAAAATCACATGCATTAATATTTTCATCAACATCTTTAGAAAAGACTTTTAGTATTGTGACACTGTCAAACACATGTGCATGTTTTGCAAATTTGAAGTTTTTTATTATTATTTTTAAATTTATTTATTATTATTATACTTTAAGTTTTAGGGTACATGTGCACAATGTGCAGGTTAGTTACATATGTATACATGTGCCATGCTGGTGCGCTGCACCCATTAACTCGTCATCTAGCATTAGGTATATCTCCCAATGCTATCCCTCCCCGCTCCCCCCACCCCACAACAGTCCCCAGAGTATGATGTTCCCCTTCCTGTGTCCATGTGTTCTCATTGCTCAATTCCCACCTATGAGTGAGAATATGTGGTGTTTGGTTTTTTGTTCTTGTGATAGTTTACTGAGAATGATGATTTCCAATTTCATCCATGTCCCTACAAAGGACATGAACTCATCCTTTTTTATGGCTGCATAGTGTTGCATGGTGTATATGTGCCACATTTTCTTAATCCAGTCTATCACTTTGGACATTTGGGTTGGTTCCAAGTCTTTGCTATTGTGAATAATGCCTCAATAAACATACGTGTGCATGTGTCTTTATAGCAGCATGATTTATAGTCCTTTGGGTATATACCCAGTAATGGGATGGCTGGGTCAAATGGTATTTCTAGTTCTAGATCCCTGAGGAATCGCCACACTGACTTCCACAATGGTTGAACTAGTTTGCAGTCCCACCAACAGTGTAAAAGTGTTCCTATTTCTCCACATCCTGTCCAGCACCTGTTGTTTTCTGACTTTTTAATGATTGCCATTCTAACTGGTGTGAGATGGTATCTCATTATGGTTTTGATTTGCATTTCTCTGATGGCCAGTGATGGTGAGCATTTTTTCATGTGTTTTTTGGCTGCATAAATGTCTTCTTTTGAGAAGTGTCTGTTTATGTCCTTCGCCCACTTTTTGATGGGGTTGTTTGTTTTTTTCTTGTAAATTTGTTTTGAGTTCATTGTAGATTCTGGATATTAGCCCTTTGTCAGATGAGGAGGTTGCGAAAATTTTCTCCCATTTTGTAGGTTGCCTGTTCACTCTGATGATAGTTTCTTTTGCTGTGCAGAAGGCTCTTTAGTTTAATTAGATCCCATTTGTCAATTTTGTCTTTTGTTGCCATTGCTTTTGGTGTTTTAGACATGAAGTCCTTGCCCATGCCTATGTCCTGAATGGTAATGCCTAGGTTTTCTTCTAGGGTTTTTATGGTTTTAGGTCTAATGTTTAAGTCTTTAATCCATCTTGAATTGATTTTTGTATAAGGTGTGAGGAAGGGATCCAGTTTCAGCTTTCTACATATGACTAGCCAGTTTTCCCAGCACCATTTATTAAATAGGGAATCCTTTCCCCATTGCTTGTTTTTCTCAGGTTTGTCAAAGATCAGATAGTTGTAGATATGCGGCGTTATTTCTGAGGGCTCTGTTCTGTTCCATTGATCTATATCTCTGTTTTGGTACCAGTACCATGCTGTTTTGGTTACTGTAGCCTTGTAGTATAGTTTGAAGTCAGGTAGCGTGATGCCTCCAGCTTTGTTCTTTTGGCTTAGGATTGACGTGGCGATGCGGGCTCTTTTTTGGTTCCATATGAACTTTAAAGTAGTTTTTTCCAATTCCGTGAAGAAAGTCATTGGTAGCTTGATGGGGATGGCATTGAATCTATAAATTACCTTGGGCAGTATGGCCATTTTCACGATATTGATTCTTCCTACCCAGGAGCATGGAATGTTCTTCCATTTGTTTGTATCCTCTTTTATTTCATTGAGCAGTGGTTTGTAGTTCTCCTTGAAGAGGTCCTTCACATCCCTTGTAAGTTGGATTCCTAGGTATTTTATTCTCTTTGAAGCAATTGTGAATGGGAGTTCACTGATGATTTGGCTCTCTGTTTGTCTGTTGTTGGTGTATAAGAATACTTGTGATTTTTGTACATTGATTTTGTATCCTGAGACTTTGCTGAAGTTGCTTATCAGCTTAAGGAGATTTTGGGCTGAGACAATGGGGTTTTCTAGATATACAATCATGTCGTCTGCAAACAGGGACAACTTAAATTCTTCTTTTCCTAACTGAATACCCTTTATTTCCTTCTCCCGCCTAATTGCCCTGGCCAGAACTTCCAACACTGTGTTGAATAGGAGTAGTGAGAGAGGGCATCCCTGTCTTGTGCCAGTTTTCAAAGGGAATGCTCCCAGTTTTTGCCCATTCAGTATGATATTGGCTGTGGGTTTGTCATAGATAGCTCTTATTATTTTGAAATACGTCCCATCAATACCTAATTTATTGAGAGTTTTTAGCATGAAGGGTTGTTGAATTTTGTCAAAGGCCTTTTCTGCATCTATTGAGATAATCATGTGGTTTTTGTCTTTGGTTCTGTTTATATGCTGGATTACATTTATTGATTTGCGTATATTGAACCAGCCTTGCATCCCAGGGATGAAGCCCACTTGATCATGGTGGATAAGCTTTTTGATGTGCTGCTGGATTCGTTTTGCCAGTATTTTATTGAGGATTTTTGCATCAATGTTCATCAAGGATATTGGTCTAAAATTCTCTTTTTTGGTTGTGTCTCTGCCCGGCTTTGGTATCAGGATGATGCTGGCTTCATAAAATGAGTTACGGAGGATTCCCTCTTTTTCTATTGATTGAAATAGTTTCAGAAGGAATGGTACCAGTTCCTCCTTGTACCTCTGGTAGAATTCGGCTATGAATCCGTCTGGTCCTGGACTCTTTTTGGTTGGTAAGCTATTGATTATTGCCACAATTTCAGCTTCTGTTATTGGTCTATTCAGAGATTCAACTTCTTCCTGGTTTAGTCTTGGGAGAGTGTATGTGTCGAGGAATTTATCCATTTCTTCTAGATTTTCTAGTTTATTTGCGTAGAGTTGTTTGTAGTATTCTCTGATGGTAGTTTGTATTTCTGTAGGATTGGTGGTGATATCCCCTTTATCATTTTTTATTGCGTCTATTTGATTCTTCTCTCTTTTTTTCTTTATTAGTCTTGCTAGTGGTCTATCAATTTTGTTGATCCTTTCAAAAAACCAGCCCCTGGATTCGTTAATTTTTTGAAGGGTTTTTTGTGTCTCTATTTCCTTCAGTTCTGCTCTGATTTTAGTTATTTCTTGCCTTCTTCTAGCTTTTGAATGTGTTTGCTCTTGCTTTTCTAGTTCTTTTAATTGTGATGTTAGGGTGTCAATTTTGGATCTTTCCTGCTTTCTCTTGTGGGCATTTAGTGCTATAAATTTCCCTCTACACACTGCTTTGAATGCGTCCCAGAGATTCTGGTATGTTGTGTCTTTGTTCTCATTGGTTTCAAAGAACATCTTTATTTCTGCCTTCATTTCGTTATGTACCCAGTAGTCATTCAGGAGCAGGTTGTTCAGTTTCCATGTAGTTGAGCGGTTTTGAGTGAGATTCTTAATCCTGAGTTTTAGTTTGATTGCACTGTGGTCTGAGAGATAATTTGTTATAATTTCTGTTCTTTTACATTTGCTGAGGAGAGCTTTACTTCCAAGTATGTGGTCAATTTTGAAATAGGTGTGGTGTGGTGCTGAAAAAAATGTATATTCTGTTGATTTGGGGTGGAGAGTTCTGTAGATGTCTATTAGGTCCGCTCAGTCCAGAGCTGAGTTCAATTCCTGGGTATCCTTGTTGACTTTCTGTCTCATTGATCTGTCTAATGTTGACAGTGGGGTGTTAAAGTCTCCCATTATTAATGTATGGGAGTCTAAGTCTCTTTGTAGGTCACTCAGGACTTGCTTTATGAATCTGGGTGCTCCTGTATTAGGTGCATATATATTTAGGATAGTTAGCTCTTCTTGTTGAATTGATCCCTTTACCATTATGTAATGGCCTTCTTTGTCTCTTTTGATCTTTGTTGGTTTAAAGTCTGTTTTATCAGAGACTAGGATTGCAACCCCTGCCTTTTTTCGTTTTCCATTTGCTTGGTAGATCTTCCTCCATCCTTTTGTTTTGAGCCTATGTGTGTCTCTGCACGTGAGATGGGTTTCCTGAATACAGCACACTGATGGGTCTTGACTCTTTATCCAATTTGCCAGTCTGTGTCTTTTAATTGGAGCATTTAGTCCATTTATATTTAAAGTTAATATTGTTATGTGTGAATTTGATCCTGTCATGATGATGTTAGCTGGTTATTTTGCTCGTTAGTTGATGCAGTTTCTTCCTAGTCTCGATGGTCTTTACATTTTGGCATGATTTTGCAGCGGCTGGTACCGGTTGTTCCTTTCCATGTTTAGTGCTTCCTTCAGGAGCTCTTTTAGGGCAGGCCTGGTGGTGACAAAATCTCTCAGCATTTGCTTGTCTGTAAAGTATTTTATTTCTCCTTCACTTATGAAGCTTAGTTTGGCTGGATATGAAATTCTGGGTTGAAAATTCTTTTCTTTAAGAATGTTGAATATTGGCCCCCACTCTCTTCTGGCTTGTAGAGTTTCTGCCGAGAGATCTGCTGTTAGTCTGATGGGCTTCCCTTTGAGGGTAACCCGACCTTTCTCTCTGGCTGTGCTTAACATTTTTTCCTTCATTTCAACTTTGGTGAATCTGACAATTATGTGTCTTGGAGTTGCTCTTCTTGAGGAGTATCTTTGTGGCATTCTCTGTATTTCCTGAATCTGAATGTTGGCCTGCCTTGCTAGATTGGGGAAGTTCTCCTGGATAATATCCTGCAGAGTGTTTTCCAACTTGGTTCCATTCTCCCCATCACTTTCAGGTATACCAATCAGATGTAGATTTGGTCTTTTCACATAGTCGCATATTTCTTGGAGGCTTTGCTTGTTTCTTTTTATTCTTTTTTCTCTAAACTTCCCTTCTCACTTTATTTCCTTCATTTCATCTTCCATTGCTGATACCCTTTCTTCCAGTTGATCGCATCGGCTCCTGAGGCTTCTGCATTCTTCACATAGTTCTCGAGCCTTGTTTTTCAGCTCCATCAGCTCCTTTAAGCACTTCTCTGTATTGGTTATTCTAGTTATACATTCTTCTAAATTTTTTTCAAAGTTTTCAACTTCTTTGCCTTTGGTTTGAATTTCCTCCTGTAGCTTGGAGTAATTTGATCATCTGAAGCCTTCTCTCAGCTCGTCAAAGTCATTCTCCGTCCAGCTTTGTTCTGTTGCTGGTGAGGAACTGCGTTCCTTTGGAGGAGGAGAGGTGCTCTGCTTTTTAGAGTTTCCAGTTTTTCTGCTCTGTTTTTTCCCCATCTTTGTGGTTTTATCTACTTTTGGTCTTTGATGATGGTGATGTACAGATGGGTTTTTGGTGTGGATGTCCTTTCTGTTTGTTAGTTTTCCTTCTAACAGACAGGACCCTCAGCTGCAGGTCTGTTGGAGTACCTGGCCATGTGAGGTGTCAGTCTGCCCCTGCTGGGGGGTGCCTCCCAGTTAGGCTGCTCGGGGGTCAGGGGTCAGGGACCCACTTGAGGAGGCAGTCTGCCCGTCCTCAGATCTCCAGCTGTGTGCTGGGAGAACCACTGCTCTCTTCAAAGCTGTCAGACAGGGACATTTAAGTCTGCAGAGGTTACTGCTGTCTTTTTGTTTGTCTGTGCCCTGTCCCCAGAGGTGGAGCCTGCAGAGGCAGGCAGGCCTCCTTGAGCTGTGATGGGCTCCACCCAGTTCGAGCTTCCCAGATGCTTTGTTTACCTAAGCAATCCTGGGCAATGGCGGGCGCCCCTCCCCCAGCCTCGCTGCTGCCTTGCAGTTTGATCTCAGACTGCTGTGCTAGCAATCAGCAAGACTCCGTGGGTGTAGGACCCTCCGAGCCAGGTGCGGGATATAATCTCGTGGTGCGCCGTTTTTTAAGCCCGTTGGAAAAGCGCAGTATTCGGGTGGGAGTGACTCGATTTTCCAGGTGCCGTCTGTCACCACTTTCTCTGACTAGGAAAGGGAACTCCCTGACCCCTTGCGCTTCCCGAGTGAGGCAATGCCTCGCCCTGCTTCAGCTCGCACACGGTGCGCGCACCCACTGACCTGCGCCCACTGTCTGGCACTCCCTAGTGAGATGAACCCGGTACCTCAGATGGAAATGCAGAAATCACCCGTCTTCTGTGTCACTCACTCTGGGAGCTGTAGACCAGAGCTGTTCCTATTCGGCCATCTTGGCTCCTCCCTCTGCAAATTTGAAGTTTTTTGAATGCTCAAATTTTATTGTTCAACCCAAACACTATCAGTTGTTTTTATAGACATAATAGCCTCATTCTGGGAGAATGCCTGCCAGCCCCCCAAGAATTAGCAACTATAGTTTGTAGGTTACTTATTCTTTCAAGTAAAGTAGTTCCATGAAACAAGTGTCTAGTTCAGCTTGCAATGTGCACAATCACATAAGTGCTTTTTCTTGAGATAATCGTGTGGCTTCAATGCGCACCAGAAGTGCTTCATGAGTTCTTCTCATTTCCTTACACAGGATATTACAAAGGTCATGTGCTCAAGGTCAGTGTTTAATAACATTCATAGTTTTCATTCCTTCATGAAGGACATTTTAAGTGACATTGGCATTTTCTCAAACACTGCAAGTGTGTTGAAGTGAGTGATTTGGTGGCAGTGAGTACGGCTGGGAGCAGTGGCTTTGATTAGTCCTCAGGCACCCATAGCTTTACCTGCCATTGTTTTTGTAGCGTCAATGCAAATGCCACACAGGGAAGGAGGCCAATGACTCTTAGTACTATGATGAGCATAGTTTTGACCTCACTGACCCCTGGAAGGAGAGGCAAATGACTCTTAGTTCTACAATGAGCATAGTTTCAACTTCACTGATCCCTGGGAGGTTCTATAGATCCCCCAGGAATCCACAACCACCTTTTGGGAAGTTGTGCATGAGATGAGGATGGTGGTGATAGCATTTACATTCACAGAATGAAAACAGTCACTTTCAACAACAGTATCGCATCCCAGCAGGACTCACTGAAGGAGGAGTTCCTCAAGCTCTTGCTAATATCCTTGAGTACCAGGTTGTGGACAGAGGTATTGCAGAGCAGGGCGAGAGCAGGTCTGTGCCGCTTCCTGGCTCTGTGACCTATGTACGTAACCTGTCCCAGGCCGTGGCCTTCCTCATTCTTCTGCAAGGGTGACAGCACCCTGAAGGGCTGCTGGGAGGGGTGCATAAGATGAATCCATGGTGAGTGCTGGGCACAAAGGAAGAACTCAGTCATCATTAGCTGTTGTCATTGTTTGAGAAATTACAAGAGAAAATATTAGAAGTAGAACACATTTCTTAATGTTTATGAGTCAGAAATTAAGAAGAAAAAATCTCTAAAACTGTAACACATCAGTAGAAAAATGACAGTTGTATTTATATGTTTAGGACAAAAGGGATCAAATCCCTGTGGAAAGCTGTGTCCACTTAGCATCAGAGTCTTGGCCTGGGTGGCCCCTGGCCCGGAGCCCAGCACAGAGCCTGAGCTTGTGGGCTCCCTGTTAACTGCTCCTTGGCTTCTGTACTGGGAGCTTACAGACTCCTCCGAGGCTGAGATGCCTGCCTTTCCCTGCAGCATGCATGCTGACCCAGCTCTGCTCAGTGCATCTCCTTTTCTGATCACGGTTCTCCAGATACCCTCTGCCTCCCTCAGGACTCCTGGGCTCCCAGCCCTGGGCTGACGGGACACTACTGGGGGTAGCCCACTTTGAGGTTCAGCTGTCCTTGTTGACCCTTCCTGGAAGGGGAGGCAGGAACTCTTGGGCTTCAGCTGAGCTTTTCCTTCCTCAGTGTCCCATCAATGTCATGTTCCTAAGTTCTTGATGGAAATGCTATGTGAGATCAATTCAGAAGAACTCCCCTAGGAAAGAGGTCATTTGTTTTTCCTGTGTGGAGATGAAGTGAGTGTGGTTTGTCGTTCATGGAAAGTTATGCTTAGTCCCCAAGCCCTTGATGCTGTTCAAGGCAATTCTCCAAATAAACTGCTGCCATGTCATCCCTTTCTTCTATCTTTAGCCAATCCTGGGGTTGCTGTAAGTAAATAAAAGCTGTCCTTCAACGCCTTCTGGCAATTTTTCTGAACTCTGGGGTGAAAGTCAGGTACTGCAAACAGTGTAGGTTTGACTGTTTCAGCCTTGGAAAGATGTTGAGATGGCCTCTTGCTCAGCATTCCAGGTGTGGTTAACCTTTAAGTTAGATGGCTTCTTTCAGCCCTGGAGGTAAACAAGTTCCCCTTTGTTTTGTCTATAGCAAAACACTTGGGGACACTGAGTATAGGCTGCTATAGCAGAATACCATAGAGTTGCAGGCTTAAAAACAACAGAAATATATTCCCTCCAGTTTGGGAGGCTGGGAAGTGTAAGGTCAGGGTGCTGGCAGGCTCGGTCTGAGGAGGGCTTGTTCCCTGGTTAATAGATGATGGCTTCTTCCTATGTCCTCATGTGGTGGAAGGGGCAAATCAGCTCTCTGGGGTCTCTTCTAGAAGGGGCTGATCACCTTCCAAAGGCCCAGCCTCCTAATATCATCACTTGAGGGGTTAGGATTTCAACACATAAATTTTGGGAGAAGACGAACTGTTAGATCCTTCTTTCCTAAATGACCCATCTCCATTTTCCTCTCAAAAGTCTTCATTCCTTAACTCTCAAGGGTCCCTGGGCCTCTGTCTATCCTGCCTTGTTAGTGTCATGAGTCTTCCCTACTCTCTCAGGACTTTGGTTCTACTCACCAGTCAGCAGAGGCATCATCCACTTTGAAAAGCTGTTCCTGGCCTTTCCAGCATATGTACCTACCATCTTGTTTTCCCACCTATATTCATGTATTGACCTAAAATAGTTATTGTCATTTGCTTTGTGACTAGTTCCATGTGAAGATGTCTTTCAGTTGCTTTTCCATGCCAATAGTTGATATATAATAATTTTACTTTCTCCCTATTTTCTCATCAGCCCTTGAGATGTGGCTCTACCCCTGATATTCTCGTGTTGCCTTTCTTTCTCGTAATCTTTCACCTTTAATGGTTGAATTCAGTGATGATTTCATTATCTACTCTATCCTTGTAACCTCTGGGTTTTTTTGTTTGTTTGTTTTTGTATACTGCTTGTCCATCTGTTGGACTCAAACTCCTCCATTCCTCAGTGTGACACGCCCTTGTTCACATCTCAGTGCTGGCTTCTCCATCTTGGCTCCAGTCCCAAGCACAGACCTTGCGTCCTATCTTCGTGGGTTCTCCTCCTCACTGCTTCACTTTGTGGGTGGGTTTACCCTGAAGACTCTGAAAATAATCTCAGTTGTCTTGTTTGTCCCACTTCTGTTTCCAAATGCTATTTCAGTCCCTTTTCAGTGAAACCTCTGCTAACTTTGATTTTTGCTTCTGCAGCATGCAGTCTGAACTTAGGTCTTTATGTGCCTCTGCATTTCCATTTCAAGATGCTGCTTCATCTCAAGTCCAGTGTCCTAAGCCAGCAGACACCTTCGTCCTCTTCTCCATCAATCACGCCTTTGTTCTCTCAGCTGCTCAGGCCCTCGAGGCCTGAGCCTGGTATTCAGTGCCTCCCTTCACTGCACACCTGTTTCCAGCCAGCCATTCTGCAGGTTCCTTCAAGTGCACCACGTCCTCCCTCTCCCTTCTCATGGCCTCAGCACTGGCTGGTGCAGGTCAGCCCCTGGCTTTGCACTCTTCTGACTTCATGTACCCTTGCATGCAGGTGACTCTTCCGTGTTTTCCCCTTTAATTATGTCACTGCTCTGTTTGAAACCTGTATTGTCCCCACCTAAGTCTGATGTGTTCTGTGAAACTATCTCGACCACTCCAAACTTTGGTAGCTTCTGAAATCCTGAAAAACTTGGTCTGTATTAACATAATTGGAGGTATGTGTTTACAATTTATTCATTATCCCCTCAGTATGGCTGCAAGTTCTCTGAATGCAGAGACCACACCTTATATTTCCCTGGTAGCCAGTGACGCTGACCTGCAGAGCCCTGGTCATAGAGTAGGTACTCAAAAGGTAATTGGTGATTGGCTGATATTTGACATTTGCAGGAAGTTTAAAACCAGGATCTGGATCTCTTTAGTTTTCAGCCTCTGCAATGGAAATTTTCCTCTATTTTTAGAAAAGAGCTCTATTTTCCTTTGTTCTTCCTTTGTGCCTAATGTATTGAAGAACTATTTTCTATTCTGCCTCATGCCTTGCCCATTATTTCATTTCCTGCTTTTAATTTCCTAGTTTCTGATTCTGAAGAGCTCCACTTTAAAGATGACAGTCAATTCATAAAGGAAGGACCTAGTAGTCCTCCTCCTCAAATGTTTTTTAGAAACATTTTATTGTCATGCTTACACTTGATTTTTCTAATTATTACATTATCATCAATATTTACTGAAGTCTTATCTTACTGATAAATGATTTTGATAATCAAAAGTAAGCATTTTGATTTAAAAAGATCTCATTTCCTTTATCCTATAGAAAAGGAAATGATTTCTCTGTTGAATGCATGCATGATGCATAAGGAAGAGTGATTAGTTGTTATAACAGACATGGTCTTCACATAATTTCAGAGTACTTCTACCCGTGCTGCACTCGTAACAAAGGAAGTCTTTACAGTGAACACTTTACTGTGACCAGCTCTTACCCCCATTCTGGCCTCCTAAACCATGGTAATGCGGATTGAGGAAAAGTGCACCTTCTATTGAATTATTGGTGCCATTTCCTTTCTAGGTCTATTTTGTCAAGACTAGATTTTTACTTATACCTTAGAAATATAAACTAAAGTAGGAGATGAATGTGAACACTGATGTATGTAGCATTACCTTCTGTTTTCCCTTTATTGATAACCTGGATAACTGAAAATCAAGAAAATTGCCAAATATCCTCACCTAATTGAAATGTTGCCTTCCCTCAGCTACAAGAATCATGTGCAGGGCCAATGACAACTGACACTTTTTACTCCCTCTGTCCAGTCTCTAGAAGGCAGTGTGGTCAAGAGAAAGTGGAAGTTGCAGACAGTTAATTCAGAAACTGCATGAAAGGTCCAAGTAATTTAGGGCGAACCATGGAGAGAGGTGCTATTCGAATCCGGCAGCAGCTCCCGGCTGGCACTCGGGGAAACCTGCCAGGTTGATGAGTCCGACCCCTGGTGGTGGAGAAAGGCTCAGAGTGTGATTGACAATGGATAGGATTGACAGCGGATAGGAGGAAACACCCAGCAACTTCATTCTCTCATTGCCATACTGAGTCGTGTGTGTGACTGAGGTGGATGTTTCTGGAGAATCTATTTCTTCAGTGGTAAATGGAGCAAAGTCTAAAGAGGGGCTTTATTAGTGCTGCCTTGCATCAGCTGCAGTGACCCTTGAAAAAACAGCAACAAATAATGTGTCACCTTGTGCCTGTATTTCCAGTCTAGTGCTTCTGTGAAATGTTTCACAGCGTATTTTATGACATTTTAAAAGAAGTAATTAGGTTTTCGCAAATACGTTTTTAGTGTTTAATTTTAGAGGTGGTGATTAGGACTTACGAATTGTTTACCACATGCTTCGGATGATGCTGCATGCCAAACTGAATGGTTTTAGTGAGAACAGTGTGATGAAATGCAAATGCAGCAATGCTTCACTTGTCTCATTTTTAAGCAACGATGTTTTGCAAAAGTGAAATTTTCATATATCTGATGTCCCTGTGATTAATCTACAATTACTTCATTTTTATTTTTTGAGACAGGGTCTTGCTCTGTCAACCAGGCTAGAGTGCGGGTTGTACTGCACCCTCAGACTCCCCAGTAGCTGGTACTACCAGCATGTGACACCATGCCTGGCGAATTTTTTGTTGTTTTGTTTTGTAGGGATTAGGTCTTGCTGCATTGCCCAGGCTGGTCTTGACCTCCTGGACTCAAGTGATCCTCCTGCCTTGGCCTCCCAAAGTGCTGGGTTTACAAGTGTGAGCCACCATGCCTGGCCTTCAGTTCATTTGTAAAGTCCTGTTCCCTGATGAATCGGTCATGATTTTGCACTTCATGACTCCCTTTGCTGCATTGTTTGATGCTTTCAAGGACGGCTGGCATCTGGGGTTTTGTCTTGTTCTAAACGGCTCCAGCCTGCTGTGCTTTCTGCAGTGTTTTGGTCTCTCCTCTCCCTGGAATCCCCACGGTTGCTACTGGTGTGCTTCTATCAGCTTCCCTCACCCGTTTCTGACAGGTGACTTCTGTTCTGCAGCAGAGAGGGAAACAGAGCGAAGCTCGCCTGTGTTCTGTGAGTGCCCGCGTTGTATGAGAGCCTGCAATGTGTGAGTAGAGACCCATCTCTTGAAATCCTCATTGACAAAGTGCATGAGCTTCAACACGTGGGCTTGTGATGTATCTTTGAGTGTCTTTTTTTTTTTTTTTGAGATGGAGTCTCTCACCGTCATCCAGGCTGGAGTGCAATGGCGTGATCTCAGCTCACTGCAACCTCCGCCTCCTGGGTTCAAGCGATTCTCCTGCCTCAGCGTCCTGAGTAGCTGGGATTACAGGCACGCACCACCATGCCTGGCTAATTTTTTTTTTTGTATTTTTGGTAGAGATGGGGTTTCACCATATTGGTCAGGCTAGTCTCCAACTCCTGACCTTGTGATCCGCCCACCTTGGCCCTGCAAAGTGCTGGGATTATAGACCTGAGCCACTGCGCCTGGCCCATCTTTGAGTTTCTTTGTTGCTCGTGACTGCTTTCTGGGTAGGTGATGCTTCCAGGCATTGTGATTTTCAGTTGGGTGAGGTGTTGCGACGGAGTCCTTGGTGAATTCCTGGACTGCGTTCTGAAGATGACTGGCGTTGGGGTGGTCTTGCATAGGCTCTGCTTGCCCCAGCCAGCACCTTGGTTGTCCAGCTCCAGAGTGTATTATCTTGGGACTTTTTTTTCTTCAGAAAGCTATTTTTTTTTTTAACAGCATGAGGATATAATTTACATCTGCTTGAACTTGAGGGGTTTTGGCAAATGTATACAAATATGTAATTGTGGTTAAGGAGAGCCGGGATCTTCCCTATCAGATTGGGCATCTCAGCCTTTCTGCGCTTTCTCACTTCCAAATTTCCCCCCTTGCCTTTCTAGATGCTCAGCTGCTTACACAGGCATCTGCTGCCTTGAGCAGAAAGGCTGTGGTTTTTGGCAGCTGCAGCAGGGGTGGGCGAAGTGTGCCCAGGCAGGGGGCTGGAGGTGTATAGCTCTGTAAAGTCTGTAAACAGTCGACTCTTCCTGTGTTGCTGTGTTGTTCTCTTCTCTTGGGAGTTTTCAAGGGCCTTCATGGGTGCTTTCAATACTTGTAATAATTTTATTCAGTTTTATGATTCTCATATGCAGGAGAATCACCCAGACCACCACTTCATGCCACCCTTTCCTTCTTGGGTCATTTTATCTTCTTTTTAAAAATTGAGCTATAATTTATACACAGTAGAATGCATCCTTCTCGGTGTCCAGTTCCAGGAGTTTTGGGAACACACAGTCATATAACTACCAGCATAGTCAAGGTATGGAACAGCCACCATCCCCCAAATTCTCTTGGGCCCCTCTGTGGTCACCTCTCTATTCCCATGCCACCCCCATGCCCTGGCAGCCATTGGTCTGTTTTCTGTCCCCTGGTTTTACCCTTTTCAGAGTGTCATAGGCTGGAATTATGGAGCATACGCGCCTCTGTCACTCACTGTGGTTCGTGGGAGGTTCACCCATCTGTGTGCACAACAGCTCATTCCTGTCAATTGCCTAGTAGTGCTCCATTTTACGGTTGTACCAGAACTAGTTTATTCATTCCCCATTGAAGGACATTTGGGTCCAACTTTTGAATATTTTAAAAAGAGCTGCTATCCATTGATGTAAAGGTTGTGTAATACCTAAGAGTGGGATCGCTGAGTCATGCAGTGAATGCATTTTTCACTGTGTAAGAAGCTGGCAAACTTTTGCTAAGCAGCTGTATATATAGTTTTGCAACTGTACAGTGGATGGAAGTGAATGGAAGTTTCAGGTGATCTGCAGCCTCACCAGCAGCTTTCTTTATCAATTAAAAACATTTTTATTTAGTAATTTGTCTTGGAGTTGTATTTCATTTGTGATTTTACTTTGCATTTCCTTAATAACTAATGACATTGCGCATCTTTTCATACGCTTATTTGCCATTCACATTTCATCTTTGGGGACCTGTTTGTTTAATGGATTGTTTCCATTTTGTCACGTTTTGAGAGCTCTGTTTGAAAATTCTTTTTTTTTTGAGATTGGTTCTCGCTCTGTTACCAGGCTGGAGTGCAGTGGCGTGATCTTGGCTCACTGCAACCTCTGCCTCCCAGGTTGAAGCAATTCTCCTGCCTCAGCCTTCTGAGTAGCTGGGATTACAAGGGCACACCACTACACCCAGCTAATTTTTGTATTTTTGGTAGAGACGGGGTTTCACCGTGTTGGCCAGGATGGTCTCGATCTCCTGACCTGGTGATCTGCCTGCCTCGGCCTCCCAAAGGAAAATTACTTGTCAGATGTTTTGCAAATGTTTTTTGCCAGTATGTGGCTTGTCTTCTCATTCTCTTAACATTGTATTTGAAGAGCAGAAGCTTTTAATTTTGAAGTCCAATTTATCAATCTTTTCTCTCACGGATTGTGCCTTTTGTGTCCTTTCTAAAATTTCTATGCCTAACCCAAAGTCTCAAAGATTTTCTACTGTTTTATTTTGGAAGTTTGGTTTTATGTTTTACATTTATGTCCAGGACCCATTTTGAGTTAATTTTTATAGGTAGTGCAGTGTAGGAATGAGGATTTTTTTTTAAATTTTGCATATGAATTTCTGATTGTTCTTGTACCTTCTGTTGAAAAGAACTACACTTTCTGCTTTAAAGTTACTTGCATTTTTTATAACCAGCTAACCATATTTGTGTTGGTTTGTTTCTGGACTCTATGTTTATCCCATTGATCTATGTGTTTTTCCTTTCACCAATATGAAGCTTTCTTGATTACTGCAGTTTTGAAATCAGGTTATGTGAACCTCCAATTTTATTCTTCCTTTTCAACATTGTTTTGAGCTATTTCAGATCTTTTGCTTTTACAAATAAGTCAGCGTTAGATGTGACTTGTCAATTTCTGTAGCAATCCTGCTAGTATTGATTGGGATTCCATTGATCTATAGATCAATTCAGGGAGAATCTACATGCTAATGATATTGGGTATAAAATACCATGAACATGTTCTATCTCTCTATTTATTCATGTCTATTTTTGAAATGAGTGTTTTGTAGCATTTAGTATCCTGACCTTTTCTAAATCAGATTTATGCATAAATATTTTGGTTTTGTAGCTATTGTACATGGCACTTAAAATTTACATTTCCTATTGTTTATTGCAAACATATAGAAAAACTATTGACTTTTTTATATCGACCTGAATCCTGAAATCTTGATGAGATAAGCTCATTGATGAGTTCTGGTCGCTTTTTAAAATAAATTTCTTCTAGAAAAAAATGGGATACATGTGCAGAACATGCAGGTTTGTTACACAGGTATACATGTGCCATGGTGGTCTGCTGCACCTATTGACTTGTTCTCTAAGCTCCCTCCCCTTACCCCCAACCCCCAACAGGCCCTGATGTGTGTTGTTCCCCTCTCTGTTGTCCATATGTTCTCATTGTTCAACTCCCACTTATGAGTGAGAACATGTGGTGTTTTGTTTTCTGTTCCTGTGTTAGTTTGCTGAGGATGATGGCTTCCAGCTTCATCTATGTCCCTGCAAAGGACATGATCTCATTCCTTTTTATGGCTGCATAGTATTCCTTGGTGGATATGTACCACATTTTCTTTATCCAGCTTATCATTGATGGGCATTTGGGTTTGTTCCAAGTCTTTGCTATTGTAAATAGTGCTGCAATAAACATACGTGTGCATGTTTCTTTATAGTAGAATGACTTATATTCCTTTGGGTGTATACCCAATAATGGGATTGCTGGGTCAAATTATATTTCTGGTTCTAGATCCTTGAGGAATCGCCATACCGTCTTCCACAATGGTTGAGCTAATTTACATTCCCACCAACAGTGTAAAAGCATTCTGATTTCTCCACAGCCTCACCAGCATCCCTTGTTTCCTGACTTTTTAATAATTGCCATTTGGACTGGTGTGAGAGAGTATCTCATTGTGGTTTTGATTTGCATTTATCTGATGATCAGCGATGTTGAACTTTTTTCATGTATTTGTTAGCCACATAAATGTCTTTCGAAAAGTGTCTGCTCATATCTTTTACCACTTTTTGATGGGGTTGTTTTTTTCTTGTAAATTTGTTTAAGTCCTTGTAAATTCTGGATATTAGACCTTTGTCAGATGGGTAGATTGCAAAAATTTTCTCCCATTCTGTAGGTTGCCTGTGCACTCTGATGAGTATTTCTTTTGCTGTGCAGAAACTCTTCTAATTAGACCTCATTTGTCAATTTTGGCTTTTGTTTCAATTGCTTTTGGTGTTTTAGTCATGAAGTCTTTGCCCATGCCTGTGTCCTGAATGGTATTACCTAGGTTTTCTTCTAGGGTTTTTATGGTTTGGGTTTTACATTTAAGTCTTTAATCCATCTTGAGTTAATTTTTGTATAAGGTATAAGGAAGGGGTCCAGTTTCAGTTTTCTGCATATGGCTAGCCAGTTTTCCTACCACCATTTGCTGAACAGGAGATCCTTTCCCCATTGCTTGTTTTTGTTGGGTTTGTTGAAGATCAGATGGTTGTAGACATGTGGTGTTATTTCTGAGGTCTCTGTTCTGCTCCATTGGTCTATATGTCTGTTTTGGTACCAGTACCACACTGTTTTGGTTACTGTAGCCTTGTAGTATAGTTTGAAGTCAGGTAGTGTGATGCCTCCAGCTTTGTTCTTTTTGCCTAGGATTATCTTGGCTATGCAGAGTTTTCTTCAATTTCATATGAAACTTAAAATAGTTTTTTCTAATTCTGTGAAGAATGTCAATGTTAGTTTGATGAGAAGGGCATTGAATCTATAAATTACTTTGGGCAGTATGGCCATTTTCACGATATTGATTCTTCCTGTCCATGAGAATGGAATGTTTTTCCATTTGCTTGCATCCTCTCTTATTTCCTTGAGCAGTGGTTTGTAGTTCTCCTTGAAGAGGTCCTTCACGTCCCTTGTAAATTGTATTCCTAGGCATTTTATTCTCTTTGTAGCGATTGTGAATGGGAGTTCATTTATGGTTTGGCTGTCTGCTTGTGTATTGTTGGTGTAAAGAATCCTTGTGATTTTTGCACATTTATTTTGTATCCTGAGACTTTGCTGAAGTTGCTTATCAGTTTATGGAATTTTTGGGCTGAGATGATGGGGTTTTCTAAATATACAGTCATGTCATCTGCAAACAGACACAATTTGACTTCCTCTTTTCCTATTTGAACACACTTTCTTTCTTTCTCTTGCCTGATTGCCCTGGCCAGAACTTCCAATACTATATTGAATAGAAGTGGTGAGGGAGGGCACCCTTGGCTTGTACTGGTTTTCAAAGGAAATGCTTCCAGCTTTTGCCCATTCAATATGATATTGGCTGTGGGTTTGTCATAAATAGCTCTTATTATTTTGAGATATGCTCCATCAATACCTTGTTTATTGAGAGTTTTTAACATGAAGAGATGTTGAATTTTATCAAAGGCCTTTTATGCATCTATTGAGATAATCACATGGTTTTTATATTTGGTTCTGTTTATGCGATGGATTATGTTTATCCATTTGTGTATGTTGAACCAGCCTTGCATCGCAGGGAGGAAGCTGACTTCATTGTGGTGGATAAGCTTTTTAACGTGCTGCTGGATTTGGCTTGGCAGTATTTTATTGAGGATTTTCGCATCGATGTTAATCACGGGTATTGGCCTGAAGTTTTCTTTTTTTGTTGTGTCTCTTCCCGGTTTTGGTATCAGAATGATGCTGGCTTCATAAAATGAGTGATGGACTCCCTCATTTTCAATTGTTTGGAGTAGTTTCAGAAAGAATGGTACCAGCTCCTCTTTGTATTTCTGGTTGAATTCAGCTGTAAATCCATATGGTCCTGGGCTTTTTTTTTTTTGGTTGGTAGGCTATTAATTACTGCCTCAATTTCAGAACTTGTTATTGGTCTATTCAGGGATTCAACTTCTTCCTTGGTTAGTCTTCAGAGCATGTATGTGTCTAGGAATTTATCAATTTCTTCCATGTTTTCTAGTTTGTTTGCATAGAGGTGTTTATAGGATTCTCTGATGCTAGTTTGTATTTCGGTGGGGTCAGTGGTGATATCCCCTTTATCATTTTTTATTGTGTCTATTTGATTCTCTTCTCTTGTCTTCTTTATTAGTGTAGATAATATTCTATCATTTTGTTAAGTTTTCAAAAAACCGGCTCCTGGATTCATTGATTTTTTGGAGAGTTTTTTGTGTCTATATCTCCTTCAATTCTTCTCTGGTCTTAGTTATTTCTTGTCTTCTGCCACCTTTTGGATTAGTTTGTTCTTGCCTCTCTAGCTCTTTTAACTGTGATGTTAGGGTATCGATGAGTTATTTCAGGCTTTCTGATGTGAGCATTTAGTGCTATAAATTTCCCTCTTAACACTGCTGTAGCTGTGTCCCAGAGAGTCTGGTACATTTCCTCTTTGTTCTCATTGGTTTCAAAGAACTTCTTGATTTCTGTCTCAATTTCATTATTTGCCCAGGAGTCATTCAGGAGCAGGTTGTTCAATTTCCATGTATTTGTGTGCTTTTGAGTGAGTTTCTTAATTCTGAGTTCTAATTTGATTGCACTGTAGTCTGAGAGACTGTTATGATTTCAGTTCTTTTGCATTTGCTGAGTGTTTTACTTCCAATTATGTGGTCGATTTTAGAATAAGTGCTATGTGGCACTGAGAAGAACGTATATATATATATATATATATATATATATTTTTTTTTTTTTGCTGTTTTTGAGATGGAATCTTGCTCTGTCTCCCAGGCTGGAGTGCAGTGGCATGATCTCAGCTCACTGCAACCTCCACCTCTCGGGTTCAAGCGATTCCCTTTCCTCAGCCTCCCAGGTAGCTGGGATTACAGGCATGTGCCACCATGCCTGGCTAATTTTTTGTATTTTAATAGAGATGGAGTTTCACCATGTTGGCCAAGATGGTCTCGATCTGACCTCGTGATCTGCCTGCCTCAGCCTCCCAAAGCGCTGGGATTACAGGCGTCAGCCACCAGGCCTGGCCAAAGAATGTATATTCTGTTGATTTGGGGTAGAGTGTTCTGTAGACATCTGATAGGTCCACTTTATCCAGAGTTGAGTTCAACTCCTGAATATCCTTGTTAATTTTCTGTCTCGTTGATCTGTTTAATACTGACAATGGGGTGTTAAAGTCTCCCATTATTATTTTGTGGGAGTCTAAGTCTCTTTGTAGGCCTCTAAGAACTTGGTTCATGAATCTGGGTGCTCCTCTATTGGGTGCATATATATTCAGAATAGTTAGCTCTTCTTGTTGAATTTTTTTTTTTTTTTACCATTATGTAATGCCTCTCTTTTGTGACCTTTGCTGGTTAAAGTCTGTTTTATCAGAGACTAGGATTGCAACCCCTGCTTTTTTTTTTTTTTTTTGCTTCCCATTTGCTTGGTAAATTTTCCTCCATCCCTTTATTTTGAGCCTATGTGTGTCTTTGCACATGAGATAGGTCTCCTTAATACCACATGCTGATGAGTCTTGACTCTTTATCCAATTTGCCAGTCTGTGTCTTTTAATTAGGGCATTAGGCCATTTATATTTAAGGTTATTATTGTTATGTGTGAATTTGATCCTCTCATCATGATGCTAGCTGGTTATTTTGCAGAGTTGTTTATGTGGTTGCTTCACAGTGCCACTGGTCTGTGTACTTCTGTGTGTTTTTATAGTGGCTGGTAATGTTTTTTCCTTTCCATATTTAGTGATTCCTTCAGGATATTCTCCTGGATAACATCCTGAAGTGTGTTTTCCAGCTTTTCCATTTTCCCCACCTCCTTTTGGTACTCCAGTCAATTGTAGGTTCAGTATTTTGATGATGTCCCATATTTCTTGGAGGCTTTGTTCATCCCTTTTCATTCTTTTTTCTCTAGTCTTGTCTGCATTCCTTATTTTAGCAAGGTGGTCTTCAAACCCTGATATCCTTTCTTCCACTTGGTCAATTTGGCTATTGATACTTGTGTATGCTTCACAAAGTTCTTGTGCTGTTTTTCAGCTCCATCCTGTTGTTTATGTTCCTCTCTAAACTGGTTATTTTAGTTAGCAATTCCTCTAACCTGTTATCAAAGTTCTTAGCTTCTTTGCATTGGGTTAGAACATGCTCAGTGTAGTTTTTTATTACCCATCTTCTAAAGCCTACTTCTGTCAATTCGTCCATCTGATCATCCTCCTGTCCCCCAGTTCTGTGCCCTTGATGGAGAGACGTTGTGATCATTTGGAGGAAAGAGGCACTCTGGCCTTTTGGGTTTTCAGCATTTTTATGTTGATTCTTTCTCAGAACTACCAGAAGGAAATGCTAAGTCTGCTGGTCTGCAGAGACTGTGGCCACCCCTCCCATTAGGGGATCTGGCTTTTGTCCCTGAGCCTCTGACTGGAGTTACTGGAGTTCCTACAGGGAAGCCCTGCCCAATGAGGAAGGATGGGTCAGGTCAGGCCTAAAGAGGCACTCCGGCCACAGACTGGCACAGCCAGTGTGTTGGGCTGTAGGGGACAAGTCTTGGGACCAAGCATCCAGCTTCCCTGGCTCCATCAGGGGAAAAGCACAGCCTGGGGCTATAGAGATGGATACCCTTCTCCCACCCAGGGAGCATAGCGTGTTAGGCAGTGGCGAGTCCCAGTGCTGGCTGCTGCCCCTACCCGAAGGAGCTCAAATGGCTTAGACAGCAGGCAGCTGCAGCTGGTGCTGGTTGCCCCTCCTCTTGGGAGTTCAGTAGGCTTAAGCAGATTCCAGCTGAGAGGCTGTTAAGAGTACATGCATCTGCACATTCTAGGATTGGTACGCTAGGTCCCAGTGGCATGGGTTCACAAGTGGGATCTTCTGATCTGAGGGTTGCACAGTTCCATGGAAAAAGCACGGTTTCCCCAGCTGGGTAGCACGCTCACTCACTGCCTCCCTTTGCTGGTGGGGAGGGGGCTCCCCTGCCCTGTGTGGCTCTCAGGTGAGCCGCTGCACTGCATTGTTCTTCCTTCTCTCCTTCTTCCTCTTCCCTCCAGCTCTTAGTCAGTTCTGATGAGAGAACCTGGATATCTTGGCTGCTGATGAAGGATTCACATGCTTATTATGGTTTTCTTCAATGGGAGCCTCCGAATGCTGCTGCTTCTAGTTGGCCATCTTGACCCCGCCCCTTCTGGTTACTTTTTGCAAATTCTTTGGGATTTTCTACTTAGACAACTGTGTTGTTGTCACACGTATCCATGTGAAGAGACCACCAAACAGGCTTTGTGTGAGCAACAAGGCTGTTTATTTCACCTGGGTGCAGGCGGGCTGAGTCCGAAGAGTCAGTGAAGGGAGATAGGGATGGGGCCGTTTTATAGGATTTGGGTAGGTAGTGGAAAATTACAATCAAAGGAAGTTGTTCTCTGGCAGGGGCAGGGGTCACAAGGTGCTCAGTGGGGGAGCTTCTGAGCCAGGAGAAGGAATTTCACAAGGTAATGTCATCAGTTAAGGCAGGAACAGGCCATTTTCACTTCTTTTGTGATTCTTCAGTTACTTCAGGCCATCTGGATGTATACATGCAGGTCACAGGGGATATGATGGCTTAGCTTGGGCTCAGAGACCTGACATTCCTGTCTTCTTATATTTACAAGAAAAATAAAACAAAACAGTGTTGAAGCATTGGGGTGGCAAAAATTTTTTTTGGGTGGTATGGAGAGATAACGGGTGATGCTTCTCAGGGCTGCTTCTAGTGGGATTATGGGCGGCATGGGAACCTAGAGTGGGAGAGATTAAGCTGAAGGAAGATTTTGTGGTAAGGGGCGATATTGTGGGGTTGTTAAAAGGAGCATTTGTCACATAGAATGATTGGTGATGGCCTGGATGTGGTTTTGTATGAATTGAGGAACTAAATGGAAGACACAAAGTCCGAATAAGAGAAGGAGAAAAACAGGAATTAAAGGACTAAAAATTGGGAGGACCCAGGTCATCCAATTAGAGAGTGCCCAAGGGGTTTAGCATAATTGCTTGGTTGGTGAGTTTTTGGGCTCTATCCTTGAGTTTTTTTATGTTGTCATACACCAGGCCAGATTGATTTAGGTAAAAACAACACTCTTTATTTAAAAATATACAGAGTCAGTCCCCTTTTTTTAGCAGTAAGTTGAGGCCTCAGCAATTCTGGAAGAAAGAGAAATGCAAAGCCAGCCATTGTTTGTTAAAGGATTAGAAACGGCTAGGAGAGAGTGAGTGAGATTGATAGTGTGGTGGAGATAGCTGAGGAGAGGTACAGGGTGGCATAAGAATGGGAACGAGAATAAGAGTGAGTATAAAAGTAAAGAATAGGACTTATCAGGGTGAAAGTATTGGAGTGTGCCCTGTCAGCAAAGATTATCTATCCACTTTAAGAGAGACTTAAGGGTGGCAGTTTGAGGTATTTTAGTTTCCTGACTTGGGGCATGTAAGTAAAGTCAATTTGCCAGTCCTGGGCAGGGGCAAATCCCCAAACTTGATGTGTAGGGAAGGAAGGGGGCCTGAATAATCCCTGAGGAGTAGTAGAATAGCAGATGGAACACTGAGAAGTGATTTCCTTGAGGATAGATTTCCACAATGGAAAGGAAATGAGACGTTCTAAAAGGCGGACTAGCGGCTTGTAACCTACATGGAAGAGGTTACGAAATGATGACAGAATAGAATGGGCCTGTGAGGCTGGAAGGAGATATTTTCCTTGGTCCAAGAACCATTTGCCTTGTGTGGGAAGAGATTGATAGGTGGAAGTTTCAGTGGGGAAGCAGGTGGGAGTGACCAATGAGAAGGAGAAAAACTGCCGTGAGGGATAGAAGTTGGAACACTAGCTGCATTTTTAGCTACCTTATCAGCATTAGCACTGCCCTGAGTGATGGGATCTGGTGCCTTTTGATGGCCCTTGCAGTGAATGACTCCAGCTTCCTTTGGAAGTAAAGCGGCCTTGAGAAGAGTTTTTATTAAAGAGTCATTAATGATGGAGGACCCTTTTGTAGTGAGGAAACCTCTTTTTGCCCATATAACAGCATGGTGGTGCAGGATATGGAAGGCATATTTACGGTCAGTATAAATATTGACTCACAGTCCCTTTGCAAGAGTGAGGGCCTGAGTTAAGGCAATGAGTTTGGCTTGCTGACAGGTAGTGGAGTGGGGCAGAAAATATATGCATCAGGTGTGAGGAAGAAAATAGATTTTGGAAGTTATGAGAACTGTGGAGAGTGAGTGGAGCATAGCTTGTGATTTTGAGGGCCTCTGAAAGTATTAAAGCAGTGGCAGCTGCCACATGCAGACATGAGGGCTAGGCTAAAACAGTAAGGTTAAGTTGTTTGGACAGAAAGGCTACAGGGTGCAGTCCTGGCTCTTGTGTAACAATTCCAACCACACAGCCCTGCACTTTGGCTGTGTGTAATGAAAAAGGGTTGGGATGAGTTAGGGAGAGCTAGTGTGGGAGCAGCTTTTGGGGCTATTTTAAGGAACAGAAAGGAGTGGCTAAAGGATTTAGGATCTATGGGGTCAGCTAGGTTTCCTTTTGTGAGTTTATATAATGGTTTAGTCAGGGTGATAAAACTAGGTACCCAAAGGTGGAAGTACCTAACCATGCCTAGAAAGGAAAGGAGTTGCTGTTTTGTAGAAGGGGTTGGGGTTTGGGAGATTAGCCGGACACAATCAGCAGGGAGAGCATGTGTGTTTTCATGAAGAATTATGCCAAAATAGATAATGGATGAGGAAGAAATTTGGGCTTTGGAGGGGGATATGAGATATCCTTTTGAGAATAGATGTTGGAAGAGCAGGAGGGTGTCCTGTTGGGAAGATTTGTAGGAGGGGCTATAAAGTAGAAGGTCATCAAAATATTTAATAAGATGAGAAGCAGGTGGATGGAAAGAAAGTAAATTATGAGAAAGGGCTTGACTGAAGTAATGAGGGCTGTCCATGAAGCCTTGTGGCAGTACAGCCCAGGTAATTTGCTGAGCCTGATGGGTGTCAGGGTCTGTCCAAGTGAAAGCGAAGAGAGGCTGGGATGAAGGGTGCAAAGGAATAGTAAAGAAAGCATATTTGAGATCCTGAACAGAATAATGGGTTATGGAGGGGTTGTGGAGGGAGGTATTGAGGATAGGAGAGTATATGGCTTTGGCACCACGGGGTGGATAGGCAAGACAATTTGGTTGATAAGGGGCAGATCCTGAACTAACATGTAAGGCTTGTCCAGTTTTTGGACAGGTACAATGGGGGAATTGTAAGAAGAGTTTATATAGGCTTTAAAAGGCCATGCTGTTAATAGGCGAGTGGTAACAGGCTTTAATCCTTTTAAAGCTTGCTGTGGGATGGGATATTGGTGTTCAGTGGGGTAAGGGTGATTAGGTTTTAAAGGGATGGTAAGGGGTGCATGATCGGTCATCAAGGAGGGAGTAGAGGTGTCTTATACTTGTGGATTAAGGTGGGGAGATACAAGGGGAGAATGTGAAGGAGGCTTTGAACTGGGGAAAAGGGTGGCAATGAGGTGTGGCTGTAGCCCAGGAATAGTCAGGGAAGTAGATAATTTAGTTAAAATGTTTCAGTTAATAAGGGAACTGGGCAGGTGGGGATAACTAAAAAGGAGTGCATAAAAGAATATTGTTTACGTTGGCACCAGAGTTGTGGAGTTTTAAGAGGTTTAGAAGCCTGGCTGTCAATAGCCACAACAGCTATGGAAGCAAGGGAAACAGGCCCTTGAAAGGAAGGTAATGTGGAGTGGGTAGCCTCTGTATTGATTAAGAAGGTGATGGACTTACCCTCCACTCTAAGAGTTACCCAGAGCGTCTGTGATGGTCCAGGAAGCTTCCTAGGTGATCGGACAGCATCAGTCTTCAGCTGCTAAGCCAAGATCTGGGAAAGAGTCAGTCAGAGAGCCTTGGGCCAGAGTTCCAGGGGTTCTGGGAGTGGCTGCCAGGCGAGTTGGACAGTCCAGTTTCCAGTGGGGTCCTGCACAGATGGGACGTGGCTTAGGAGGAATCCCGGGCTGTGGGCATTCCTTGGCCCAGTGGCCAGATATCCGGCACTTGAAGCAAGATCCTGGTGGAGAAGGTCCTGTAGGAATGCTTGACCACTGCAGCTTAGACATTTCAAAGTTTTTGTGTGCTGGAGATGTGGCTGGGGTTTCTCTCACAGTGGAGGCAAGGAATTGCAACTCTTCTCTATTATTGTACACCTTGAAGGTGAGGTTAATTAACTCCCGTTGTGGGGTTTGAGGGCCGGAATCTAATTTTTGGAGCTTTATTTAATGTCAGGAGCAGATTGGGTAACAAAATGCATATTGAGAATAAGACAGCCTTCTCACCTTTCAGGGTCTACGGCTGTAAAGCATCTCAGGGTTGCTGCCAAACGAGCCATGAACTGGGCTGGGTTTTTATATTTGATGAAAAAGAGTCTAAATGCTTACTGATTTGGGAGAGATAGGATAAAGAAAAAGGAGCATTAACCTTGACTATGCCTTTAGCTCTGGCCACCTCTTTAAGAGGAAATTGTTGGGCAGGTGGGGGAGGGCTAGTCACGGGACGAAACTGTAAGCCAGACTGGGTGTGAGAAGGGGAGGTGATAGAAGGATTATAGGGTGGGGGAGCAGAGGCTGAGGAAGAATTGCAACCTGGCTAGGCCTGGCGAGGAGCAGCCTGGGGAGGAGGCAAGAGGTCAGATGGGTCTGTAGAAAAGGAGGATTTAAAGGACTCAGAGCTTGGGGTGGAGACCGAAGGAACAGACAGGAGAGAAAGAAGAAAGATTTGGGATGAGTTGCATTGGGAGCAGAGACTAGGGTGGGACCAATGTGTAAAAGAATGCCTGGACGTCAGGCACCTCAGACCATTTGCCCATTTTTTGACGAAAATCATCCAGGTCTTATAAAATGGAGAAATCAGAAGTGCCATTTTCTGGCTATTTAGAACAATTATCGAGTTTGTATTGGGGCCAAGTGGTGTTGCAGAAGAAAATAAGACGCTTAAGTTTTAGGTCAGGCAAGAGTTGAAGAGGTTTTAAGTTTTTGAGAACACAGGCTAAGGGAGAAGAAGGGGGAATGGAGGGTGGAAAGTTGCCCATAATGAAGCAGGCAAGCCCAGAGAAAAGAGAGGGTAGAGACACGGAGAAGGGGGTTAGTGAGCAGCGAAAGCAGGCATCCCCGCAATCGACTTGCCACCAAGGGAATGTGGGTGAATGACCAAGGCAGGCAGCCCCGTGGTGATCAGACACCAATGGAGTGTGGGTGAATAATCAGGCAGGTGTCCCCACAGTGATTAAACACCAAGGGAAGACTGTCTTCCCAAGTCCGTGACCGGTGCCGGAGTTTTGGGTCCACGGATAAAATGTGTCTCCTTTGTCTCTACTAGAGAGGAAAAAGAACTGGAATTGGAAGGACGGGGAGATTGGAGGGTAGCAAGAGAGGGAGATTGAAGGGTAGGGAGAGAGGGAGATTGAAGGGTAGCAAGAGAGGCTGGAGAAGAGAGTGAAAAGACTGCTTACCTCATTTGAAATTGGTGAGATGTTCCTTGGGCTGGTTGGTCTGAGGACCTGAGGTTGTAGGTAGATCTCCTCATGGAGTGAGGGCAAGGACAGGGGACCAGTCTCCAGAAGGAGTCCTCCTGTCCTGGGTTTTGGGACCAAATGTCATGTGCTTCTGTGTAAAGAGTCCACCAAACAGGCTTTGTGTGAGCAACAAGGCTGTTTATTTCACCTGGTTGCAGGCGGGCTGAGTCCAAAAAGAGAGTCAGCAAAGGGAGATAGGGATGGGGCCGTTTTATAGGATTTGGGTAGGTAGTGGAAAATTACAATCAAAGGGGATTGTTCTCTGGTGGGCAGGGGCGGGGGTCACAAGGTGCTCAGTGGGGGAGCTTCTGAGCCAGGAGAAGGAATTTCACAAGGTAATGTCATCAGTTAAGGCAGGAACTAGCCATTTTTACTTCTTTTGAGATTCTGCAGTTACTTCAGGCCATCTGGATGTATATGTGCAGGTCACAGGGGATATGATGGTTTAGCTTGGGCTCAGAGACCTGACAGTTGTCTGTAAATCAAGACCATATTATGTTTTTTTTTCCTATGTGGATGCTTTACTGAACTGGCTATGATCTCCTGTGAGATGCTGAGTAGGAGTGGTGATGTCAGACATGTTTGACTTCCTCCTGATCATAAGGGGAAAACATTCAGACTTTGTATGCATAGATTAATATACATTTTTTATAGATGCCATTTATTAGCTTGAGAAAGTTACTCTGTATCCTGGTTTGCTGAGAGTTTTACCATGAATGGATGTTGAATTTTGTAAAATGGCTTTTCTGCGTCTATTAAGATAACATGTGGTTTTCTTTTCCAGTGTGTTGCTTGAGATACCAGATTATTACATTGATTGATTTTTCAAATGTTGAGCCAGACTTGCATTCCTGGGGTAAACCCCACTTGTTCATGAATCAGCTGTTTATCCAAGGAGGCCTGGTTCCTTTAATTGAAGAAAGGTATTTAGAAATCAAATCTCCTTTATTTTTATAATTTTATGTAACTCTGTAATTCACATGCCATCAAAATGACCCTTTAGAAGTATAATTAAATGCTTTATATTATGTTCACAGAGTTGGATGGTCATTACCACTCTCTAATTTCAGAATATTTTTATCACCCTAAAGGGAAACTATGTACCCATTAACAGTCACTCCTTATTCCCTACCCCTAGTCTACTAATCGACCTTCAGTATCTGTGGATTTGCCTATTATCAGTGTTCCATACAAATTGAATCAAATAATGTGTCCCTTTATGTCTGTCTTCTCTTACTCAGCATAATGTTTTCAAGGTTATTCCATGTTGTAGCATGTATCAGTACTTTATTCTTTTAATGGCTGAATAGTATTCCATTGTGTGTTAATTCTTTAAATGTTTGGTAGAATTCACAAGTGAAGCCATTTGTGCTTAGCTTTTTCTGTTTTCATGGGAAGTTTTTTGATTACTAATTCAGTCTCTTTACTTGTTATAGTTTTATTTATACTTTATGTTTCTTCTTGAGTTACTTTCAGTAGTTTGTGTCTTTCTAAGAATTTATAAATTTTGTGTAGGTTATTTAACTCATTGGCAAACAATTATTTATAGTAGTCTCTTATAATCACCTTATTTCTGTGAAGTCAATAGTGTTATTCCCTGTACATTTCTGATTTTATCAATTTTAGTGTTCTCTTTTTTTCTTGATCAGTCTAGCTAAAAGTTTGTCAATTTTGCTGATTTTTTTTTTTCCAAAAATCTAGCTTTTGGTTTCACTGAATTTTCTCTAGTTTTAAAATTTTCTATTTTACTTTTTCCACTCTAATCTTTATTATTTTTTCCTTCTGCTTGCCTTGAGTTTTGTTTGCTCTTTCCTTTTTGTATAGCTTCTTAAGGTGGAAGTTTCAGTAACTGATTTGAGCTCTTTCTTCCTTTTTAATATGGCATTTAAAGCTATACATTTCTAATATCGTTTGGCTGTTTCCCCACCCAAATCTCATCTTGTATTCTCATGTGTTGTAGCAGGGACCTGGTGGGAGGTAATTGAATCATAAGGGGTGGGTCTTTCCCATGCTGATCTTGTGATAGTGAGTAAGTCTCATGAGATCTGATGGTTTTATAAGTGGGAGTTTCCCTGCACACACTCTCTTGCCTGCTGCCATCCGTGTAAGGTGTGACTTGTTCCTCCTTGCCTTCCACCATGATTGTGAGGCTTACCCAGGCACATGGAACTGTAAGTCTATTAAACTTCTTTCTTTTGTAAATCTCCCAGTCTTGGGTATGTCTTTATCAGCAGCATGAAAACAGACTAATACAATTTCCCTCTAAGCACTGCTCTAGTTGTATCCTGTAAATTTTATTGTGTTTTAGTTTTCATTCATCTCAAAGTATTTTCTAATTTTTCTGTGGTTTCCTCTCTGATCTATTTTTTTTTCATTTAAGAGCATGTTTTTAGATTTTCACATATTTGTAAGTTTTCCAATTTCCTTCTATTATTGATTTCTAACGTCATTCCGTTGTGTTCAGAGAACATGTAATTTCAAGCCTTTTACCTTTATTGAGACTTGTTTTATGGCCTAATATTTGGTTTATCCTGAGTAATGTTCTCTATGCACTTGAGAAGAATACACATTCTGCTGTTGTTGGGTAGAGTAGAGTGTCTTATGTCTTGTTGGTTTATGTTGTTCATGTTTTTAATTTCTTTATCTTCTACCCAGTTGTTAAAAGTAAAGTATTGAATTCTCCAACTGTTAATGTTGAATTATCTATTTCTTTTCTCAACTCAGTCAGTTTTTGCTCCATGTATTTTGGGACTCATGTTAGGCTTCTTCATTTATAAAGGATATTTTCATGGATATAGAATTCTGTGTTGATAGTTTTTTTTCTTTTATATCTTTATCAATGTTATTCCCATTGACTTCTGATTTCCATTGTTTCAAGTGAGAATTTTCATCTTTTTGAATTTTTTTGAATTTTCATCAAATTCAACTGTAATTTTCATCTTTGTTTCTCTTTATATTATGTGTCTGCAGTTACTGCATGGTGTTCACCTTTTCCACTAGAGCAGGATTTGGCAAAGCTTTCCAGGAAGGGAGATGGTGAGTATTTTAGGCTGTGTGCCATGTGGTCTTTGTTGCAACTCATCAGCTGTGCTGCTGTAGTGAGGAAACAGTCATAGACAATAAGTAAACACATGGGCATGGCATGTTCCAGTGAAATATTTACAGAATCAGACAGAAGCCTGGATTCAGTCCATGGACTGTAGCTTGCTCACTCCCGGTCTGAAGTTGCAAATGTATTTATTAGAGTTATTTAGAATTCCCTATTTGATAGTTCCAGGATGTGGATCATATCTGTATCTGGTCCCATTGATTGTTGTATGATTTGGTGGTGAGTTATTTTTTCTCTTTTTCATGTGTTTGAAAACTTTTGGTTAAAAGCTTGATATCATATGTAGCAGGGATTGGCAAACTTCTCTGCAAAGTGCCAGAGAGGGAGTATTTTAGACTTCACAGGCTATACCAACTCTATTGCAACTACTCAACTCTGTTTTATTGCAGACATAGACAAATCTTGAATGAAAAGGCTTGACTGTGTCCCAATAAACCATTACGTATGAAAACAGATGGTGGGCTGGATTTGATACACAGGCTGTAGAGACTGAGGTAAACAGTCTGTATGCCATGCAATGTGCATACCTCCTTTTCTGCTAGGCCTTTTTGCGGGGGCTTGAATCAGCCTAGAGAGGAGTTTAGTTGAGGTTTGTTGTTATGGCTACCTTCAGTGCACCACTGGCTTCAAATTCATTACTTTCTGCTTAGGGTTGGGGCTGGTTTCCTTCAACAGGTTTTCTCACTGCTCCTGTCCCACCTTCAGCTCTAGGTTTCTCTTCCCCCCGACCCCAGAGCAGTCTTGCTCCGTGCTCTTGCCCCTTCCCTAGCTGTAGACTTCTGATACTTGTCACTGGATGCCTGTTGCCTGCTGAGGTTTCTCTTTTTTTCTGTTTCAGCCTCATGTTTAGGCAGGATTTCTGTATCTGGGTCTTGGAAGTGGGGATTTCTCAGTGGTCCTGCCTCTTCTCTGGCAGTAGAGGACCTATCAAAATCTGGACCCAGAATGATTTCTTGCCCCTTTCCCAGAAGTGGAGGGTTTTATTCTGTTCCCTTCTCCAGCCACAGTGGGTCTTCATCAGTTCCCTGGCAGTGACCGGTTTTGCTGTCTTCCTCTCAGAAGCTAAAGCCTTGTCCCCTAGTGGGAGGGTTTAGGGAGGGCCCTGAGGTTTCCTGCGGCAGTGGGCTCCTTTCCAGCCTTGCATCATGGGGGACACTTTCCCTTACCTGCTGCCCTAGCCCCTCATCTCTTTTGTGAGCAATCGGTGAAGTCTGCAGAAAATACCCTGGGAGTCAGTACAAGCTCTCCTGTACCTGCAGCTTCTGCAGTCACCTATATGCACCAAAACTCTTAGCAGAAATCTTCTTAGGCCTTTCTTTGGCACAGTCTTGTCTTTCTCTTAGGCCCTGCCCTAGGGAAGCCAGGCTCGAATCCTGTGCCTTCTAGGAGGAATTTATCTTTCTTTAGATTTCAGGCTAATTGGTTGCCTTGTGACCTGAACTCTCTGATGGGTTCAAGAGGGTTATAATTTTGTAGATTGTCTGGCTTTTTCTTATTGGTAAGGCAGGAGCTTGTCATTACAGTAGTTTTCTTTCCAAGTTAAAGCTGGGTCATTTTTGATATGGAAAATGTTTAGGGAGACAGGATGGCAGTGGAGAGCTTGCAGTGACCCATGGGGATTAGTATGAAACGGGTCTGTAGCTCCTGGTCTCCAGTGTGGTCATGGCACTGCCCTGATTTGAGTTCAACAACCTGGGATGGAGGCTGAAGGTTGACTAGCAGAGCTTATTTAGACAGTGGGGATCCTGGGGGCTTCATATATCTGGGTCTGGACTTCCAGGGCAGAATGAAGCTGATCACTGCTGTAGCCAGGAGAGGTGGGTGGCCTGCTAGGGTTAGCCCGGCTCTCGTGTCTTGGCAAATCATCGTTGAGTGCATTCACATCTTCAGTGGACTAACCTTTGCTATAAATCTCATGCCTCAGGATCCAGCAGTAGCTGAGCCTTCGTGTCCTGAGGACTCTTGTTTATTGTTCAGAGAAAAGAGTTTCAGCTGCTAACACTGATGGTTTCTGTTTCAGGAAAACAATTCACGAGGGTCTTTTAAGAAAAAGTTGCCCTTAAGACACACCACAAAGAAAAAAGATATGTCAAAGAAATAGAAATTTATATATTCTGTAATAACCCAGCCATGGATGAAAATACTTGTAAGATCCTCTTGTAAACAGCTGGCATAATGTAGGCTAAATATAGTTTAAAATATGCAGAGAACACTCAGTAGGGAAAAGATCTTCCTTTCCATCCACCACCTCCTCCTTGCTCCCCATTAAAAACCCCATAATAATATCACCAGATACAAATTTTTAAAGTTTTTCATGGCTCTTTATTTGTTACCATAATTCTTTTTCCAATTATAGTTTTAAAATCAGTTTATAAAGAGTTTTCATGTATATGACTTTCTGGTGTAACATATTAGCCATAAAGAGAAGAAAAATGATATATCACAGTATTAATTGATATAATGCTTGGGAAAGTGCTTTGCAAATTGTAAAAATCTTTTGTAGGTATTAGCTTTTTTTTTTAAATTATGTATGTCAGATATTTTATAAATGAGGAAACTGAGGCATAGAGAAGGGGGTACCCTGCCCCACGAGGTCACAGGTCATTTCCCACATTGCTGATCTTGAAGCGTGCTAGCTGGCACTCGCTGACAGGCTGCATCTTCTGAGGTTCGAAGGTCCCCTCTCTGTGGGTAGGAATGGAAATCCCAACAGCTCCTTCCACAGCTTTGCGTGGTGTCTAAGATCTTTATCTCCTTGGATGTGATTTAGTCCCCCAAATAAAGCACCTGCAGCCCCCATTAAAAAGTATGGTAATTAAGATCCTATGAGATAATATGTCCTATGAGATTACCTGATAGTAAGGATTACCTAATGCCATGTGCATTGCATCTCTGTGGCCTTCCTCCCTCCTTCCCTCTCTCCGTCCCTCCATCCCTCCCTCCCCTGCCTCCCTCCCTTCCCTGCCTCCCTCCCTCTCTTCTTCCCTTCCTCCCTCCAATTGTTTATTAAGTGGACCTATGTGTGAGGACCTGAATGTTCTTCCTCTTGAAGACAAATATAGAAGGAGTCTTGACCAAAGGAGAGGTTGAGAGGAGCTCTGCTAGCTCACGGGGAGGCAGACAAGCCACACCCCAGCCCATCACCCATCACAGTGGTTGACATCTCTTAGAATTCAGACTTGATTAAAATCAGATTAAATTAACCCTGAGGGGAGGCTGGAAGGGGAAGAGATCCTCTCAGAGCTGCCTGAAGGCTACATATGGAGTGGAGGACATCTGGGCCTTGTTGGACACCAAAAGGCAAAGCCACGTGGAAGGGGAGGCAGCAGGGGCAGGGATGGGGGTGGGGGTCCACTTGGTGTGTTGGAAGCAGCAGCCTGGGACCGGGGAGACAGGAACACAAGAGGGTCAGGTGGTTCTCAGGTCCCAAGCTGGAGTGAGAGCTCTCTGGGTGGTGATCTTCATGCTGTTCTCTTCTGTGGACTGGGAGAAAAAGGTGGAGTAACCCTGGCTTACTTGGGACCCATCATACATTATGCTAATTGGGGTTTCAGCTTCAAAATTTCATTTTAATTGTTGATATTACTTCAGTCAACATCTTTCAACAATTTGTTTTGAATGTTGGGGAAATATACTTTCCATTGAATCCTGGGGAATGTTTACCTTCTGATTTTCTCCTCTTGCTGGTAACTTAAGAGAAAAGACATCATTCAGTGTGATAAATGCCAACTAGATTATCAGAGAAGCTTTTTCTGCTTTCAAGAAAAGTGGTTCCCCTAGATATTAAAATATAAAGATGCTATTTTCACCACATTGGAGCAGAAGTGCATTTGGGCCCCAGATCGCCACCTAGTGACCAGAAAAGAACCCATTGGGCATAACCAATAAGTCTGATGGGTGTCCATCCAGTTTTAGAATGTGGGTCTCTTCTCTTTTTGTTACTTGATTTTTAACTGAAGGATGCTCTTCAGGTGACAATTTGCCCCAGAAAAAAATATCAGTGGGCAAACTGTACCTCTTTTCTCCTTTCAGCCCTTCCTCTGCCCTTTCAAGTCAAAATTCTGAGTACTTTCAAAAATCACATGAAAGTCTGCAGACTTTTATTGAGCCTTCAGTTTATAAAACATACATGGAACCATCTGCCATAATAATTTAAAAATATGTGTGGATTATAAACTGCCTTTGTAGACATTTCCTTTTGATTTTTATTTTCACGGTAACAACCTTGCCAGATGGTTATTCTCAATACAGTGATTACCTGTCTTGTGCTTGGTGACAAAGGTGACAATAGAAACAGCAGAAATTGAAGCAGATTGCCTCCTCTTCCTACCTACACTCCATGGCCAGGAAAGTGGTGTGCTGGGTGCAGGGCGGGTGCCGCTCACCCGGGGCTGCCCTCTCTCTGTGGGCTTGCCTCATCATGTCAGCTCTGGGCAGCCTGGGGAGGTGACAGTGAGTTATTTTATAAGCTCACTAGTTTGTTTCCAAGTGCCCAGCAACCCTTTGGGCTCTACCCAACAGCATCATAGTCCAATTACAGCCTTCAAAGTCTCTGAGCCGTTTCTCACTATGCTGCATTACACAGGGCTGTTGAAGTTCATCAGCCAGTTTGAGGCCACCAGAAATTGAGGCCCAGCAGGCAGATTTATTTGGGAGGAGGGAATGAGCCCATTTCACACTTCACTTAAAACATGTTGCCTTTCCTGCTGAATGCTTATGGCTGTTAGTGGCCATCAATCCTACCAAATTCTGTAGAATCAGGTGCTTCAAAGTCCTGGAATTCTTGCCACTTGCAACACCTTGTTTCCGAAACATTGCAGTGCCTTCTGATATTTTGTGAGTTTGCAAGTTTCATTTTTCTGGGAGAATAAGGCAATGTTAAGTCCTTGAAGTTTAATTCAAGGCAGTAGTAAGTTTTTCTTTTACTCACTGGAAATCATTTTTGGCTATTTTGTTGAAGTTATTTTTGTTTGTTTTTGAGAATTAGGAAGCGGAGGGGTATTCAAAAAGAGGGGACACAAGAAACCAAAAAATACCAATTATTTTCACTATCATTTTTCAGTCTGCTTTACTTTGCTTCGAAGTGTTCACACTTCCAGTGGCCCCGGCACAGGAACGCACGGTCACGCTGCACAGGGCCTGTGATGCTGGCTTTAGAAACCTCCTTCTTTTGCAGTGTGTGTGCAACGCAACCGCTTCACCGCTTCTTCTCAGTTTCTTTGTGTGCTGTGAGCCTGAGAATCCGGATGCATAGCATTTTCAGGCTGGATTCTCATTCCGTAAGGCTTCATTAGATGTCTTTTTCTTTTTTTTTTTTTTTTGCATTGATTTTAGTCAATCTGGCAACTAAGGAATGGTTAAAAATGAATTTTTAACATTTTATGATCATAAATTAGCTTGGCTCTGTGAGGAACTGTTATTGATTGTCATTCAAAAAGCTACTGGCACTTGGTGACAGAGTTTAGCAGGCAGGGCAGGCCCTCGTGGAGAGTGGAGCACACAGTTGCCTGCCCGACCTGCCTTTTTGATCACATGTTCCCAGTTCAAAAGCACATCCTGGTCGTGCTGCGCGGTTCCTATAATCTTTTCCTGTCTATTTGGACAGCCTCTTTTGACTTGTGATAACAGCCTGCTCCAAGCAAAATTAATCACAATGGTTTATTTTTTAATTCTTTCTTAATATCTTTGGGTAAAGCTACAGAGATTTACTCCCCTGAACCAGGCTTCTGCTCATTTTCCCTGCTGTTTTTATGATTTTCGTTAAGACCACCCCAAGCAGAGTAGAAAATCTCTGGGTTTCGGGGCCTTCGGTTCTCTCTCACCACTCACAGAATCCTTTCGTCCCTGCTTTTCCTCTTCCTATTAGGTGGCTGGTGGATAAAACCTCTGCTTTTGATGGCTGTTATCAGTTATTGACACATAATGTGAAATTAAGTCAGTGTCAGCTTCTGAAGCTTGCCGCTCTAAGTCTTAGCTTCTGTTGTGGAATGGAAGTGGCTGCCCTCTGTGAAGAAGCCGTCAGGGCATCTGAATGTTAGTGCCATATAGGCTGGGAGGGCAGCCCTGGGCTGTAGATAAGGATGTTGGCCGTGCAGAAAATTATTTCACTGAATATGCATCTTATTTTACCCAAGGATAAGGAGAGCTGACAGAAAACCCAATGGTTAATGTTTGCTTGGTGGTTCAGGCCCTGATGTTTGTGCTTACATATCAATCAGCTTACCTAAATGCATCTCTGCAGTTTCCCAAATATTTGGTAGGTGACAACCTAGCCACTTGGTATTTCTTGTGATCCTGGAAATAACGAGTGCTTTTATTGGAGGTTTTTTTTTTTGTTCATCCATTAGTGATGTTCTGTGATCTTTTGCTTAGGTGTAAAATGATGCCTAGTACTGCAGTGTGGTGCAGAGGAGAGCAAGCACTGGGCCTGCATCCACAAGACCTGCCAGTAGCCCTGGACCTGCTGTCGAGGGGCTGTATCCACTCAGGCCCATTGCAGGGGCCCCATGTCCTCATTGGTAAGATGAGGCCAAGGAATTAGATGCTCCTTCTTGGTTCCAGCTCTTGGGAAATTTGTGAACTCCACACAGGTTCAGCCCTTCCTCTTGTCTTCTTGAGCCTGATGGGCATGAGCAGGAAGCTGCACCCCGTAGTCGCGACCCCACTCCATGTGGCTGGGCAGGTTAAAGGGGAGCCATGGGACCAGAGGCTTAGTGGTCCATTTGGGCTCTGTGGTGGGATTGACCTTGACTCACGGTGGGTGGTTGTTTGAACTCTGAATACAGACTCTTCGCCTTCAGACAGAACAAGATCCAAACAATTCTAGAAGAGTGTTCACTACATTTTTCTTTGCCTCAGATACTTTGCTTACTACTAAATGTAACTCTTTTCTGAGAATCTCAAATTTCTATTTCTTTCTTTGTTGGCCGAACTCACTCACTTCCTGTATGGCATTTGATTTAAACACAGCCTTTCTTCAGTCTCTTGGGGTGGATAATTTCAGCCTGATAAAATGATCTTTTGAGTTTTGTAAAATTGTTTCTGAGCAATTCCGAGTAGGATTTACTTGGCGACTTTCCTCAGTAGTGATCAAAGATCGTGTGCTTTGGACATATGACTGCACCGAGAAGGAACATTTCCTTTGCCTTCCTGGCAGCCGTAAAAACTTGGGGTGGTTTTCTCCTATTTGTAGACAGCCCTCTTCCAAATGATCCTAAAGAAGTTGTCACTGGATGCATTAAAATTGCCAAGAGGATTTTAACATGTACTTACAGCTGTGCATTGCTCAATGATGGGGTGTGTTCTGAGAAATGCTCCTTTAGATGATTCTGCCCTTGTGCAAACGTCAGAGAGCGACGTGCACAAACCTCGATGGCACAGCCTACTGCACACCTCGGCTATGTGGTGTAGCCTATTGCCTATTGCCCAGACTGCAAACCTGTACAGTAAATGACCGTACTGAATAACATCGGCAACTGTAACGCAGTGGTGAGTATTTGTGCATCTGAACATATCTAATCATAGAAAAGATACAATCAAATATGGTATTATAATTTTAAGGAACCACCATTGGACATGTGGCCTTTTGTTGATGGAAACATCATTATGCTGCATATGACAGTGTTTAAAAAATCATTTAAGAATGCTTGAAAATGGAAAGAGGAGAAGCAAAATGTTAATCAGAGGAACTCAGCACCCAAACAAACTTGCCTAATTGAATTCAGCCATGTGTGTGGTGGAACGTGTAGAAGTCAGAGTCCTCGGATCAAACACCAGCCCTTCCTGCTTGACATCTGTGATGTCTAAGGCAGAGCGCTCCGCCTCTCTGAATGTTATTTCCCTCATCTACAAAAGGAACTGCACATGGCAGTGTTGTGATGTTGAATGAGAAAAGGGATCTAAAGGCTGAAAATGAAAACCATGCGCGAATGGAAGGTAGCCCTGCCTTCTTCACTTTCCTCTTCTGGACTTTCCTTGAGTTCCCTATGTCGGTTCTGTTGCGTCATGTGCAGGAATCAGTGTCTCCTGGCATGGCGAGGGGCTCTTTCTACTTGTGTATCTTCATCTGGGTCCTAATGTAATTTCCAGTCCCCTCTGCACACCTGATTTCGATTGTGCATCTCTTTGACGTTGGATGGTTACTGTATGTCAAACAATATCGAAATCAAAACATCTGCCAACACTAAATGGTTTCAGAAAGTATTCTTGTCTGTTTTCACCATACATTTGTGTTGAATTTCCCAGCAAATTTCATAGGAAAAATCACCTATAGCACAAGTTTTCATTCCATTCAAAAGTAGACTCCAATATGTTTTTGTCAGTGTGAATAAAGGAATAATAAATAGCTTATCACCTGATTGAAATTCAGACTAAGAAAGAACCATCAAGATCCTGTAGCCAATCTACCCGTCTCCTTTGCACTTTCTCTTCAGATAGGTGGTCCCACTGCTTCATTCTTCCTTGAAGCAACCTTTGTGTTTGTAGGAGAGTGTTGGGTGCTCTGAGATTGTTGATAACATAGAACTAAAGCCGCTCGAGGCCATACACAGTGAAGCTGGCTGCTCTGCCACTCTTCCTATCAAAGCTTCGTTTCCATTAGGGCAGATCCATCTTGTATTTGAAGAGAGCTTTTATGTTCCGCTTGAGTCTTCTCTTCTCCAAACCAAGTCAAACACCCGAGTCCCTCCAATATTAGGCATATGGCCTGATTTGTAGTCATTTTCTTCACATTTATTTAAATGCCTCTGATGGTGTGGCCCCAGCACTGAGCGCAGGGCTCAAGGTGAGAGTGAGCCATGCAGTTTCTCTCCCCCAATGTCTAGTGTATACCTCCCTATACTGCACTTCCCCAGAGGACGTTGGAGATGGCAGGAGTGCTTTTATTAATTTCCAATGGCTACTGTGGCAAATTACCATGAATTTAGTGGCTTAAAACAGCACAAGGTTATGATTTACAGTTCTGTAGGTCAGAAATTCAACACGGGTCTCATTGGACTAAAGCCAAGTTGCTGGCTTGGCTGCATTCCTTTCTGGAGGCTCTGGGGAGAATCTGTTTCTTTGCCTTTTCCAGCCTCTGTAGGCCATCCACATCCTTTGGCTTGTGGGCCCTTCCTCTGTCTTCAAAGGCAGTAACCCTGCATCCCTCTGAGCATTCTTTTGCCATCACGTTGCCCTCTGGCTCTTCTCTTCTGTCTTCCTCGTCCACTTTTAAGGATCCTTGTGATTATGTTGGGCACTCTGGATGATCCAGTATACTCGCCCTCTTTATTAGCAGCCTTAATTTCACTGCAACCTGATTCCCCTTTGCCATGCACCCTAACATAGTCACAGGTTCTGGGCTTAGGATGTCATCATCTTTGGGGGCCGTTATTCTGCCTACCTTACCCACTGAGTCTTATATGTGCTAAGCTTCTGTATCTTGTAGTCACATAAATTGAGGTTTTGGACACAAGTAGGTCTTTCATTTGCGTCTGACACATTTTGTCCTACACGTTTTGTGTGCTGTGTGCCATATACCATTTCCATTGCCATTGTGTCAGCCTTTCAGGGCTCAGAGCTTGTCTTTCAAAATATTGGCTCACCTTTTAAGCCTCATTTTATGAGCATGTCTAGCATAAGGTCCTTTGGAAGTGTACCCAAACTGAGACTATGTATTGATTATCAGCTCAATTTAGAAATGTTACTGCAGCCAAAAGATGAACATAAAGCTTATCCAGCCATGTAGGAGGTCTAGCTTACTTAAATACTTCTTTATCATTAGGACTAATGAAAATAAATGAAATGTATATTGAAGGTTTTAATAAAAAGAAACATAGTAAGTTGCAGAAGAGAGCTGAGGTTAGATGTTCAGAAGCTCTTTCCTATCATAAGGCATCATTGCTTGGCTGTAGTCTGTTAGCTTTAAGGAGTGGAGATAAGTAGCAGTCTTCTCTATCTTTTCAGGGTTTGCTCCTATGTGACAACACCGATTTTGAGTACAGAATGTTTGAAAGAGTCTGATCTCTCTTTATTTTCTATTTGTTTTTAAAATAGTCTTTATGTTTCGGAGCAGTTTTAGTTTTATAGAAAAATTGAGCAAAAAGTACAGAGATTTCCTGTTTACTCCCCCTCCTGCCCCCCCTACCTCCATCCCTGGCCCAAGCCTCCCCTGCTGTCAGCATCTCCTACCAGAGTGGTACATTTGTTACAACTGATGAACCAACACTGACCCCTCACATCATCATCACCCGAGTCCACAGTTCACATTAGGGCTCTCTCTTGGTGTTCCACATTCTACAAGTTTGGACAAATGTATAATGACATGCATTCCCCATTATAGTGTTGTGCAGAGTAGCTTCACTCTCCTAAAAATCCCGTGTCCCCCCATCCACTCCCTTGTCCCCTACAAACCTGTTGTAATCACTGTACAATGGGTCTCTTTACTACCTCCATGGTTTCACCGGTTCCAGAATGTCATAGAGTTGGAATCATACAGTGTGTACCTTTCAGACTATAAACGCTTAGCGGGAACTTCCTCCAGACATCTTTCTGCTCCACATATCTTTATTGTCTTTGCCTGCTCAGGGTCTGTGGGAGGAAATGCAGAGATCACCTGGGAGGTCACTTGCATTGCACATGAGGGAACTGAGGTTGGCATCATTGTGAGCTCACTCAGTTTTCCATGAAGATCTGTAACTTAACCTAGTATTTAAGATTCCCATTCCAGTGCTCTGTCAACATGTCAAAGGGCTATTAAGCAAGTGACTAGTTGCCGGGGCTGGGGAGGGAGCAATCTATAAATTGGTGAATAACTTGGACAGAATGAAAAGAGTCTGGCCCTGGGGAACATCAAATGTCCATCAAGTGGGATGGAGTGAGGATGGCTGAGGAAGGGAGGGAGCATCACATATTATGTGCTGGGAACAGTGCTGAGCATCGTATTCATATTCTTTCTTTTTATCCTCATGTGAGGATTGCTGTTGAAATGGTAGGTATTAGTTTTCTAAATTTGAACTAAGAGAGACTCAGAGAGGTAAATTACTTTCCCATGGCCACATAACTAGAAAGTAGGTTTTAAATCCAGATTTGTCTTGCTCCAAAGCTTCCATTATTCCCATAAATACACGAGTTTGCCTTCCCAGAGGCAATGGAAGTGCTTCTCCACTTGCCATGTAATCCATCTGTGACACCAGCCACTCTAAGGCTCACACAGGCATGATTTGGGTTGAATTTTTAAAATCTTTCTAAGAAATGCGGGGCGTTCCCTTACTTTTAAGAATGTGTGAAGAGGACAGCCAAGCCCACTCGTGGTGTTCTTGAGTCTCTTTCTCTTTTTTGAATTATTAAAGCAATTTTTATTTATTGCTAAGGAGATTTGAGGTGGTTTGCAATAAAAATAGAGATAAAAGAACATGGAAATCCTTTAAAAGAAGAATACAAACACCAAGCAATAAATTCGAAAGTCAGAGAGAGGGAAAATCAGGGCATTTGTGTGAAATAAATGACATCAGGCGACATCCTGGAGGAAGTGTTCAGATGGGAGCGTGACTCTCACTTCCCGTGGAAATCTCTAGTTCCCTGCGGCATTTCTGTTCCGTATCTGTCTCTAGGTTTAATCATTTTTGAATATTTGAGTTTCTACTTGGTGAAAGGAAGTAACAGTGAACTAGATGTCTGAAACCATCGAGGTTTTAGTCCCACTAAGATTAATACACAGTGAAACTGTGCAGGTCATTGATTTGAGGCCTTGAGTCTCATTTTTTATATTAAAATAAAAGGTAAGGACAAGATCCTTTTTTTTTTCGAGACAGCATCTGACTCTGTCACCCAGGCTGGAGTGCAGTGGCACCATCATTGCCCATTGCAGCATCAAACTCCTGGGCTCAAGTGATCCTCCTACCTTAGCCTCCTAAGCAGCTGGGACTACAGGTGTACACCACCATGGCTGGCTAATTTTTGTTATTTTTGTAGAGACAGGGTCTTGCTATGTTGCCCAGGCTGATCTCGAACTCCTGGCCTCACATGATCCTTTTACCTTGACCTCCCAAAGTGCTGGGTTTACAGGAATAAGCCACTGTGGCCAGCCAAAATCATTGATTTTTAGTATTTGAAAGAAACCATCAGAAAACATTATGGTAGGGAAATCTGACCAGCGCCACCCACCTGTGGTCAAGGATAATTTCACCAGTGATGAAGTAATGTAGATGTAATATAACTCTTGGTATGATGCAGGCACTTTATCTCTGTGGAACTGTCCCCCTCCAGTCATAATTCCAGTCTGTTTATGACACGATATCAGCTATACCCAAATTGAAGGACATTTTACAAAATACCCAACCAGTACTCCTTGAAAATATCAAGGCCATGAAAAATAAGGGAAGACTGAGAAGCTGTCACAGTTTGGAGGTAACTAGGAGACACAGTAACCAAATGCAGCATGCTGTCCTGGACTGGATCCTGGGGCAGCAAACACACGTTAGTTCGGGGGAAATCCAAATAAAGTCTGTTAAATAGTATTAACAGTTAAATAGTATCACACAAATGCTAATTTTGGTTTTGATAAAGTACCATGATTTTGTAAGGTGTTAGCATCAGGGGAAGCTGCTTAAAGAGTACACTGGTCGGCGGGGCGCGGTGGCTCACGCCTGTAATCCCAGCACTTTCGGAGGCCGAGGTGGGTGGACCACAAGGTCAGGAGATTGAGAACATCCTGGCTAACAGGGTGAAACCCTGTCTTGACTAAAAATACACAAAATTAGCCGGGCACGGTGGCGGGCACCTGTAGTCCCAGCTACTCGGGAGGCTGAGGCAGGAGAATGACGTGAACCCGGGAGGCGGAGCTTGCAGTGAGCCGAGATCGCGCCACTGCACTCCAGCCTGGGCGACAGAGCGAGACTCCGTCTCAAAAAAAAAAAAAAAGAGTACACTGGTCTTCTCTGTACTATCTTTGCAACTATCTTGTAATACTGTACTATCTTATAAATCTAAAATTATTTCAAAGTAAAACGTTAAAAGGAGGACCAGAACTCCTTTTTCCCCAAGTGGAATATAATTAAGGACCTGCTGTCTACAGAGCGGAGGAAAAAGGAATTGTTTGGTTGGAATCCTTCAGCCTTCCTTTCCGTCTCTTTGGGGCCCTCCTGCTGGACCCCTGAGACGCTTCTGAGGAACATGAGGGCACCATGGAGCTCAGTAGGAACACAAGTACACTGGCCAATCTCTTAAGGGCCTCTTCAGGTGAAAACGGTATTCGGAGTTTTGCTAAATCTGCTAAGGAGTGGCATTAGAGCAATCAGAGAACTCAATCAATCGAGTTGAATTTTGCTGATCAGGCAAAGTGAGAGCTGAGAACCGGCTTGTATTTGGCCAAATGGAAGTCATTCATAGCCTAACAACAGATGTTTCCTGTAGAAAGATGAGCATGAGCCTGATAGGAGCTGATCCAAAGAATGGAAGTAGTGGGAATGGAGACGCCAGGCACAGGGGACACTCGGAGGGAACTAGGCTGTAGGGGAGCACACACTGGGGCAGTGGCTATAGGTGCACATGGTCAAGGCTAGGTTCTTTCTGGGGGTGGGGGGCCCATGGTGAAGGCTGGGTTCTTTTTGAGGAGTTGTGGCTATTACAGCACGTCTGTTCTCATCTAAAGGGGAAGAAACTGAGGAAGAAATCAGCCTTTGGCTCCCCCTTTCTGTCACACCTACATACCTAGTCTAGCAACAATTTTGCTAGACCAGGGTTTCTCAAGCGCAACACCATTGAAATTTTGGGCTGGATGATTCTTTGAGTATCAAGAGAGGCGATAACTGCTGGGTGGACCTTCCTCAGCCGGCCAGCCGTGTGGAGTCCGTGCGTGGTGGGAGGGTTGGTCCTATGCAGGAACAGGACAGCCCCTCCAGAGTAGCACAGGAGAGGGCAGAGGATGCGGACACATATCCCGGGAGGTGAGGAAGTGTGGGGTAGGGCCTGTGGACGTCTTTTCTGAGTGCTCTTATTTTCATACACAGAGGCAGGGCCATGAACTATGAGTGTGGAGTGGGGAGGTGGAGCTTTAAAGAAAAAGGAAACAAGAAATAGTTACTTGGAAGAGTGAGCTACTGAAAGAACTGGAGAAATAACCTGGGGTTATGTCGTGGCACTAAGGAGCCCTTGAAGGTGGTGATCGCGAGTGGAAGGCATGTCCGGGGCAGGCAGTGGCTCCAGAGTTGGTAAAGGAGGATGTGGACAAGTCAGGGGTGGGAGGGTGAAATGGTGGCAGGGCTGGTGGCATAGAGGTGCTGATGAGGTAGGAGAATTGGAGCGGGGCATTAGAGGGAGAGGGCTGTAAAGACGGGAGGTTGGAATGAGGTGGGTCAGAATTCCTGGTAATCGCAGGGTCTAGGGTATGGTCTGTGGTAAGGAGCAGGATCATCAGATATGATGAGGCCAAGGCACTGAGAAACCACAATTAGAAGTTTTGTATTGAGTAACTGTTGTGGTCCCCAAGGATCATGACAGAGAGAGAGAGAGAGAGAGAGAGAGAGAGACCAAACACCAAAGGCTGACATGGGCTAAGAGTAGGAGGTGTGGCCTGAAGCTCAGTAGACAACTACTCAGAAGAAAGGGGGATGGATGGTACAATCTGATGACAGGAACTTCAAAGAGGCTGAAGGGTTTTAGGGAGGAGGATGGGGTAAAGATCTGGAGACAGTGGTGGGTGCAAGAACGGCCCCTACCCACTTCCGTGGCTGGTGGTTCAAGCGTGTGGAAGAGAAAGACATCATTTGAGAGGGTACTGTGGGGCTGTGTCCTCAGGAGAGTCACACTCTGAAGTATGTCTTAGAAGTCTGAAAAACATGTATGCCTTTTGAACCAGCTATCCACTTCTAGAAGTTTGTCCCAAGGCTACAAAATTAGAACTAAGTTCTTATTCCCTATTGCTAGACTTATTTAGGTTGCAACTTATATCAAATGGTGGGTTTATGATTTATATTTATTTCTGTTTTTTGGTTTTGCTCTGTTTTTCAGATTTTCTATGATGAGCATGTTTGAATACAGAAAATAAAATTATTTTTATATTTTAAGAATAAAAAACTACAGTGGTTGCAAGAGAGATTATTAGGTTAACCTGTTAATCTAGGGCCACAGGGGGACAGGAAAGCCTTCAAGCCACCATCAGAGATTTTGTGAATTCAAACTACTTTTTGATGTAACTTGCAGTTCCCTGTAAGGACTTGGTAAGGTCTTTGCTGATTTATTTAAAAACGTTCTAACCCACAGAGAAATCAGTTGCCTAGGTAATAGTTACCAAATACAGAAATTAAATGCTATCTATCTCCGGGTTTCTAACTTTTCACAAACTAATTATACCTTCAACCAAAACATTGGATTTATTTTCACAAATTTGAGCCTGACATCTTAATTCATAACTAGCAGCTGCTGGGGCTTCTGGCAGCTACAAAAATAAATGAAAATAAAAACTAGGTTTTAAACCGAGTATTGAATACGGTACTTACATAATATTCAAATCACATAATACTTTAAAATGTACAATTGAGGAAATTCTTTGTGGAGAAAGGCAGTGGTTTTTCTGACCTCATCCAGCTGTTATCGTTAAGTCTGATTCTTGGTGGCCTCTGACCTCACACGATTGTAATCAAAACCAGCCTGCTCTTGAAACTCTTCATTCTTGTTCGTTTTTCCCTCTGCTCCAATTTTCAGATTTCCTCAGCTGCTGCTGTTGGCAGTTTAATCTCTCCAACCAGCTCTTCTGACGGCTTCTCGAATTCCTCCTTCCCTGGCTGTCAGCTCCCGCATCTGCTCCCACACGTCTTTTTCATCTCACTCGCCAAAATGTCAGGGCTGCAGAACAGCCTCAGTCTCATTATTTGGCTACTGAGTTCAGTTAACTGAAGTGCTTATTAGCAGAAGATATCTATGTTAATTATGCCGATAGAAACTTTGACACACAGATACACTTATGGGCATATATCTAGACTAGAACAAATCTTTTCCTGCTAAGTTGCTGAATTGGCAGAGAAGCCCGTGGACTTCGCAATACCTGAAATCAAGGCAGAATTGTCGGAGAAGATGTTCAATGGGGCAGATCTGTGGAAAAGTTTTATTGCATTTATTTATATTATATTCGTGTGGATTTGTGTGTTTTATCTTGCGAGTGTTGATGTAAGTGTACATTTTTAGTTTTGGTATTTTTCATTTTAGACTGAGTATTCTACTTTTACTGCTATTTACTATTGAGATTTTACAAAGCAGCTGCTGTGTAAGCCGAGCTGGTTTACATTTGCTGGTTGTTTTGCAGAGAACACCCAGCACCTGCATTTTACTGGTCACCTGGAAAGACCCTGTCACCTCCTAAATCTCATATAGAGCAGAGGAAATGCCACTGCATGCAGCTCGCTGCCCGCTGTGAACTCCTATGAGGAAGAAGGGAAAGAAAACCTAATTCAAGTAAAATATGCTTTTCGGCGGGGGTTGGGGGAAGAAAAATAAGATAAAAATTCTGCCAGTGCCCTGTAATTTCAGAAGGTACAATTTGCATAATGTTGGCATGGCTTTCTGCGTAATAAAAGCATAGTTGTATTTTTTACTGAAATCGGCCCTAAATGCTCTCTAAACTAGTCAAAATGGTTACTTTCCAGTAATTCTTTTATCCATACATCTTACATTAAAATACCATGGTTTTACACATTTTGGTCAGCTTACTAATGTCTGGATTTTTGTTTGTTTCTTTGTTTCTGGTATCTCTCAAGAACCTCAGCAAGAGTAAAAAAGTGGTTCTGTTTCCTGGTAAGAGAACCTATGACCAGTGCTCACTCACGGAGACCTCTGTGTGATGTAGGGCACGGTGCGGGTGGCCGCTCTGCGAGTTTCGCAGTGAAAGTGTCCGCCGCGAGGCCCCGTGATTCACTACCTAGTAGGGGTGTCACCAAGCTTCCCACTGACAGGCAGCCTTCCCCATGTGCTCATGTGGACTTTGAGTAAACCATGCTCTCATGACTATGCATGGAGCCTTCTAAACTGTCTTGCATATGGCAGGTTCCAGGTCAGCTGACAAATGAAGATTTTGGCGTACCGTACGGTGGCACAATCTCTCAGTCAACAATGCGGTTTTGGCAGATTTTCCATTGTTCAATTATTTTAATCTTTCACTGCATTTATTCTTATAATATTTTGTAAAGAAAAGCTCGTGAAACTTGTGATAAGAAGTACGAGTTTCAGACGGGAGGCTTTAGACACACATGAGTATCCTTAGGGGAGACATTTTCAGCCACACTCAGGTGCCTGGTGGGTTGCAGGTTGAGTTCTGAAAGAAAACCAACAGAGCACACAGACGCACGGCAAGGAACGTCTCGTAGATGATTGGATTTAAAAGGCAAGGTGAACGCAGAAGTTTTTGAAAATGCATTTTAAACAGCACAAATATTATTTTATATTAATATTTTATATTATTTTATATTACATAATATATTAATATTCATATACATACATTTTGATATCCTAAATCTTTTTAATTCTGCACATTCTAATTTTATGTGTTTTTGGGAGTGCTTATGTGTGGGACTAGCAGACTGCTGGTTCATTCATTATTTATTTTTTATTCTTTTATTTATCAAACGTTTTCTGAGTTTCTTTCATGTGCCAGGCTGAGCTGGGCACTTCAGAAACAAAGATGAGTAAACGCAATCCCTGCCCTCTAGTCGGGGAGACAGACTTGATGCAGAGAATCATGCCCAGGTGCAGGAGGGCGCTAAGTTAGCACGCGGCGTGAGCGGCCGGGCAGGTCTTCCTGTGGGATTAGCAGAGAGTCGCTTCGCCCTCAGAGCACTCAACCCCTGCCTTTTGCTTGGCACATAGTCATACATCACTGTGTGACAGTCTTTGTATTTTCTTCTATAACCCCCGCTTTTTTTTTCTGTTTAAGCTTTTATGTGATGATGAGTATCATATCATGTATGTGTCCATTTTTTCCATTCAAAATGTGCTTTCATTGTCATGTCATCTTAATCCTACAGTTCCTAAAGATCCATATTTTTACCCCTATTTTCAAAGAGAGTTTGAAACCCAGAAGGGAAGGTGCCTTGTTCAAGATGAATCTGCAAGTGGACGGAGGCAGCAGGACTCATGTGCTATTAATCATTTTTTAAAAATAGACAATATGGAACTGCTGACCTTGGGCCAAGTGCTGTCCGGAATGTGGAGGGAATCCATTGGAATGAGACTCAGTTTTGTTTTTCTCAAGAAGCTCATGTGAATTGGGGTTTGGGCACAGATCTATGGACAAGAAAGTCTCGTAAGAGAGATAAGTGTTAAAATAGAGGTGTGTACTGGATACCCTGGAAATATACCACAGAGACAACGATTGACTGTCTGGGCCTGGGAGGGAGGCTGCAGCAATTTATAGAACGTGTTATAAAGGAGAGGACTGCGAAAATGAATTGGGAAGGGCTTGTAGGAATTTGCCAACTTGACAGGGTGAGGAAGGGGGTGGTGGGCAGAGGGGTCAGCTTAGTCAAGTGCATGGAAGAGTGAGGGTGCATTGGGGGAGTGCAACTAGTTTGGGGCAGTTGGAGCAAAAAGTGAATGTGCCTGAGGAAGGAATAGTATGTGAGGAAGATGGAGATACAGACAAGGTTCAGCTTTTAAGGTCCATCAGTGAGAAGAAGCAAGGCTAATTTGCAGTAAAAAAAAAAAAAAAAAATCAATTCCAAATCTCAGTGGCTTTACACAATAAATCCTTATTTCTTGATCACAGCAGCCTACTGTGGATTGGAGGCTTTCCTGGGTGGCTCTCCTCCACACGGTGACTCAGGGATCCTTGATTTTGTCATGCTGCTGTCCTCAACACATGGTCTCTGAGTTTGCAACAGGAGGAGAAGGAAAGACACAGGAAGCCACATTAGATACCCAGCCATCTCAGCCCAGAAGGGACACATCACGTTTCACATCCCTTTGGTCTGAACTAGTTGCCTGGCCCCGTTTAGCTGTTCTCTGTCTGGTAACACAGTCTCGGGCAGGTCCACATCTTTGGTGGTCACCTGGCCATTGTCGCCATGCCCTCGTCTGTCAATGTAAGGATTTTGGTCTTTATCCTGTAGGTAATGCTAAAGCAGGGAGATGATGTGATCAAATTTATGTTTCTAAGAAGTGGCTGTGATAGCAGGGGGAGAAGGGAAAGGGATGAGAGTATTATGTGTGTGCATCGTATTCTCTCTTTCAGGTGTGGAGTCCTGGACCCAGGCAGGGGTGGGACCCAGGGACCCAGACAGGAAGTGACAGATTCCTGGGAGTGGACAAAATGGACCGCGCTGGGCCACAAAGTGGATATGGGTGGCGAGAATGAAATTGGAGTTGAGGTTTCTGGTTTGGGTCTACGCGTTACTTCTGAAAACAAGGGGATGAGCAGGTTTTGGGGAAGGCAGTGTGTGAATGTGCCGAGTTCTCCACGTCAGCTGAGCGACCTGGCCCCTCTCAGGCTCTGCAAGGCTTCTCGCTGAAGACCTCTTTTCAAGTGTTATTTCAAATGGTTTTGTTTTCAGTTTTCAGGAGCATCTTTTTAATTTCCTCTGCCAAATGGCATTCATCCCCATAGGAAAGGTAATGTTAGCATCAGGAAATGTAGTTTGGCCGGTGAAAGGTTGATTGCTATGGGGTATTCTTCCTGAGCTCCGAAAGTTGGTTCTAATGTGTTGGGGTCTACTGTGAAGGGCATGGCCTCTGGATTCTCCTGCACTCTGATTTCTTTCTTTTTCATTTTACTAAAAATGCCTTTTCTGTTTCACTAACTCAGAAAGAGCAAGAATCTTCCCTGTGACTTTTCAATTTTTAAATGACTAATGGAATGTGTCTGTGTAATTAGCATTTGGTAACACACCTTTGATTCTAGCTTCTCTGATGGTACCTCATCATATTTTATGCTTGTTTGAGATAATGCATGCAAAAACACATTGCACTTGTAATACCCTATGTGAAAAGTATTTTTGTTAGTATTATCACTGTCACTACTAAGTCAATGATATAGCAGCAATGTTTGTCTTTTTATGATTTATTTCAGTTGACTTAGGTGGCTACTAGATTTATTGGTGATTTTGTTTTATTTTATTTACTGAAAACAAGAAAAAGAATCATATGACATTCTAGAGGAAGAAAATACACCTGTACTACTAGAAACCCCAGTAGAAATAGAAGCCCACAGAGAACCACCGATGGGACAATCACAAGAAAAATCATCACTAAGACAAGAAGAATAAACACCTGAGGAACAAGAGTCCTCTGAGCAGCCATGCCTGGGACAGCCACACTGAGAGCAGCCACCTGAGATGCCAGAGTCCCCCACGCAGCCATGCCTGGGACAGCCACACCCAGAGCGGCCACCTGAGACGCCGGAGTCCCCCACACAGCTGTCCTCAGGACAGCCACACCGAGAGCAGCCACCTGAGATGCCGGAGTCCCCCACGCAGCCGTCCTCAGGACAGTCATGCCAAGAGCAGCCACCTGAGACGCCAGAGTTGCCCATGTAGCCATGCCTGGCACAACCGTCTCAGAAACACATGATTAAGGGGTAACAAAACAACAAACACCATGAGAACAAAATGTGAACCATGTTGTGAAGAAACAGTCAAAAACTAGAAAGGATAGCAAGACAAATGAAAATAAAAGCGGACATTTTTTCACATTATACTAAAGAGGTATGCTGGTGGAATATTAAAATCATGAATTTCATATTTTGGTGGCAAGACTTTAAGTTTTTAAACACATGTTGTAAGCCGAAATTCATGTGGAATTCCTTCCTCTATTCCCTAACTGTGCAAGTCTGGGAGGGAAGAGGGTTGTTAGCGAGACTGGGTGAATCATTGCCCGCTGGGGCCGACCTTCCCTTCTTACACTGTCAACCCACACTTGGCATTCTAGAGTGACTTAGCCACTTTGCGAACGGCACATGTTTACATAGTTATCTCTAACATGTTCTCCCTTTTTAAAAGCGAATTAAGGCATATTATAATAATTATACATACCTATTTTTATCTATACACAACACACGCATCTATGTACATGCATTTGCCGATATAGGTATATATATGCCTTCTATGTCCTAAATGGACAGTAGAATCCTATGTACATTTTTGGTGGCTAAGCGAATGGACTCTCAACTCAATATACAGTTTTGGCTTCTCTCCTCTTTAAGGGTATGCACGAGGTCTGTGGCTCAGTTTAGAGCTAATAATAATAACGAACTCACAGGCTGTTGGGAAAATTACTTACCATAAGCAGAACCGTGCTGGACACACAAAAGGCACTAAGAAATGTTGGCGACTCCAGTTACTCCATTTGGGTAGTTGTCTTTTTGTTTCTGTTACCAAGCGAGAGAAGACAGGCAGAGTCACTACTAAGATGAGGCCTGCACTTGACTCCAGGTTGGCTGAGCTTCTTGACGGTTAGCACAAAGATGGCAATGGTGATTCTAGGATGGTCCAAGTCCTCTTAAAGATCAGACCAGTTTCACACCATCTGCCAATTAGTGGTATATACAGTGTTGCACATGGAAGGAGGAAGAAAAGCTATGATTTCACCATATTTGGGCTTCTTGATTTGTTGTTAGACTTGACTAGAACACTCGTAACACTTTAAGGGGGACATTTGTAATCAAATAGGAACCATTGCCATCTCATCCTGAGCAATTTTTAGTTAAGTTTCTGCTAGAGAGCACATCTACTTTGATTTGGCTCCATTCTAAGTATATGTCTTAGTGCAGGAAAAAGAACTTTGAAACTGCATTTCTAATTACTTTCGTTGGTGACTTCTTTTCCAGCTGCCCTAGTGCCTGTGATTTAGACCAGCAAGCTGCTGTGGAAGGAATGGATTAGGGCTAAGAGAACCAGGCCCTGGTCTGTGCTCCACCATTTGTTGACCACAGGGTCTTGAACAATTTCCTTTTCCTCCCTGAACATTAGTTGTCTTCTGTAAAATGAGAATGATAGTAGGATCATAGTTTGTTAGAGCTGGAAGCAAATTTAGAGATCACAGAATTCCCAACAGACATTCTACTGTGAGGTACCTGTAGGGGTTAGGTGGCTGGCCTGAAGTCACATGAGACCTGTAGCTTGGAGGGAGCAGGGACGGGACTGGAACTCATGTTTTTCTTTCCCTCCTTCCTTCCTTTCTCCCTCCTTCCCTCCTCGTCCTCTTCTTCCTCCTCCTCCTCCTACTTCTTCTTCGTCATCTTCTTCCTTCTTCTTTCTTCCCCACCCCCGTCCTCCTGTTCTTCCCTCTTCTTCTCTCCTCCCCACTCTTCCTCCCCCACTCCCTTCTTCTCCTCCTTTTCATCCTCCTCCTCCTTGTTCTTGTGACAGGGTCTCACTCTGTCGCTCAGGCTGGAGTGCAGTGCCACAATGACAGTCTCAAGCATCCTCCCACCTCAGCCTCCCGTGTAGCTGAGACTACAGGCATGAGCCACCACGTCTGGCTACTTTTCTTTTTTTTGGAGAGAGGGAGTCTTACTATGTTGCCCAGGCTTCTTCTTTTATAAAATTTGATTTCAGGTCTATTATAGTACTCTATCTTCCTTAGTATAGAATTGTTGTATGAATCAAATGGAATTAAACACTCTGAACATTTTACTAGAGGTAAAGGAGATTCATTTTACTTAATGGATACATAATTTAAAAAATTTAAAATGTCGCCTCTAGATGATGTTCACATTTTGGGGCTTAGTTTTAGAGTGGTCTTGGTACTAGGAGGATGGCTTAAATAGCTCTTCAAGAGAGTTATTCAGCACCACGTTTGAACCAAATGATCCAGATTCAAACATTGCTATAGACTCAGCACATTCAATGCTGGTTGGTCAGGATGGGGGCTGTGGAGTGAGAAGGGGGAGAAGATGAAGGAAGGGGCAGAGGAATGTGAAGCGTTGTTTTAGATAAACTGAAATGGAGTGGCCACCAGCACTGCACAAAAGCTAATTTTGAAATCAGTGTCCAGGTTTCCTGCGGCGGTTCTGCACGGCGGCATGTTGCCGTTGGGTGTGCCGTGAGGAGCTGTGTGTGCTGCAGGTCCCAGGTCCCACCCCACCCCTCCCAGGAACAACACCCAGAATCCAGAATCCAACAGAAATGCAAGCTCCTGAGAGAACCAGAAACAAACTGTGGCCAGATCACAGCTTGAAGATGTTCTCTGTTAACCTGCTTTTCTATGTCTTCCAGATGGCCCGGGAGTGGAAACCTGTAGATTAACAAAACCACCTTTATTATTACCTGAAGTCCACTTTTCTTCAACCATGGGGCTTCCACGTCACATATGGACATTTTAACAGCAAGAAAATCACATGTGGGGTGAAACTAAAGCCCCACACAGTGGTGTCTTCTCGAAAGCCAAAGACGAGGTTTCATAATTGAGCTCCATTTCTTCTTATTCCCTTTCTCAGTGATATTTCTTTTTAGTAAACATTTTAAAGAATGAAACGTGGTTCTTTATCATTAAGCCCCCAAAAGATCATTCAGAAAGTGAGAAGAATTTGAAAAAACGTGTGTATATTTTCCCCTCATGATATTTTTTTCCTGGAATGTGTACGGGAAGGTATCTCATTTATATGTAACTTGGAGGTTGTCACAAAAGCAGGTACTGATAACCTTTGCTATGTAAAGTTCAAAGTATAAAAATGTTTTACCTTCTGAATAACTAGTTCAAAGTGAAAAGGAAAAAAATCCAGGGTTCGCTGGTGACATGGTTTGGCTGTATGTCCTCACTCAAATCTCATGTCGAATTGTAATCCCCATGTGTTGGAGGAGGGGGCCGGTGGGAGGTGATTGAATCATGGGGGTGGTCTTCCCCCTTGCTGTTCTCGTGATAGTGAGTGAGTGCTCCCGAGATCCAGTTGTTTAAAAGTGTGTAGCACTTCCCCCTTCACTCTCTCTCTCCTGCTCTGCCATGTGAAAAAGATTCTTGCTTCCCCTTCGCCCTTCTGCTATGATTGTAAGTTTCCTGAGGCCTCCCAAGCCATGCCTCCTATACAGCCTGCAGAACTGTGAGCCAATTAAACCTCTTTTCTTCATAAATTACCCAGTCTCAGGTAGTTCATTATAGCAGTGTGAGAACAGACTAATACAGCTGGGAAAAGGATTTTATTAACTTATTTACTTATTTTTATGAAGGCAAAAAATAGTACCCATGTGGCTTCATTAGATTATGTGTGTGTGTGTGTGTGTGTGTGTGTGTGTGTGTGTGTGTATGTACACATGGCCTAATATATATATATCCCTCCCAGGGACACACACACATATATAATCTACCAGTCTGGGGAGATTTAACAGTCTTTAGCAAAGATTTTCCTTTCAGCAAATTATGTGTGATTTCAATTTGCTGTTTGTCTTAGGAATTTGAAGATTGTTTTGCTGAGACACACATATAGCTTTTAGCTCTCTATTTTGTTTGTGTTCTAGTCATATTTAAAGATGGTGTGGATTGTTTACCTTTATGTTTTGGTAAAAATTTATGTGCTATCAACAAGTTTAAACATTCACAATAGAAACTTAAATGTCTTCATCTCCAAGGCACTGAACATTGTCATATTAAAAGCTTAAATATATTTACTGTTATATTTATTGTTACAATAGTTTTAACTATTGGCGGCAAGATCAATAGTTGCAACTTATATTTTTGCTGATGCTTAAAAGTGTTTTAAAAGTTGATCTGCCTTACAATTTATTTTTATTTAACTCCAAGTGTTAACTCTAGATTGTTCTGAAACTTATATGGACTTTTGAAAATAGCCAGATTTTATGTGTTGTGGGGACCCATTTCCAAAATCTTTAAAGACTTTCAATAGCTTACAACCTGTGTTCATATATTCTAAATCCAGCTAGTCTTCTATAAAAAGTTGAATGGGAGCTTTTTTCTCCCGTAAAGTAATTTCATTTGTCGGGATTGTTCAGGATTGCTGTGTTAGTTCCCAAAACCTCCAGCAGTGATGCCGCAGCCCCGACACAGCAGTGACGCCGCAGCCCCGACACAGCAGTAATGCCGCAGCCCCGACACAGGTTGAAATTTCTTTTTTAAGCACACTCAAGTGGCTTAAGATCTCAAGCACTTGAAAATGCTGGAAGGCTTTTAGGAATGTTTCTGTAACTTTAAAATGTATCAATCCCCTTTTGTTTCTCTTTTAATAGGACAGTTAAAATTGGTGCATGTTTGTGGGAAAGAGATTCTTAAAATGGGAAAGTCTTTTTGTCTTCTAAGAGCCAGCCTGGGGAGCAGGTTTGAATGCTGTTGCATGTATTCCTGCTCTGGTCAGCCTACCACGTGCTCACTAACAAAAACTTGCAGATAATTAACTTTCTTTTGAGTTGCAAAAACACTAAGAACCATGGACACAATATTTCTCCTCAACGCGCCTCATTTGCTGTTTTCTTCAATTTAACGAACGTCTCTACATAGTGCCTGTATCTGAAAGCACTGCTGTGTCACTTTACTGATTTCATCGAAATCATACAGATTCCACTCTGCACCGAGGAGTTGGTGGGTAAGAAACCAACTTGCACCTTTGGGTTTATACTTGAGCCTGCATTTGCAATAGTTAGCACATTTTATGAGTCATTTTCTCTTTCATCAAACCTTTTATTTTTCATGGAAAGGCAGTTCAAAATATGGGAAATCTTATTACCACATTAGCCTCTTACAAGATGACCATTGGAAAGATTTCCCACAGAAAGTGAGGCTGCAGAGTGCCTGGTTTTCCAACACGATTATGTCTAGAATCTGTTACCTTCCTCCTTTCAGTTGCCTGATATGTTTGCTAGGTGCTTTCAATTCAATTATTATCAGATAATTATTTCAATCAGATATTATTTCAATTCAATTATCAACATATAATTTTCAATTATCTGTTAATTGAATGAATAGAAATGGAATAAGATGTAAAGCTATGTTGGTAAAAATTAAACTTTTAACTAATTATTTCATAAATTATTTCAATATTTTAGTGCCCACCAGCAGGCCATGTATGAAAAATGTAATTGTATTTTCAGGAATTAACTTGATGGCTAAATTAGAGAAGGTTGGTGAAAGTCACCTATAAACTTTTTTTCTTGTAATTTTGTATTCAGAACAATGAATGGTTTATTTTTACTGGTTGTTCACTTTTTGAAACTATAATTTGAATCAATGATCTGATTGATGTGTGCCTCTGTAGTGCCCCTTGGAGTATTTTGTTTGTCCCTCAAAAGAAGAAAATGATGAGCAAGACATATAAAATAGCTCTGTGTTCACAGAATTCATATTCTAGAAGGAGAGAGAAAAGGTAGGTGGGTCTTAGGAACAGTGCAGTCCAGTTCCCTCTTGGCTTAGTTCTCAATGGGATTAAATAATCAGTCTCACTCTAGTTTATCAGAAAAGGGAGACTCCTCCCTGGAGGAAGATATCATTGTCTTAAATACAATGCCTTGCATTCAATAAAAGATTATTAGGTATGATGAGACACAGGAATACATAACTGAAAATCAAGAGACTAAACAGACAAGAGAAACACAGGTGAGGCAGCAATCACACAGGTGTACAGATGTTAGCAAAAAGAATTTTAAAATGACAATAATATGTTCAGGAAGATAGAAGACTTTCACTGAAGAAGGAGGATCTGCAAAAAAGGATCAAAAGAAATTTTAGAACAGACACATATGATATCTGAATAATTATAAATGGAGGTGACAACATGCCAAACACAGAAGAAAACAAGATTAGTAAACTGGTGAACAGATCAATAGAAAATATCCAAACTGAACACAGAAAGAGAAAAGAAAAACAGAAAATACCCAAGTGAATATAAGGTACGTGTGGACATCGTGAAAAGGCTTAATATAGATAAAATTGGAGCCCCAGAAGGAGAGAAGAGAGAAAATGTGGCAGAAGAACAAATAAAACTTTGGGAGAAATTATCCTATGAATGTAGCAGGGAGATGGGGCAGCAGCTGGACCAAGATATGGGATCTCAGGATAGGGTTTTCAATTTCCCTTTGCTTCCTCTTTCATCTTCTTTCTGTCTTCTCTCAATGATTGATACTAGAACATGTTGTAGGCAATTATTAGAATGATATGCCACAGAAAGAGTGAGATTTTCTATTCTTAAGAAAGCCACAGGGACAGGATATAAGAAAATGTGGAGGGAGGGCTGTATGGACACTTGGTACTACTGCTGTTTGAACAGGACAGAATGAGATCTTGATACTGATGCAGGCACAATCATAAGTTAGATGGTGGTAATCTCTCTGGTTGCTTTCACATTTTCAAATGAAGCATACAGTCATGTCAGCAATTGAGAGTGAAGAGAGGATGTAACAAATTTTAAGAGAGAGCAAATGGCATGCAATAAAAGGTTAAGTAAACTTATAAGAAAAATGGACAATGATGAGTGCCAATTTAAAAGTTATAGCTTGAGATTTTGTTATTGGAAAGTGATCCTGATCCAGACCCCAACAGAGAGTTTTTGGATCTTGCACAAGAAAGAATTCAGGACCAGTCCACAGTGCAAAGTGAAAGTAAGTTTACTAAGAAAGTAAAGGAATAAAAGAATGGCTACTCATAGCCCTTGGGGCTGCTGATTGCCCATTTTTATTGTTATTTCTTGATTATATGCTATTAACAAGGGGTGGATTATTCATGCCTCCCCTTTTTAGACCATATAGGCTAACTTCTTGATGTTGCCATGGCATTTGTAAACTATCATGGTGCTGGTGGGAGTGTAGCAATGAGGACGATCAGAGGTCACTCTCGTTGCCATCTTGGTTTTGGTGGGTTTTGGCCAGCTTCTTTACTGAAACCTGTTTTATCAGCAAGGTCTTTATGACCTGTATCTTGTGCCAACCTCTGATCTCATCCTGTAACTTAGAATGCCTAACCATCTGGGAATGCTGCCCAGTAGGTCTCAGCCTCATTTTACTCAACCCCTATTCAAGATGGAGTTGCTCTTGTTTGAATGCCTCTGACAATTTGAAAAGAAAAAATGGAAGGGAAAATAAGGATGATAAATTCATCAAGTTGGAAACTGAGAGAGCATTCTTTGAGACAAAGTTGGCAATCTTAGAGGACAGCTTAGGGAGGCATGAAAGAGAGTATGTGATATTTTCAGATTTCAGGAAATATTTTAATAATGAAGGCTAGGGTTGATAGTTATAAAATTGCTTTTAAAATATAAGACTAGGAAAAAGATTGTAAGTTGCTAATATCAGGAAAAATGATGGGGCCTAATGAAGTACAACATGAAGAGAAAGAAAGTTTAAGGGGATAATATGGATTACTTCTTTAAAGGGATTCTTGAGTGAAGAGCCTCTGGGAGGACACTCCTTGAAGCCACTGGCATGGAGTCAGTAGTAAGTACTGTTGGACATCATCTTTTAAAGACTTAGGATTATATCAAGTTAGATTTGAGAGGACCGAGACACTAAGAATAGAGTACTTCAAGTATTATTCCATGAATTGAAGATGATACAATATTTTAGGCAGGGCATCAGATTTAGCATTTGCCCTTGGAAAATATGCATGGATAGTTTATAGACTTAGGGTTCTAAGGAAAGGTACAGACAGCAAGAGAGCTACTGAAAGAGAGGCAGGCAGGATAATGATAGGTTAAGTCTCACCTGGGGTAAAGGGAGGCTTGGTGAGCAAATATTTCCTGGTGGAATTATACAACATCAGAGTTGAAAAGACACAAAGTGTGTTTGAATAATAGATGCCTTGGCAGCATGAAAACTCATCAATTTTACATGTCTTACTGTGGGAGATCCCATAAGGCAAAAACTATAGAAGAATGTCAAAAAACAAATATCTGTGTCAGAAAAAAAAGGGAACCAAAGAAGGCACCCTGATCTGACAGTGTCAGAACCTACTTGGAGCACACAAGAGAAAGTGAGAAAGTAAGTAAAGAGGGGTATTTGAAATGTCTGCTGAGCCTTCCAAGCTGAGCAGCAGAAACCAGAAAGAAAAGAAACAATAGAAATATATTTCCCTTTTACAGAAAAAAGTATGGGCAAAGAAACTATTTTTGCTACCATAAAAGTGGCAGAGGAAGGCTGGGAAAAATCAGAAGCCTTCTTCCAAAGTTCTGGGAGGAGTATATGTTGTCCAAGGATTGCTGTTTGGGAGTTCTTTTTTTTCAGATATTTCTTATTTTCATGCTCATGGTGACTGTTTTTGTGACCGCTGTCCCAGTGGTGATTCTCTTTGTGCTTCTGGTTTTACTATAGTGTTTAGTAATGGGTGTGAATCTTAGTGAGATTCCCTTGTTTGTGAGGAGTTACTTCCTTCTTGTTGTTTTTGAGATTCTCACTTTGTGTTTTGATAGTTTGATGATGATGTGTCTGGGTACAGATCCCTTTGAGTTGTTTATTCTACTTAGAGTTTGTTGAGCTTAGTATTAAGCTAATGATTGAACAGAGATTTCCTGAAATGTTTTGATTCAATGTCTCTAGTCTATTCTGAGGGGGTTCCATATGTGTGTTGGGGCACACCTTCAATATTCCAGCAGTGAGTTTACAACTCTGCCTTAGCCTTCACTTCCTGCTTGTGCAGAGCCTCAAGGTCAGCTAGAGGTGAGGGTTTAGGGCCTTCTCAGGTCTTTCCTGGGCATGCATACAGCTATGCACAGGTACATGCCCATCTCGATTCTCAAAGATATGTCAGAATTTTGCAAAGCCCCCTGTAAACACCTTACTTCCTTGTTTTTCCTTAGTACTAAAAAGTTTTTTTGGTCAGACTCTTATTAGCTCCAACTGGTATTATCTTGTCAGGTAGCTGTGATGTTTAAACAATTGCCACTAATTGTTTTTGACAAATGTCCCAGGGATAGGGCCGTTCATACAGAGAGAACTCTGAGGTCAAATAAAAACAAGCCCTGAGAGTGGAGCTTTCATAACACTGCCAGACAGGTCAAATAGTGACAGTTTTCTGAGTATGAGTGCTTGGGGAACTCCAAACCCACTCTTCTTTCCCCAGGGGGTGCCGAGCTTCAGTTTTCACAGCTACTGTATTTATAAGGCTACCAGTTTTCAAGGCTACCCTTGAGCTGGAGAGAGAGAGATTGGAACAGGGAAGTTAAAATGTCACAGAACTTGCTGTTATTACTGACATTCAGTTATTTTTCTCAAGTAAATTCTCCTTGGATAGCTGTAACCTTTCGATTAACTTCTAGAGTTCCAAAAAAGGTGATTTGGGCCCTTTTATCTGGTATTCTCCTTACTTTTATGCAGGAGTGGGCTTTGGGTGGTCATTACTCTGCTGTTTCAGAAGTGCTTCCCCATGAAATTACATGACAAATGGTGGGAATGCAGGTTTCCTTGGTGATGTACCTGCCACATATTTTTAATTCTGTTCTCTCTTGGTTCATAGAAGTACAAGAAGTAGATTGGCAGGTCGGCTGCCCAGACAGCAATTTCACTGGGGATGACACATCAGGTACTCTCTCCCACAGACCCACAATCTCTGTGACTGATATACATGACAGCCTCCTTCCCCTCACATTGGGTAGGTATTTTCTCCCCCTGCTTATGGGAAAGAGGGAAGGGAAAGTTGAAGCACTCTCCACCGAGCCAGTGATTAGGATGACTATATAACTTATCACTGGAACCAGGATACTTTTGATAGTGAGAAGGGGATACTGAAAATAATTTATGTATGTGTGTGAAAAGTGAGAGAGAGAAAAGGAGAGAGGGAAAGGGGAACAGGGAAAGAGATTTCTTGACCACCAAATCAATTGTATAACATTGGTGCCTCTGAAGATAGTTTTTTTTAAAACTACAAGTTTTTATTTATTTATTTATTGACTGAGTCTCATTCTGTTGCAAAGGCTGAAATGCAATGGCGCGATCTCAGCTCTCTGTAACCTCCACCTCCCGAGTTCAAGCGATTCTCCTGCCTCAGCCTCCCCAGTAGCTGGGATTACAGGTGTGCACCACCATGCCTGGCTAATTTTTGTATTTTTAGTAGGGACTGGGTTTCACCATGCTGGCCAGGCTGGTCTCGAGCTCCTGACCTCAGGTGATCCACCTGCCTCGGCCTCCCAAAGTGCTGGGATTACAGGAGGGGGCCAGTGTGACTGGCCAAAACAAGTTTTTATATAAAGTAAGTACAAAATATCTATGTTCATTAAGGCAAAACAAATAGACATTTTAAATATGGGTTATCTAAATTTTAAAAAAGCAAAATAGCTATTCTGTATACATACTCGTGTTTATTATATTCTTAAAATTATCTTTATTTAACACTGCATCTCTGGTATTCTTCCCAAAGACATATGCTTTAATATAGTCTAATTATTTTTAATTTTTTATGAAATTTCCTGAAATCTTCTTCAAAGTAGGATTTTGTGATGAGTAAATTTGAAAATGTTTCACATCTCCCATGGACTCTCCTCTCTATGCTCTACTATTAGATTTTTAATTTGAGGAAGTACTGTCTCTGGAAGTGCCGAGGGGCCTGGTAAGCTCAGAGCAAATTTTGCTAAATGTATGAAACTCTCAATACTATTTTAAAAATATTGAAATTGTAAATATTTTAGGCAAATATTTTTGTAGATACTGTCTTTGCATATCCATTTAAGATGTCATTTATTGACAAATGTTTTTACAAGACAAAATTAAAGAAGTTGTTTCTATTGATATTCTTTTAATTTTCTATTAAATTTATATGCTGCAAAATCATAGAGCCTCTTAGTTTTATCCGATTGTGGTACAAAACGTGAACTTATTCAATTAAAAATAGGTGCTCTATCAGAAAATTCTACAAGTTGAAATATTTCCAGGCAAGATCATGGAAGTTCAAAATCCACTTGCGCTCTCCTCATTCTATGGATATGTTGAATGCCTCACTTGCTTTTGAAAGAACAAATTTCAATGAACTCCTATTTTCAAACTTTCTTTCCTATAATTACAAATTACCAAAACTTCAACAGTTGGAGGTTTTGTTTAATTGTTTAATAATTTGATCAAAACCTAACTGATTTTGAACAAAATGCAACCAAAATTTGGAAAACTTTAAAAAAATTTAATCCGTTGTAAAATCCTTATTTTGATTTACAGTGTTTCTTCAAAGCGCAAACATTTTTACAATGGGACAGACAACAGGAAGCCAAGAGAGAAAAGAGCCTATTGTCATGCTGAAGTTGTTTTTTGTTTAAAAATTACCAAAACATTTTGTAGTTCATGTGCTCTTTGCTATATAAAAAATATCAGTTTTGACAATGACAGTTTCTATTCTGGCTGTTAGAAAAATACATGCATATCACAACCAACTCCAAGTATGTTTCTTTTCTGTAGGTTTTTTAATTTGGTAAAAATATTATTAAACCACAGCACAGGGCTCCACTTAAATGTGGCTTCCTAAGATCCCTACAAAAACATACAGTTTGGTCTTCACTGAATTTACCGTATGTCTTAACTGAACTTACTATATCATTCACAGTCATATCAGGTACTTACATCTTCAACTGAACCAAGTTCTAAAAACATTCATTTTATTCCGTGAGTTGAATGAAAAATAAACCACTATTGGAATTAAGTTGATTTTCTGTTTGAAGTGTGTAGTGACACTGATCCAAAACTGGCACACTCAACTCTTTCCATATTCTTCTTCTGGAGCTGGGGCACCAGCAGCTGTGGCTTCACATTCTGAACTTGTGCAGGAAAGCTCAGAAGGAGCAAAGTTAACTTAGAAAAACCATCGTTTGATGGTTGAGATGCAAAGGGAGAAGATGTCATAATGTGGCCAGTTTCCATGGGGTATCAAGTGCCCCTGCAGGGTGGAGCTTTAGGGCTGGGACACCTCATGGCTCCCTGGACAGCCTACACAGGCTACTGTCTTTGGGCTACTATCTCACCTTTGCTCCGTGGGCTGGGTCTGGAGCAGAGGCTTCTAAGCACAGCATCTGGCCAACGAAGCCAGCACCACAGGCAGGCACTTGGCTGGGCCTTCCAGACTATGGGGGCAGTAACGATGCCCTGTGTGTGTGTCATGCAGACTTCCCACTTTGGTAGGAACACGAGCTATTCCAAGCCCCATGTGTGCTTTGAGAACCCACCTGCCCGCTTCTTCATGGTGGCTGGCCTTTCCTGGGCGTGGTTATTTCTCGTGGATGTGCAGATCCACAAACAGCTCTGCAGAGCCTGCTCCTGAGACAGCTGCCTCCTCCCTGCTATTCTGCCCTGAAAATTTCTGCTCCCATCACCTCCCTGACCCTCTGTCTTCTGCCTTTGCTGCTCACCAAGATGTCTGGGGTCTGTTTGGGTGTTCCCTCCCTGCCCTTTGGCCTGGAACCTCCTCCAGGTGGCCGATGGGCAATCCTCGGTTCTCTTTTTGTTTCCTTCGCTTAGGGAGTGTGGTCCTGCAAAGCCAACTGTCTGAAAATCTTATATTTTTGTCTGGTTTTCTAGTTATTTAAGCAAAGAGAGTAAATCCAGTCCCTGTGACTCCATCTTTCCCTGAAACGGATGTCTTAGGTTTTGCCTTTTGATAGGTAGTTTTAAAGAGCTTGATTTCTTGGCAAGATATCTCTGTCCAAAAGATAGAACATTCTCTTATCTTTTTGCCCTTTTGATAAGGGGATTTGGAGGATAATAGATAAGTAGAGTAAGAAATACTTGAGAAGTAGGTGGAGAGATTCTGCCAAGTAAAGATAAACAATTATAGAATATGTAATTATTTTTCTTTCTGGGGTGATTTGAGTCAGTTTTTTTTTCTTCCCTGAGAAACTGAGATGAAGGCATCAGAGGGGAGGATGCCTCTCCCCAGTTAATCCACCCTCGCTGGAACCTGTCCAGCCACTCTGCAGAGGCACAACATGAGTGGGCACGAATGCAGTCGAATTCAGGGCAATCACTCTGCAGCAGACACGTGGGACACAGAGCCCTGGGTAGAGATTTATCTCTTCACTGAGCTCTGTTCACACCAGAGTGCACACACCTGCACACACACCTGTATGCACACCTGTACACAATGTAAACCCTTGGCATGTGAGTCTTTATGAAAAGGCATCATGCATCCTCATTAAACATAATTGCCTTGACTCAGGATGAATACTAAAAAGACAAATTAATGTTTTATGGCGTGTTTCAGGGCTTTGGTCTGCTGTTTTTCAGCTGGTCTTTTTCTGGCTCTGCCCTGCCAGCTAGTTCTTCTCAACACCTGCATGATGCTTGTCTAGATAGTCCCTCTGCCTGGCTGTAATTAGCTACTTTCAAGTCAATATGGAATAGAGACAAGATAACAAAATTTGTTATATGGATCTGCAAATCAAGAGTGCTGAAGACCAGGGTAAATGCAGAGACTGGGTGGTGCAAGCAGGGGAAGTTCTCATTTGTGTAAAACATAGATTTTGTGTCCACTGTTGCAGCTGCTGTGGGGCGTGCCTGGTGCATCTTGGATGAATCGTAGTAGAGGAGGAAGTTGTATGTCTTCTGTATGTGCGAAATAGGCAGCTGGCTTTATTTGGTTTCCTGGCCATTTCCTGCTGCCTTTCTGGGGCCGTCCATAGGTGTGTCGTGTCTTTTCATGACATACCAGTAATGGCTGAATAGATTCAGAAACGGTTGGGCACAAGTTGTATTTGGAGATGTCAAATACCAGTTGTATTTGGAGATGGTAAATTTATCACTAAGATGATGGTTGACTTTAAGTGGTCTCTGTGCTTATCATTCAAAAGGTGAATCTAGAAAAATTAACACCTGGTGACTCTGCTAAACAATTGAGAAGAAAGTGCAGAGGAAGCCCAGCTGTAAGTGCACATCATGGATTTAGCTCATCCCTTGTTTGCCCCATAATAAGCGTTTCCCATTTTAAATGCTTGCATAAAATACTTAACAAAAAATATGAGGCTGGAATAGGAACTTGGGGGTTGAGAATTGTCTTCCCAGATAACTTTTAAAAGCAATTTTAGATACGGTTTGACTCTGGCATCATTTACCAGTAATATCGTGTCTGGAATTTATTCCTTCCAGTGGGTTCTTGGTCTTGCTGACTTCAAGAATGAAGCCGAGTACCCTCGTGGTGAGTGTAACAGTTCTTAAAGATGGTGTGTCTGGAGTTTGTTCCTTCAGATGTTCAGATGTGTCTGGAGTTTCTTCCTTCCGGTGGGTTCGTGGTCTCACTGACTTCAGGAGTGAGGCCGTGGACCTTTGCACTGAGCTTTACAACTCTTAAAGGTGGTGCGGACGGAGTTGTCTCCCAGTGGGTTTGTGGTCTCGCTGACTTCAGGAATGAAGCTGCAGACCCTGCTGGTGTGTGGACCCAAAGAGTGAGCAGCAGCAAGATTTATTGTGAAGAGGGAAAGAACTAAGCTTCCACCCCCTGGACAGGGACCCAAGACAGTTGTGCTGCTGGGCCCCCATGGCCAGCTTTTATTCCCTTATTTTGCCCCACCCACATCCTGCTGATTGGTCCATTTTACAGAGTGCCAGTTGGTCCCTTTTACAGAGTGCTGATTGGTCCATTTTACAGAGTGCTGATTGGTGTGATTTTACAGAGTGCTGATTGGTGCATTTACAATCCTTTAGCTAGACACAGAGCACTGATTGGTGCATTTACAATCCTCTAGCTAGACAGAAAAGTTCTCCAAGTCCCCACCTGACCCAGAAACCAGCTGGCTTCACCTGTCACTATCAACACACATTAACTTAAAAGTTTATGCCTCATATTTTTAGGTAGGAAAACAAGTTTACATACTGATTAAGGTGATCCCTGCTCTGAAAATTGAGAAAAAAAGGACATATAGGAAATACTCAAAATTTTAAAAAATTGACAATTTTTTTTCTTGTTTCTCATGGTGACATATTTTGACCTATTTCTGATGTTCTGCATAGTAGGCAAATTCCTGATGGCTGTGTATATTAGTCTGTTCTCACGCTGCCAATAAAGACATACCCGAGACTGGTTAATTTATAAAGAAAAAGAGGTTTAATGCACTGACAGTTCCACATGGCTGGGGAGGCCTCACAATCATGGCAGAAGACAAAGGAGGAAAGAGGCATGTCTTACATGGTGGCAGGCAAGAGAGGGCTTGTGCAGGGGAATTCGCATTTATACAACCATCATATCTCATGAGACTTACTACCACAAGAACAGTACAGGAAAGACCTGCCCCCATGATTCAGTTACCTCCCACCGGTTCCCTCCCACGACACGTGGGAATTATGGGAGCTACAGTTCAAGATGAGATTTGGGTGGGGACACAGCCAAACCATATCACTGTGGTAGAAAGGCCAGGGAACTCCAGCTCTGCCCCAGATCTGCAGAGGAGCTCCCTGTAAGGCACAGCTCCTGGATGTCATGACATCTCCCTTAAACATTTTTTTAAATTAAACCAATGAAAACATAGAATTTCTCACAAAATGCTTATTTTTGGTATGTTTTCACTTTTTCATATCTTTAAACCTCAAAAAATAGTTTATACTTTTAATGATAATATTAAAGTTTCAATACAGAGGTTGGGGTTGGTGGAAGACATGAGTCAATGAAAGCATGGAAAACTGACTTTGTATTTATCCTATCAACAACCTAGTTTGTTAACCAAAAGTCACTGAGGCTACTCATTGTCCTTTTACAAACTTCCCTGTGATAATTCCTTTTATATATTTTTTAAATGAGTTCTGAAGTTATTTCAAAATAGTTATATCATTGCTTCACTCCTTTCCATATGTTTCTACCCACCAAAAATATTCTGGCAAAAAACAAAAAGTAAGTGTTTAACAACCAGCTTTTGAGGGTGGGGTGGGAAGCCCTGCTAAAACATTTGTCTGCCTCCGTGGTTTAAACATCTCACCCACGTGGACACCCAGCTACCAAGGTGACATCACTGACCACACTGTTGGGAAGAGCTGTGTGCAATTGGCTCTGAGGTCCCATAGAGCAGGCTCCAGCTCATCATTGCATAGATGAAAAATACAGCTTCTTGTATTTATTTCCCCAAAGGTCCATGTATTTCAAGATACAGTTTTTAAATATCTTGAATGTGGGGCAAACTCAACATTTCGGATTAAAGGCTGTGTATCTTGAAACAGTTGATCTCAAACTATCTTTTTACTGTGAGTACTCATATTTCTATGGTAAAGAGAGATCTTATACAAAATAATGAAGAGTCCTACAGATTGTAGACAGTCAAGACTTTAGAGTTCTCATTCATATTTTACCACAATTAGCTTAGCAGTCAATGAGAAATAGTAATCAGATGTCTAAACTGTTTCTGGTCTCATCTGTGTATATTGAAATTTAAAAAAATGGCATAATATCTACATATCATAATTAATCTTTTACTATGTTTTCTAGGATCCTAATGAGTTTATAGGAGAATTGTTAATTCAAGAAATAATTTTCTAAGACTTGCTATATTTTGGATGCAGAAAAAAATAAGTATTTTGTATGCATCATATATAAGTGGGTAAGGTTGTCTAGGAGTTTGTTTTTAATGAATGAAATATGCACATATAAGCTGTAATTTTTACATGATTACCTAGAAGCTTAGCTATGATTTCCTTTTCTTTGACATCTACAATACTGCATTTTTATTGAGTGACCACTCTGCTCTCAGCATCCGATGAGGTGCTGTGGAATACGTTGGTTTGTATAAGACACAGATTTGACGAGCAGGAATTTGTGGAACATAAGACAGTGGAAAAAAATTTGGTTCTTGTAGCATTGTGGTGGATATCAGTTGTCGTATTAGGGTTTTTCAGAGAAATAAAACCATATATAAATATATATACACATATACACACACATACATATGAATATAAATGTATATATAAACATACATATATATATATAGGTTGCATATATATAGGTTTATATATATGCATGTCTCTCTCTCTCTCTCTCTCTCTCTCTATATATATATATATATACACACACACACACACACATAAGAGAGTGGAAAAAATTTGGTTCTTGTAGCATTGTGGTGGATACCAGTTGTCGTATTAGGGTTTTTCAGAGAAATAAAACACATATATAAATATATATACACATATACACACACATACATATGAATATAAATGTATATATAAACATACGTATATATATATAGGTTGCATATATATAGGTTTATATATATGCATGTCTCTCTCTCTCTCTCTCTCTCTCTCTATATATATATATATATATACACACACACACACACACACACACATAAGAGAGTGGAAAAAATTTGGTTCTTGTAGCATTGTGGTGGATACCAGTTGTCGTATTAGGGTTTTTCAGAGAAATAAAACATATATATAAATATATATACAAACACACATATACACATGTATATATGAATATAAGTGTATATATATAAACATACGTATATATAGGTTGCATATATATAGGTTTATATATGCAACCTATATAGGTTTATATAGGAATATATATAGATACAGTACTTGGCATGTATCTCTCTCTCTCTCTCTATATATATATATAGATGTGTATATATATATGTGTGTGTATATCTATAGATATGTATAGATATAGATATCTATATATGAGCTTTATTAGGGGGATTGGCTCACAGGATTACAGAGGCTGAGAAGTCCCACGATAGGCCTTCTGCCAGCTGGAGAACCAGGGAAGCTGGTAGTGTCGCTCAGTCCAGGTCTGAAGGCCTTGGAACCAGGAGAATCTATGGTGTAATCTCAGTCCAAGGTTGAAGACCTGAGGAGGCCACTGGTGTCAGTTCCTGAGTTCAAATGCTGAAGAGCGTGGAGTTCTGATGTCCAAGGGCAGGAGAAGAAGAGTGTCTCAGCTCCAAAAGTGAGAGAAGTGAGCACATTCTCTTTCCTCTGCCTTTTTGTTCTATGTGGGCCTCAGTTGACTGCATGGTGCCCTCCCATACTGGGTGAAGGGGATCTTCCTCACCTAGTCCATTCAGACTCATGCACTAATATCCACTGGACACACCTTCACAGACACATCCAGAAATAATGCTTTGCTGCAGGGGTCCTCATCCCTTCGGCCACAGAGTGGTACTGGTCCCTGGCCAGGTAGGAACTGGGAACTGGTCCATGGCCAGTTAGGCACAGTAGCAGGTGAGCAGCAGGCAAGTGGGCATTCCCCTCTGAGCTCTGCTGCCTGTCACATCGGCAGCAGCATTCGATTCTCATAGGAGCACGAATCCTGTTGTGAACTGCGCATGTGAGGGGTCTGGGTTGCATGCTCCTTATGAGAATTTAACGAATGCCTGACCATCTGAGTTGGAACAGTTTAATCCCGAAACTAACCCCCCAGTTGGTCCATGGAAAAATTATCTTCCACACACTGGTGCCTTGTGCCAAAAATGTTGGGGACCACGGCTTTACCAGCTATCTGGGTATCCCTTAATCCAGTCAAGTTGACACCTAAACTTAACCATGACAGTTGTCAATTCGGTTCAGTGAATTTGCTTTCATAGTGAATGTAAGTTCCTTACAGTACTTGGCATGTATCAGTGCCTCAAAAAAAATGTCAGGTTATAATCTAAGAAAATAATCTGCTTGGGCAAGTAAGACATTATTCATGGGTAGCATAACTACAGAGCAACCTACCTCTGAGGGGTACAGAGAACACGTGCCACAGGATTGAGAGAAGTCTCCCATATGCATGGGCAGTTGGGAAGGTGTCATCAAGGAGGCAGCCTTGGTCTGAGAGTTGAAATGGGTGGAGTGGGCGGGAATAGCCATTGCAGATGAGCGTGGCTGTGCAATGCCTGGGCAGGAGGCCCTGGGGAAGACCAGTCTACTAGAGTAGAAAATTTGGGTAGAGAATGTCAAGAAGTAAGGAAGGAAAAGTAGGTTCTGGAGAAACTGGACATTGTTGCTTGTCAGTCTGAGGAATTTGAACTAGAGACAATGGGGATATATAGAAACCTTCTGAGTTTGGGATTTCTATGATCAAAAACCGTCTTTAAGGAAGAACAATCTGATGACAGTGTGCAGATTTTATCCATGTTCATCCAGAAAACAGCCTCTGCTGCAATTTATGACAGGCCTGCCATCAGCATTGCAGGGCCTGGGATAGGGGTGCAGTTGGAGACTCACAAGCTATATATTTTTTAACATTTAAAAGTTATAAACCAACCTGTTAATGACTACAACAAAAATTCTTAACATTTGTCCATAATCAGTATTTGTTCATAAAAACCAAATAAAAATATATGTAAAAGTATATGTTTTATGACTGAAGTTGGAAATATGAAATCATTCAAATTGTGGATTTGATTAGAATAATTTTCTTGCTCATATTTACTCTTTTGATCAATAGCTAAATTTTCACAAAATAAACTTGTAATGCCCTGTTCTCAAATTTTGTGTGGGTCATGCTTGACAAAAGTCTGTTCATATTTACTATTTTCAGTTTTAAATAATCTAAACAGGCTGCTCTCTGCATATTTTCTGTTACTATTTCCATTTTTTCTTTAAGCTGCATTTTTATAATTTCTATTTCTAGCAAAATACCAACTTTCATGCATTCTTCAGATGTGAAGCCCTTTGCAGGGAAAGCTTGCCAACCCATCCCTAATCTAAAGGATTAGAAAGGAAAATGTAGTTACATTCATAATAGGACATTTGAACATTTCACCAATAAAATATAAATTTAGATAAATTAAGTTTAAAAAATTAAGGTTATTTTTCATATTTTTCAATAGTACTATTTTTCTTTTAAAATAATTAAAGTTATTAAAATTAAAAGGCAAAATTTAATTAATGAGTATTCAAAAATCAAAATTATTCCAATAAAGTAAAATTTAAAATTTAATTTTTACAAAATTTAATTAAATACCTTTATAAAAATGAATGCATTTCCTAATGCTAGTGTTTAATGTGTATCTAGTTTTGGTTATAAAAGATCATTATCACACTTGATGAATGCTACACCTAGAATCCGTGTTATAATTCCCTCATGGTGAATTTAGACCTACATAGACAGATTGAAGCGTCATATGAATTGCTTATATTACAGAATATTACAGAATTGCCCTCAGCCCCCATGCACAGCCGTTGCTAATGCAATGCTAATTAATAACCTGAACAAGCCTCAGCAGGAGCTCAGCTTCAGGCTCTCCAAGGGAGTGTGTGGCAGGTGAGCGGCCTGAACCCCGTGCAGCTCGGGTCCTGGCTCCAGTCTCTGACGTGGCAGGTGCAGAGCTCGCACCTTCAGGGCACTCAGGTGCGCTGCCTTTGTTTGGAGGATAAACAGTAGAGGTGTGGGTCCTGCTTCCCTGGGCCTACACAGCAGAGCAGCCTCCAATGCTCTGCTGACCCCTGGGACTCAGGCTCTCTGTGCGCTGGGATACGGTTATTTTCCTGGTGCTTGTTCTCTGCAGGGCCGGCCCTGACCCCCATCTCTCGCAAGAATGTGAGTTAACTCTAATTTTAAATGACCTTTTCATCTCCATCTGGCTTAGCACCACAAATTGCTATTCTGAGTTTTAATCTGTGCCGTTTGGCCACGGCTGGCATGGATTGTCGAAGGGAGGAGGAGGCACTGCCCTCTGGTTGGCTGGCTAACATCTCTTGAGAAATTTCTCAGAAAGGGCTTGCTGTATAGACCTTCACCAGGACTGAATAACAAGAGAGGGTCAGTCCTCCTGTTCCAGTTCAGCCTTTTTCGCCTTAGTGAGGTAATTGCAGGCAGCTCTAGAGAGACAGGGCAAGAATATTTGGTTTCCAGAGAAAATAACAGAACAGCTCCCAGTGATTCCCTAAATGGAATTTGGAATTATGACTCTCCCTGGCTCATTGAAGCATTGCTAGCTCTGATTCAGGGCTGCTCTGGCAAGCTGCATGTAATATTTCAATGAATGCTACATTGCATTGCAGTGAGCAAAATGCCAGAAAGGTTTCCTTTGCGAGGGTAAACCAGCCTTTTGTCTTCGTTGCTTATATTCTAGAACCTCACCACAAAATAAAAATAGTTAATCATTCTGGATGTTTAGAAATGTTAGATCAGAAAGACCAAGATAGAAGTCTAATTTAATGTAAGCCTAGGCTGAGCTGCTCTGTGTACATGTCCACTTGTATGAATGGAAAAGATTTTGAAACAATTCACATTCTGACAAAACGCCAATCGTGGTATGAAGCATGTCATTTTTGTCTGTTTGTCTCTTCCTCTCGCCTCTCTTTTACCCTTCAGTTGTTGCCTGCATTTCTAACGTTCAGTGAGGCACTGTACTGAGCTGCTCGTGTCTTATGAAATGAACTGAGTTTTTGTGCTAACAGAGGCTACATTAGTCCCGCTAGAGACATAATTGAATATGCAGAGGTTTTGCTTGTGTTTATGATTTGCATGAGGTCAGAGTGCCATGGGCACCTGAAACTAACAGATCATCCAATGACATCAGTTCTGGCCTTTGGACAGCCCCTTGTCCCCCAATTCAAGTAGGACAGAGGCCTTGGGTTGGTCTTTCTGAAGTCCTTGAGTGTCATTGTTCATGGCTGTACCTGTGGGGAGAAGATGAGTTTGGGGCCTCAGCAAGGGGAAGGCTGTGGACACTCCACTCTTGATCTAGCTGTAGTGCAGCAGGGTGGGAAGGAGTGACCTGGAGTCAGAGGACGTGGTTTCAGGTCCGGCTCTATGCCTGGCTGCATGAACTTCATCAACCAGCTTAGAGTCTCCGAGCCTCAGTTTACTCATCTGAAAAAGAGGCTGTCTTTTCCCTAAGATTCTTCAACAGATTAGTAAGTCTACCTTAGCTAAAGGCCTTGTTGTACTAAACAACCCTCGATATATATGCTAGATATGAAACCGCCTTTGCAAAATTATGACAGCAAGAGAAATCTGACATGGTTGACTCCATCTTGCTTCTGACCTCTAAGCTGTCCTTGGTCATTCCTGGGTGTAGGCCAAACTAACTTTGGGAGGAATTTAGTTTCTAGTTTAACCTTAAAGCAAGGATAATAATAGCCCTTCCCAAATCTAAATCACCTTTGTAAAACCAATAAAAGGCCATAAGGTAAGGATTATGAGAGGGGCCTGAACTCTGCTAAGATGTAGGCATAGTTTCCATAATCCCTTACTGCTCAGGGGTCATGTGGCCAGAGGTCACAAGAATTGTGACTTTCCCAGTTGCTCTTATAGATGACATTACTATCATAGAACCTAAGATTGGTGTTTGGAGCTTTCAGGCTGATTCCCCCTAAACTTGTGATTTATGACTCAGCTGATCCTGTAGCCCCATCCAGAGGTGGAATGAGCGCATGGGGGTGTGGACTGTTCTTCACACCCTGATGATTTCATCCCCAATCATTCGGCAGCACCCATCCCTTAGCCCCCTGCCCACCAAATTGTCCATAAAAATTCCAAGCTCTGAGCCTTCAGGGAGACTGATTTGAGTGTTAACTCAGTTCTCCCACGTGGGCCAGCCTCCTGTCAATTCAATTCTTTCTCTACTGCAATGGTGCAGTCCCAGTGAATTGCTTTTGTCTATGCAGTGGGCAGGAAGAACCCATTGGGAGATTAGAGACCAAGGTGGGATCTAGGGAGCCTTGCTTTTTCCTTAGAAGAAGACATTGCACAGGGATGAACAATGCGTCCTCAGCGCAAGAGGCAGTGCTCAGTCCTATTCTGGCATCATGAGGGCTCTGGCTCTGTTTCCAGAGGGCTCAGGAGGGTACCCACATGCCAGTGAGACCCTAGCCCCAGCCAGTGTCTACGTTCTTGACACTGTCATGAGAAAGAATTCAGGGGCGAGTCAGAATGAGGCCAAAGGCAAGAAGCTTTTATTGCAAAGTGAAGCACACACTTGAGAGTGAAGTGCAGGCTGGCTAGGGAGAGTGAGTCGTGCACTAGAGAGATTGGGTTTCTAGTTTTATGGGATCTTTTAATGAGGGAGTGGAATAATCATGAGGTCTTCTAGGAAAAAGGTGGAGATTTCTTAGAATTCAGGTGCCACTCATTTCCATACTAAATATGGCCATGCTCCGATCTCTCTTGGTGCCGGAGGGTGTGTGATTTAGGATGTTAATGAGCATATAATTAGGTTGGGGTAGGGCATGGGTCAAACCAAATGCCATGTTGGACTCAGCCCATTTCAGCCGCTTAGCCCCTTCCTGTTTGTTAGGGCCCCATCAGCCCAGGCTCACCCTTGTCCTGGTAGCTGATTTAACAGCTCTCATTTCTTGCTGCTGTGAAAGATCGCTGCTTGATATCTTCCTGTGTCGCCTATGACCACCCAACATTCCTGTCTCACACCTGTTCTCTCAAAGGATGGCTGGGCAAGGGACCAGGAGTGTTGGGCACGCAGCGTTCATCCTGGGACAGGGGCTTGACCTGGATCCCGCTGAGGTCCCAGCTGGAAAGTGCTGGCCTGGCCCATCCCTGTTCTCTGCCATGCAGCTGTGCCAGACGGCCGTTTAGGGCCAAAAACAGAATTGCAGAAACTCTGTGAGTGTTGAGGAAATAAGACGGATTCCTACAGTGTGATTTGAAAAAATCCTTTTGAATTCTAGCATGGTGTTAAAAGGAAAACCCAGCCATGAATGATTTGTGAATCTGGCAGCCCTCGAAACCAGGATAGGTTCAGAGGGTCTCCGGCCTGCCTCATGATGGAAGATTTATGGACAGAAAAAGGACAGTGAGGTGAAAAAGGAAGTGAGGTCAGAAACAGCTGGATTGGTTACAGCTCAGGGTTTGTCTTATTGGAACACGGTTTGAACAGTCAGCTGCCTAGGATTTGCCAAAACTCGGTGATGGGCACAAGAGTAGGTCACAGTCTGCTTACACATCCAGCTAGGTGACAGTTCACCCAGTACAGAAAGTCCCTTTGGCTGAGTTTAAAATATGTAAAGTGGTAGCTTTAGGATCAACCTAACAGTGGCTACATGTAGAAAATGAAAGTCATGGCTCCAAACGCACGACAGCCTGCTTTCCCCTTCAGTGTGTGTTGATGGACTGGGAGTGCCCGGATACCAGGGCTCACCGTGCCTGTCCCAGTCAGGGAATGTGACTTCACTTTGGCCCCTCCTGTGCACAAACCCCCACCCTGTGTTCAGGTTTACCAGGACCCCTGAATTCTGAAAGGTGGATCCTACTTAGGAGAGGACAGCTTGGCACCAAGTGCTTTGGACTCTGGGGCAGACATTTCTCTCAGATCTGACGCTTGGCCCCTACCCACCTGCCTCTGTCCTCCAGGTAACCTTTTCTGCAGGCCTCGTCCTAGGGTGGCAGAGCCAGGCCTGTGGGGTGGGGGCTCTGCTGCATGGCCTGACCTGATCAGCCATTTCTTGGAGCCTGTTCTGTGTTGGTGCTGGGGAGAGAGCAGCAGGAATGCAAACCTGCTCAGATGTATTTTTCCTTTGAGATCACATCTGCTGTATTTGCTGTGAGCAAAGTTCATAAAAGGAAGGTGATGAAAAAGCGATATGGAATAAACATTCTTTTTTCTATAGGGTATTTCAGAAAAGAAGGCCATTAACATTTGAAGGTGGCTCAATTTACACATTTTTAATATGTAAAACACCTAGTGACTAAAGTGAGATATACTTATTTAAAAGTGTAAGTACTTTCAAAACATTTTACATATTAAGATAGCAAGACTAGGCCAGGTGTGGTGGCTCATACCTGTAATCCCAGCACTTTGGGAGGCCAAGGCAGGCAGATCCCCTGTGGTTGGGAGTTCAAGAACAGCCTGACTAATATGGAGAAACCCTGTCTCTACTAAAAAAAAATACAAAATTAGAAGGGCGTGGTGGCACATGCCTGTAATCCCAGCTACTTGGGAGGCCGAGGCAGGAGAATCGCTTGAACCTGGGAGGCAGAGGTTGCAGTGAGCTGAGATTGCACCATTGCACTCCAGCCTGGGCAACAAGAGTGAAAAAAAAAAATAGCAAGACTCAAACATAAACTTTAAAAATCTGAATTTTATAAAATCAGTAATTTGGCTTCACAATCTCAACTATTGAAGTTCTTCTATGTTTAATATTGTGGCTACTTAGCTGAGTAACTGAATATTGAGGAATGGCCCATTATCTCAAACTTGTGAGTTAAAAAATGCCAGAATATCACCCAAAATTGTAACCATATTACTGAGAGTTGGATTTGAATGAGTAGATGCTGTTCCAGGTTTGAAAGTAGTTATAAGAATGAGAACATGAATTCAGTACCCTGTGGGGATTGTGGGTCTGGAGGGTGTTTGGTGGGGCTGTCCTGGAGAATGATGATGCCGTTGTCTGGATGTGGGTGTAATAATACAAGGGTTACTTGCATGTACCTTGGCTTTCAAGAGATAAACCAGCACCTTCTTTGCCTTTTGGCATAATTATAAGCTGTGCTGCCGGGACTGTGTATCCCTTCTACGCTGTTGAACACTTTTCAAATGTTAATGGACTTATCTTCTGAAATGCCCTATAGGAAAGAGAATGTTTATCCCATAGCTGTTTTTTAAATCATCTTTCCTTTTATGAACTTTGCCACCTGACCTCGGCATGCCTGTTGTCCCACATGACATCTGGGCTCTTGAGTCCTTGCTTTGTGAATGACGTCAGCCTGAGTGCTTCCCTGACCGCCCCCAGCCACTGCGACTCACCTGCCTGTGAGTCTGAGCTCCTATGCTTCATTCTTCAGCTCTTCACACATAACCCCCCTCAACTCCTCAAGCACGTATGCCTTCTTCTCTCAGCTCTGACAACTGAAAACACTTTTTCAGTTTTACATTTTTGCTCTCCTGACCTCGATTTAAACTTCTAATTTAGATATCCGGTTGACCCTTGAACAACACAGGTTTGAACCGTGTGGATCCACATATATGTGCATTTTTTTCCTATAAATGTAATGGAACATTTTTTGGAGATTTGTGACAATTTGGAAAAGCTTGTAGACAAACTTCATAGCCTAGAAATATTGAAAAAATTAAGTAAAAGTTAGAGATGTCATGAATGCATAAAATATATGTAGATACTACTCTATTTTATCATTTACTACCATAAATAAGTACAAATCTATTATAAAAAGTTAAAGTATCTCAAAACCTGTGGGTAGAAACACAGACCATACAGCGTGCCATTCATAGTTGAGAAAAATGCAACAAACATAAAGATGTGAAATTAAATCAAAACTGCATCAAGTTAACTGTAGTGCATACCATGGTAATTTTGTAGCTACCTCCTATTGCCGTCGCAGTGACGGGAGTATTTGCTGAAAACACCATGTGACAGGCACCATCTCTGTGTGAGAAGTCTGTCTCTCCAGTAAGTTTCTCACTGCAGTAAGAAGTGATCCTTGCAGGTCTTGCATATTTTTCTTCATGCTTCATGCAATATCGAACACATTGTGTAACACTATGGGACCCACAGGAAGTGCCTCTAGTGATGCTGGAATAGGTCCCAAGAAGCAGAAATGTGGTGACATTATTAGAAAAAGCTGAATTGCTTGAGGTCTGTAGCTGCAGTTGCCCAGCATTTCATAAAGACAATTCATCTTCTAAGCAGGAGACATAAACTTACAGGATTGATAATGACAGGACAGAACTCTAAATGTGCTTTCTTTTCCTTATCATTTTCTTAATAACATTTTCTTTTCTCTAGCTTACTTTATTGTAAGAATACAGCATATAATACATATCTAAAAATGTGTGTTAATCAACTGTTTATGTTTTCTGTAAGGCTTCTGGTCAACAGTGGGCTATTAGTAGTTAAGTTTTTGGGGAGTCCATAATTTACTTGGATTTTTGAGTGCGCAGGAGGTCAGTTCCTCTAACTTCCAAGTTGTTCAGGGGTCGACTGTATTTCTATGGGCTACCGTAGGTAAAGTGCCCCCACTCTTTACACAGAACAGTTGTCCCTCCCCAACCTTTTTGGCACCAGGGACTGGTTTTGTGGAAGAAAATTTTTCCATGGATGGTCGGGGATGGGAATGGTTTTGGGAAGATTCAGGCACATTCCATTTATTGTGTACTTTATTTCTATTATTATTACATTGCAATATATAATGAATTAATTATACAAGTCACCATAATGCAGAATCAGTGTGAGCCCTGAGCTTATTTTCCTGCAACTAGAAGGTCCCATCTGAAGGTGATGGAGACGGTGACAGATCATCAGGCATTAGATTCTCGTAAAGAGCACGCATCTTGGATCCCTCGCATGTGCAGTTCACAGTAGGGTTTGTGCTATGAGACTGTAATGCCTGGGCCGATCTGACAGGAGGCAGAGCTCGGGGGTAATGCGAAGGATGGGGAGTGGCTGTAAATACAGATGAAGCTTCACTCATTCGCCCCCGTTCACCTTCTGCTGTGCAGCCTGGTTCCTAACAGGTGAGGGACTGGTCCCGGTCTCTGGCCTGGGCTTGGGGACCCCTGTGGTAGAAGGCGGTGGTAGTGAGGGAACAGAGTACAGACTCTGACATAAGATCTGCACTTGCTCTTTTCTTCTAGTCCAACCACTCCTGGCCATTTTGGCAAGCTGACTAACCTCTCTAGGTTTGAGTGGGGATAATAAAACCTATGTAACACTGTTATTAAATGATAAACTGCAAAGTGCCTAGCAGAGTTTATAGTTGCTGCTCAGTAAATAGCGGCTAGTTGATTGACTTTAATAAGCTTTTTAGGAATGGGTCTTTGTCTTAGTGCCAAGCATTCAGAAAGTGCTCAATGCATAGTCTTGAATTTGGAATCTATCTCTAATATGATCCGGACCCCAGGCCTAATAGCTGGATCCAGACACAGCATCCTCCTGTCAGCTCCCGGAGGGCAGGGATGTTGGTCTGTTTTGTTCCCTGTTGTATCTTCAGCATCCGGAACCATGTCTAGCACATAATTAGCACTCAATAAATATTTGTTGAATGAGTCTCTGCTGATGACATCTCAATTCTGTGGCAAAAGCTAGCTCTATTCTGTTTTGTAGTCTGTTTGTATTTCCTGAGTATGTATTAATTCAGGGTAAAGAAGAGATACAAGAATCTTGCTGCCAGAGCTTGTGATCAGCAGGAAATTTGGAATTAGTCTCTGGTTTTCATAATCCTCAAAAATGGGGTGATTTATAGGTGGACTGATCCAGGTGTTCCTAATTAACCGGCACCATGGAGGCAACGTGAAGTCTTGGAAACTGCACTCTTTGTAATTTAAAACATGAAAACTGGGTTCACTCCCTGTTATGTGTGTGCAGTGCTCTTCCACAAGACAAGCAGAGCAGGCTGATTGGTCTGCTTATGACAGTCACTCAACAGACCGAGCTTCCTTCTAAATGCACTTTAATCAGGGCCCTGGCCTGTTTTCCTACTCTACTCACAAGAATAGCCTCCATTGTCTGACTTTTCAGATAGGTAGGTTAGTTTCCCTAGATAGGGTAAGGACACCTATTTCTTCCCAATTATATTTCATTCCAACCAGTTTCTGACAAGGTCACGGTTCCCCTGTATTTTCCTGGTATGGTGAGCTAACAAGGAAAGGAAGAGCCCCCGTTTTGCAGTTGTTAACTGTGATCAAGACTCAGCTTAGCTTCCTCCCTGCCAAACACGGAAACAATGAGCTTTTATGTCACCATTTTGGTTGTAATCTTGTTTGTTTTTTATTTCAAAAGATAATAGAGGCATCCTAAAATGACACACTGAGAATCAGGATAGCCCCTGTGGATGGTATCACCCTGGAGAATTCCTTACAGCCAGGCTATCAGTGTGACCAAGGGTAATTGTGCTGCTGAAGTTGGGCCGCACAGCTTTCGCAGGGTAAAGATAAAACCATCAGATCAGCTTTGTTTGGCCCAAGAATTTCCTTTTGTTTAGATGCTGAAGGAACTGTAGCTAGCAGTGAGAATTTTTTAAGATGATAGGTGGGCAGCTATAGCCATACTCAGAAGTCCTGTGAAATGAACGTCAGCAGAGACACAATTCTGGGCAGAGTCTTGCTCATTTGAGTAAAACTGTGAGTCACAAAGTAAAGGAGGGTAACCTATGTGTTAATGACAGGCTCTGTTTATTAGAGCCAAAGCTGGTTAGGTTGGTTTTGTGTACTTAGGTGAGCAAACTTAGGAGGTCCTGACCAGCCGTGCCCTGTGTTCTAGGGGCTGGGGTGGTTTGAAAGTTTCAGTGGTATTGGTTTATTGGCCATTGAAAAATTAATGCATTTTAAATATCCAGTATGATATTGCTAACAAATAATTTTACTTAAAAGAATTCTACCTTATGTGAAATCTCTTAAAAATCTGACCATAGTAATATAATGCTGACATGCACATTTGAATTTAGTATCGGGCTTGTGTAACAATAGGGTAGGTGAAATTCCATAAACATTGAAATGCATGTATAATTTTGGCAATTTATGGAGCAAACAGTCATTCTATCAGTTACCAAGTAATATTTAAGTCCCACCTTCTCCCAGTTTCTAATTGGTTAAGCAGTTGCAAGGTGAAATTGTGTAGTATGGAAGAAAAAACAGAAACATGTAAATAATTTCATTGTAGATCATTATGTTTGTCAAATGTATCCTTTTACGTCCAGATGTTTTCTGTTTTTTCAAAAAAAATCTTTAAGGTATTTCTAACCGTGCTTACTGGAATTCCTGGATTACGATAATGTTCAGGGAGATTTTATCAAAGCTTATCTGACCTTCTACAGCTTTTTTTTTTTCTTCTTCTTTTTATTCCTGAAAGGTGCCATAGCTCTTCTGGGAGCATTGGCAACAACAAAGGCTCATGATGCCAACTGGTAAGTCCTGTAGATGGGGTCACTGTTTAGCTGAAAGGGTGCAGGAATCTTCTTTAGATCTTATACCAGTGGTGGACACTGTCTTTGTTGCAAAGCTAGGGGAAATTGGATGTGTGTGTCTTACTGTGAAAAACTGCCTTGGATAGCCAAAATTTCATCAAAATCTGATTTTACTTAAAATATTTTTTTGCATCATTTACTTAGTCTGTTGATAAGCTGAGAACATTTATGATTAACCTCTGATTTTTAGCAGTTTTTAAAGATGAAGTACTGGTGTTTAGTCATTTTTCATAATGTGACTTAAATATTCATCCAGGCACGAGATTTAAAGGTGAATACACTTGATGGTTTATTTGCATTGCTTATTTCCACTTGTTACTTCAAACGGATTAAAAAACCAATAGTGAAAAAAGGTTCAGAAAGTGTAAATGAAATGTTAAGTGACCTGTGAGAATTACACAATACGTGGTGTGAAATATTTAAACAGTGAAAAAAGTAACTATTTATGAATATATTAAAAATGTTATAAAAATTTATTACCTGAATGCAATTTTAAAAGTATGTTCTTTGTTAACAATTTTTCAATTTCTTTCATATTGTCTTCAGCATTAAAATCTTTCCTTAAATTGAAAATAATTTAAAACTATGCCATGAGCACAGCAACTCAAGGTTTAATGGTGTTCACGACTCGGCACAGACACCCGCTCTACATGCTAAACATGTGGAAGTTATACACCTTATCAGTGCCTTTGTTAATGTCAAATCATGATACTGAGTATTCTGTTAGTTTACCATTTATTTAAAATTTATAGCATAATATCAAAGTTTATTGTAATACCATGTTTAGGTTTTTATCAACTTACTTGACAATAAACTATATTTATTTGAAAGTGTAATTTGAAGAACTTTGAAAAATGTATATACTCATGAATCTGCCACAAGTGTCAAAATGCAGGACATTTTCCTCAGCCCCAGATGTTCCTCCTGTTCACTTATCATTCATTCCTTGTGGTACCCTTGGCCCCAGGGAGCCTCTGGTCAGCTTTCTGTCCCTCAATTACATATTCCTAAGTGGAACTCGACAGAACGTCCTCTTTATGTTTTGTTTTTGGCATTTTGCACTTGCTGGTACAATATGTATTTTTTCAGAAACATGTTATTTGTGTGTGAGTCTGCAAAATGAATTCTTTCCATCGTCTGGGAGAGCATGCTGGACTACACATGGTGTTCTGCCTCCGGTCCTGACGTATTCGTGTCTCAGGGCTGCTGAATGAAGCACCCCAGGCTGAGTGCCTTCAAACAGTAGAAATTTATTCTTTCACAGATCTGAAGGCCAGAACTCCCAAACTGAGGTGTCGGCAGGGCTGTGCTCCCTCTGGGACTCTGGGCAGAAGGCGTCCTTGCCTCTTCCAGCTGCTGGTGCTAGCTGTCCATTCACGGCCTTCCTCGGTCAGCCTCTTCAGTTTCTCCAAGCTCCACTCTTGCTGTCTCTGTCTCTGTGTGGTATTTCCTCTCCTAAGAACACCAGTTTGTGGAATTTAGGGTCTCCCATAATCAATCTGACCTCATCTTAACTAATTACACCTGCAAACACCCTTTGTTCCAAATAAAGTCTCATGCATAGGTAACAGAAGTGAGAACTTAAACACATCTTTTCGGGAGACACAATTCAACTCTTAACACCCAGTTCTGTCATTGGTTCTAAGATTCTAAATATCTCTGGGATGCTTGTTTTAAATGATACCCTCCACAGAAAGCTCAAAAATTGCCAGCAAAAGTTTCAAGGACAAAAGGCAAGAAAGGATATGGCTGGACGAGTTCTTACTACTGGGCAAGATTCCAATAACAGGAAGACTGAGGCCATGATGCGCAGTTTGCAGAATGTTTCATACAAACCATCTCTGTCTTTGCAGTGCACCTGTTGGAAAGGGGTATCATCATGAGGAGGAGAGTGAGGGTGAGGAGGATGGTTTGGCAAGTGGGAAAATAGACCAGGAGCATTTGTATTACTCACCCAAAGTCGTGCATTTAGGGGGTGGTAGAGTCAGGATGGAGGCTCACGTCCTCACTGCAAAATGGGTCCTCACCCACCTCATCTGCCCTCTGGCCACCAGGGAGATGAGTAGTGGGACTGGATGACCTCTCACGTCCCTTCTGCTGCTAGCACTGCATGGGGTTCTCTGTCTGCACCGTCTTTGGCCCAAATGGTGCACATGCAAGCATGGTATTTGGCAGCCAGTCTTCAACACTCACAACAGCTGTGAGTTTGGGCTCTCTGCATTTCCATAGCTTCAGTGTTTGGCTGGAGGAATGATTAATGATAAAAGAAGAAAAAAATGGTCTGAAATCCAGATACTTCAGCCAAGTATCATATGGCTAAGTCCCAGTTGTTATAAATAATAAAATAATGACATCACTCTCCTCTGTGATCCAATATGGTGTGAGAGGAAAATAAATTACTTATCATTTGCGAGTTCTAGCTATATTTTATATTGTTTTACTTCTTTTCAACATGTTTTTCTCAGTTGTTTCAACACGATGAGCTGTATTCCTGTCAGTTTTATCTCAGCATTCGGCATATAAAACATTCCTCAACTCACTTACAGATACATTTTATTTGCTTTTCCAATGGCTGGAAAAGCTCAGGACACAGTTGGAACTTAATTCTCCTGATCCCAAAGTTCTGGTGACATAAGTGGGTGGGTACCTTTGAGGAATTAGGTGCCATCACACATCTTAAGGGACACATCCCTGAGCCCTGAAAATGGAAATCTTTGGAACGCAAACATGGAACTTAAATGACTTAGGCAGAGAATGCAATCTAATGAACTACATTTCACCATTTACTTCAGTCTGGTTATAAAATTAAATCAGACACATGAGTAGTTTATTTTGAAAAGGCACTAGTTTCCCGTTGAGTAACAAAAGCAACATTCATTCACTCATTCATTCAACCACATTCATTAAATGCCCTCCAGGTGCCAGGCTTGTGCTGGGTTTTAGTGAATGGACCTGAGTCAGAGTCCTCGTCTTTAAGGAGAATTTATTCTTTTTATTTTATTTTATTATTATTATACTTTAAGTTTTAGGGTACATGTGCACAATGTGCAGGTTAGTTACATATGTATACATGTGCCATGCTGCTGTGCTGCACCCATTAACTCGTCATTTAGCATTAGGTATATCTCCTAAAGCTATCCCTCCCCCCTCCCCCCACCCCAACCAAACACCGCATATTCTCACTCACAGCTGGGAATTGAACAATGAGAACACATGGACGCAGGAAGGGGAACATCACACTCTGGGGACTGTTGTGGAGAATTTATTCTAATAGGTTGGAATACATACAAACAAATACATGCTTTTAGATCTAACAGCCTAAGTGTAAAAGTAACAGGTAAGAAGAGTGTAAGTGAAGTCTGCATAGCTGTTTGTATGTGACGATGCACTTTTACGCACATTATAACATTTTATTCTTTTTTTTTTTTTGAGACACGGTTTTGTTTCATCACCCAGGCTGCAGTGCAGTGGCACGATCATAGCTCACTGCAGCCTCAAACTCCTGGGCTCAAACAGTCCTCCCACCTCAGCCTCTCAAGTATCTGGGACAACAGGCACGTGCCGCCACACCCAGCTAATTTTTTAAAAAAGATTTTTTGTAGAGACGGGGTCTCACTCTATTACCAGGGCTGGTCTCAAACTCCTGGCCTCAAGCCATCCTGCCTCCTTGGCCTCCCAAAGTGTTGAGATGGCAGGCGTGAGCCATGGTGCCCGGCCAAGATTTTATTCTTGTAACTATTTTGTGGGGTGTTATGTCTCCACTTTCCAGGTGAGGGAAGGAAGGCTTAAAACCACATCAAAGCTTCCTTGGCAGGGACTGCAGTCACTGGGAGTCCTGCCCCTGCCCTGGAGAGGCCGCTTCTCCCCAGCCCTTTACTGACTGTTCAGACCCACTTCGTGGACGGAGATGAGGCTCTCTCTCCGGTTCTTGTGTCAACACCTTCTGAATGATCTAGATCCATACTTCTTCCCTGCTTTCGCCTCGTTCTAGAAGTTGAGAGTTGACAGAGAAGCTAAGTGTTTGATTTCATTTATTTTTAACAAATTTAAATAGCCACATATGGCTGGTGGCTACCCCACTCCTTTTCCACCTCAGCTCAGGAACCACGCTCAGCTCCAGAGCTCCATCTCTTCCATTAACAAATCACAGGCACACAGAGGCTGCCACTCTTGGTCCTATTCCAAATAGCCAGAAAATCATCTGTAATAATCTGAGATCAGGCCAAATACACCTCCCTAGGTATGTTATTTTATATTATTTTCCCTTAATATGTGTTTCTCCCACTAGACTGGAGCAGCCTCGAGGGTAGGAACAGCACCCTGTGTATGCTGTCTTCAGAATGTAACGCAGCCTTTGGGAGGAAAAGTACATTCATGACTGAGTTCAGCTAGGAAGGTACTGCATAGCTAATATGTTCAAGGCCTTATTCCAGGGACTCGACAAAGAAAAAGGCAGACCTGGACACTGCTCTCAGAGAGCTCACAGTCTAGTTCCATCACTGGAAGGCACGACTGCAATTTAATCAAATCATGGGACGAGCCTAGCATATTGCAGGCAATGAGGAAGTCTCAGAAGGGCATTTCTGGGCTGAAGTTTCTCCACCAGGGTGTCTAAAGAGGAGGAGTTTTCCAGGGGGCGCAGAAAGATTTGCAAAGGGAATAAGAAGGAGTATGTGGGATGTTTGGGAACAAAGCCAGTTTAGTGTGGCTTCCGAGGGTGATGAGAGATGAGTCTGCAGAGGGAAGCCGGGGTAAATCATCCAGGACTCTGCAGGCAGGTACAGGGTTTGAGCTTTATCCTAAAAGTAACAGAAAGCCATTGAAGTATGCTAGGCAGGGCGATGAGAGTCAGGTCTGTGTTCCATGAGGTCATTTTGGCTGCAAGATAGAATACAGATTGGAGGGGTGGGGCAAGTCTGGGGGCTGTTTATAGGTTTTTGGAGGCTGTGGAGTAGCCCAGGTGGGATAAAGCTCTGGATGAGGATAAAGGCTGTGGCAACTGAGAACAATGGGTGAACTCAAGGTGCATTTACTTGGTATAAGCAGGAGAACGTGGCATTGGTGGATGTGGGAGCTGGCATAGAGAGAGAATCAATGAGGGGTTCCACCAGGGTTCCTGGCTTGGACAACATCTAGAACAACACAGTCACCCACCAACCCTGGCAGCATGGGAGCAGGAGCCGGCTGGAGCTGAGAGCAAGGAGTTTATTTTTTGATATGCCTAGTGTGGGAGAGCCTGTGGAGGTGACTAGGGGACAGCTGAACATAAGAGTTACTATATTAGTTTGCTAGGGCTTCTATAAAAAACTGTGAGCCAATCCCCTCTAATAAATCTCCTTTCATGTATATACACAAATCTCCTATCTCCAAAACCACAAACTGGGGGGCTTAGGCAGTGGATATGTATGTCCTCATGGTTTTGGAGGCTGGAAGTCTGAGATCCAGGTGTCAGCAGGGCTGGTTCCTTCTGAGGGTGTGAGGGAGGCTCATTCTATTTCTCTCTCTTCGCTTCTGGAGGTTTGCTGAAAACCTGTGGCATTCCTTGGCTTATGGGTCGCTGCCTTCATGTTCATGCAGTGGTCTCCCTGTGTGTCTGTCTCCAAATTTTCCCTTTTTGTTTGTTTGTTTTATTTGAGACGGAGTCTCACTCTGTTGCCCAGGCTGCAGTGCAGTGGCATGATCTAGGCTCACTGCAACCTCCGCCTCCCGGGTTCAAGCAATTCTCCTGCCTCAGCCTCCAGAGCAGCTGGGATTACAGATGCACGCCACCACGCCTGGCTAATTTTTGTATTTTTAGTAGAGACAGGGTTTCACCATGTTGGTCAGGCTGGTCTCAAACTCCTGACCTCATGATCCTCCCACCTCAGCCTCCCAAAGTGCTGAGATTACAGGCGTGAGCCACCGCGCCTGGCCCAAAATTTCCCTTTTTATAAGGACAACAGACATAGTGGATTAGGGGTCCACCCTACTCCAATATGACCTCATCTTAGCTAATTACATTTGCCATGACCCTATTTCAACATAAGGTCACATTCTGAGGTGCTGAGGGTTAGCACTTCAGCATCTGAATTTTGGGAGAATGTGTTTTGGGAGAAAGTGAATATCTGTCCCACCAAATTTATATATTGATGTCCAAATGCAAATGCAATAGCAGTAAGAAGTGGGCCTTTAGGAGGGGATGAGGTTATGAGGACAGAGCCCTTATTGGGAGTAGTGCCCTTAGAAAAGATGTGGAAGGGATCTGTTTGTGACTTCCACCATGCGAGGACCATCTCTGAAGCCAGAGAGAGCCACCCCTCACCAGACACACTCTGTTGGCACCTCTATGCGAGGACCGTCTCTGAAGCCAGAGACTCCCACCCCTCACCAGACACAACCTGCTGGCATCTTGATCTTGGACTTTCCAGCCTCCAGAAATGTGAGCAATAAATCTTTCTTGTTTCTAAATGACTCAGTCTAAGGTGTTTTGTTATAGCAGCAGGAATAAACTAAGACACAATTTGACCCATAACAAGGTCAGCTGGAGGTATAGTCTTGGGATTTGTTGAGGTCACTCAGAAAGTGAAAGTGGGGTCAGAAGAGACACTAGCATTCGGATGAGCATCACCCTGTAAGGCTTAGGTTGAGGAACAGGAGCATAAAAGGGGAGCTGAGAAGGAGCTTCCAGAGAGGAAGGGAAAACACCGGGAGGGTGTGGAGTACTAGAAGACGCAGAACTGGGATCAGTAGAGACAGATGTTCTTGACAGTCCAAGGAAGTTGGAATAGGGCAAGGGCTCGTCAGATTTCATGCAGGGTGGCTCTAGGCAGGGTTCAGAATGCAGAGAGAGGATTTGGCCTTAAGAGGAGACACAAAGCTTCCTTTGTGCAGAAGGAGCAATCACAGCAAAGACTAGAAAGTGAGACACTGCATGGTGTATCTGGCCAGTGGGACCTAGTGTGAGGTGGGTGAGGTGTAGTCCAGGGCTGGAAACATTAGGAGTTGAGGCTGAAAAACATGATGGAGACCATATTATGAAGGTTGCAATATGCCAAGCCAAGGATTGGGATTTCCACACTGAAAGCAGCTGACTTTCAATGGTTCTCTACTGTTTAAAGGACAAAGATCTTACAGGATTTAGCATTGCTTTGCATTCAATATTCTCTCAATAAATATTGCAGATGTGCTTGGCTGAACTTGATTTGGCTGCCTCTGCCCATCTTGACCTTGTCCTGTGAATATACGGGAAATTTTGTTCATATCCATGTAGTAATAGACTTTTCCACTGGCAATAAATCTCATAAAGAATCTTTGTATTTAGGATTTATTGAAGATTACTCAAGTATAAATGTTACTGATGAACTCACAAGTCACATAGTCTAATCAGTAAACCTACAGAAGAAAAAGAAAGTGCTAAAGGCATTATTTTTTTCAAGAAAATGGAGTCTTCTTTTTCTTTAAAACCAAAAATTGTGCATGCTGATTGTGTAAATTATTTGGAAAAGCATAACATTTTAAATGTAAAATAATCCCTCGAATCCCAGCACCCAGAGCTAATGGTATTATTGTTTCGATGTAATCTCCTTGAGTAAAGAGTCTGTCTGGAGGCTCCACTTGTAAAGGTAATAAAAAAGGACAAGAGTTTGCTGAGGCTAATCATCGGCATGGTCCTGCAGGAAATCTGATGTTTTACAGCCACAATATGTGTGCAGGGCTGTCTGTTCCATCATCCTCATGAATAGGAAGGTGGCATGTCTGGATGGCAGAGAAAGGAAACAAGTCCTGCATCCCTCAGCAGGTGTTTCATCCTGAGGCCTCAGTGGGACATCCTGCCCAGCCCAGGGTGAGGAGCCAAGGGGTGGGCCAGCCTGCTGAGCTTGGACTCCTAGCTGGGCAGGAACTGGGACATATTAGCCAGGGTTCTCTAGAGGGACAGAACCAATAGGAGATATGTGTATATACATGAGAGGGGATTATTAGAGGGGATTGGCTCACATGATCAGAGAGGTGAAGACTCAATTATGATGGCTAATATTGAGTGTCGATTGGATTGAAGGATGCAAAGTATTGATCCTGGGTGTGTCTGTGAGGGTGTTGCCAAAGGAGATTTACATTTGAGTCAGTGGGCTGAGAAAGGCAGACCCACCCTTAATCTGGGTGAGCACAATGTAATCAGCTGCCAGCGTGGCTAGGATAAATGCAGGCAGGAGAATGTGAAAAGACTAGACTGGCTTAGCCTCCTAGCCTACATCTTTTTCCTGTGCTGGATGCTTCCTGCCCTCAAACACTGGACTTCAAGTTCTTCAGCTTTGGAATTCAGACTGGCTTCCTAGCTCCTTAGCTTGCAGATGGCCTATCATGGGACCTTGTGATCTTGTGAGTTTAATACTCCTTAATAAACTCCCCATTATATATCTATCTATCCTATTAGTTCTGTCCCTCTAGAGAACCCTGACTAATACACTCATGACAGACCATCTGAATGCTGTGTCCCTGGCTCCCTAGTGCAGCTCCTGGAGAGGCTGGTGGTATGGCTCAGTCCAAGTCCAAAAGCCTCTGAACCAGGGATGCCTGGCAGTGCAGCCCCTAGTCTGATGTCAAACCCTGAGAGCCCCCAGGAAGCTGCTGGTGCAAATCCCAGAGTCCAAAAGCCAAGGAACCTAGAGTCTGATGTCCAAGGGCAGGAGGAGAAAAAGACATCCTGCTTGGGAAGGGCGCTGGCTGAGCACTCCCCCTTTCCTCCCACTTTCTCCGAGATTGGCCCCCAGCCCACAAGACGGTGCTGCCCACATTGAAGGCAGGTCTTCCTCCTGCAGTCTGCAGGCACATGCTCAGCCCTTGCTGGAAACACCCTCACAGACACACCCAGGAGCAGAGCTTCACCAGCTGTGTGGGCCTCCCTCAGTGTCAGGCTGACATCTGTTACCAACCATCACCTAGAGTGAGAAGAGTCCTGTGTGGCTCAGTGATTGAAGACTCAGTGCCTTGCCTGGCCCATCTCAAGGGTTTGCTGCATGTTGGCTGTTGTTATTAGCTTATTGGTTGATTCTTTCCTGCTCTCACAGTTTGTCTCCCTAAGATGTTGTGGGAGGCACGTGGAGGAGCTTGTGGGGGCACAGGTCCTCCTTGTGGGGGCACAGGTCTGCCTGACCCATTGGCTGGTGCACCCTCCCTATGGTGTATGTGCAGCTTGAGGCCAGGCAATAAGTACATGCAGCTGCACGTTGCTGTGAGTATAAGGCATTTAAGAAAAATCCTTTCTTGGCCAGGTATAGTGGCTCACACCTGTAATCCCAGCACTTTGGGAGGCCAAGGCAGGAGGATTGCCTGAGATCAGGAGTTTGGGACTAGCCTGGGCAACATATCGAGACCCTGTCTCTAAAATTTTTTTTTTTTTAATTAGCTTGGCATGGTGGCACACACCTATTATTCCAGGTTATATTAGTCCATTTTCATGCTGCTGATAAAGACATACCTGAGACTGAGCAATTTACGAAAGAAAGAAATTTAACTGGACTTACAGTTCCATGTGGTTGGGGAAACCTCACAATCATGGCGGAAGGCAAGGAGGAGCAAGTCACATCTTACATGGATGGCAGCAGGTGAAAAATGAGAGTTTGTGCAGCAGATTGCTTCTTTTTAAAACCATCAGATCTTACGAGACTTATTCTCTATCATGAGAATAGCATGGGAAAAACTTGCCCTCATGATTCAGTTACCTCCCACCAGGTCTCTCTCTCAACATGTGGGAATTCAAGATGAGATTTGGGTGGGGACACAGTCAAACCATATGACACGTACTTTGGAGGCTGCAGTGAGCTCTGATCTTGCCACTGTACTCCAGCTTGGGTGACAGGGCAAGACCCTGTCTCTAAAAAAAAAAAAAATTCTGTCTTAGGCTGGTATATCATAGCCACTTTTCAAGACATTGAGAGGACATTTTTGGGCTATAGAGGAGGGTGGCCTTCTGGGCTATAAAAATAACTCTGTTATTTTTCTTTAATTCTCAGTTTTCTCATCTTAAAGTTGGGGCAACTAAGTGGCCCACGCCAGTGCTTCCTTAGGATCCCATGAGGTTATACACGCACACACAAAGCACAGGTCCCTGACTTTCGGAAGGTGCTTATGGCATCTCCATTATCCTCATTAGACCTGGTGCTTACCAGAGCTTTTGTCCTCTGAGAATTGGACTCACTTTGTAGGCATGGGGAGAGCCAGGAGAAATTCCTGTGTCGAGGCAACTATCCTACCATTTGTTGGCGGGGGTGGGGGGGGGGCGGTCATTTAGTTCAATAAAAGATGCAGAAAATCAGGGAAAAATGTTTGTTTGTTTTGCGGGTGGAGGTAAAGAATAATCATTCTTTATGTATTATTTCAAAATGAAAACCCTGCCCAGTGTTTAGAACACACACTTTTACCCACCTTTCTAGCTGGATGAGTTTTACCAGATGTCCTTAGGCAAAGGTATTTTATGGCAGGATTGTTTGTGGTAGGACTCACCTGCAGAATTTAGATATTCTCTTAAAGCAAAAATCTGTTGCTTTTTTTTTTTGCCTCCTGCTAATTCTGCTAATTGATAAGCTAAAGATGTTTCTGGGTGGGAGGCTCCATTCTGTGTTTTCTAAGCAGCTCTGGGCACTTTAATTCTTTGTTGTTTTTGGAGGATTTATGTATATACATACATATACACAGAAACATATGCATGTATATGTATATTCTACCATAAACAGTGTGGAAATTATTAGTGCATATTGTTTAAAGTCTTCAGAATTAAACCCCTTTTGCAGCTCTGTACACACACTGATGTTAAGCTGGGCAGTGGTTTTCTGAACGAGGCCTCCTAGCAAACCATTTTCACCCTTCCTCCTTTCACTTCTTCATAACAATATCTATTCAGATCATTTCGGGAACTGTAAGAAATCTCTTTATCTATTGGACTACTATAATTAGATAATCATGTGTTTTACCCACGTGCCTTATATCTGGTCTTTAACTCACAAATACTTGTCATGTCCATATTTCAATTTGACTTTTCTTACTTAATTTTTATCATAAAATTTGTCAAAGATGAGTTCTTGGCTGAACTGGATCACAGCCCTTCTAGTAAATAAAAAGTCATTTCTGTTTTCCTGCTTACAGATCCTAGACTATAGCAGTCATTCCTCATATTATTTTAGAGTCATTGTGTTGAGCTGACAACTGTAAATTAATGTAGAGGCTGAGACATACTACAAGCTAATGATGTTGAAAGTGTATGTTAAACCATGGAGACAGTATAGCAATTTTGGACTAATAACCATTCTAGCTGGAGTGAGAAACGTTCTTCCTAACTAAGAAAGTTCTGTCATTTTTACCTAATGAGAATAAGGAAGCTGGACGCTGAGCTTCTTATAATTAATGGGATGAGGACCGGAGTGATGCGGGTCCGCTCTCAGTGTGCGCGTGTGCTATGCGACTCCCTTCTCAAAGATCCAGGATTAATAGCTGCCTTCTGGCTGTTCCCTGAACGTGCCGTGTGTTTTCACATCCCCTACATTTGCTCGTGCTCTTCTATTAGGAAGCTCTTTTCCCCTGCTCCTTTGACTGGTCAAAACCTACTTGCCCTTTGAGGCTGCCTCAGACCCTATCTCCTTTGTGCCAGTTGTGTGTTTCTGGACAACGTTGTTTGTATTTCAACCGGGTTTTCAGCAGACAGAGCCTGCCTCACTAGGAATGTGCCTGTCTCCTGCTCCTGAACTCTTTATTTATTATTATTTATTTCTACCCCGGCTCGTTAGAGACAGGATCAGAGCTATAGGCAGGCTGTGGGTCCCGTGCATGCAGGGCCTTCCTCGTCCCTGCATGACCCAGCGTCGGGGCCTGGCACCCTCAGTGCTTGTTAAGGCTCTGACGTGCATACGCATGGTCGCTTTCCGGAGCCTCATTTTCTGGCAAAATTGTTAAGACAGAACAGGTTGACCATCCGTTTAAAACCCTATGCATAAACAACCAGTAGCTGATTCTATTTTTAAAACCCTTCAAATATCTTTTGTTTCTAGACTAAATGACAAATGGTTATGGATTAAATACAGGAAGGCAAGACATCAAGGGAAATTCCCTTTAAGCCAACCAGATTGTCATAGATTAATTGGTGCCACTTGGTGTCAAGTCAACTCTATAGCAATTGGGTGGTCCACTTGGAGTAAAATTCACTGGGCTAAATTTAATGTTTAGAGAACAGACATGCCATTCCTGTTTGTTTTAGTAAAGGTTGCTGTCATATATCTCATGGCAGGACTTTGCCCATGGGATCTTATTATTTTTGAAGTATTTTTAGTGTTAATTTTTTTTTACCCACCTGGAGATAATATCCTGAAAGGAAAGAATATTTTCTCATTCAATGGCCCAAAATGAGTACAGATCACATGGAAGGAGGGCTATTACCTAAAAAATGTTCTAAGGTTATTTTGGTTATTTGGGAAAAAATATGAAAAGTAAAGATATAGAAACATAATAGGTATAATAACCAGGTAATAATACAAAATTAAAACACTTTGGATTTTATCTTGTTTTGAAGCTTTATCAACTATTTCCCTGGTATGTACAGCATACAATAGCAATTAAAAATATCTTAGTATGATTTCTTTTATAAGGTACAAATATATATCGTATTCAGAAAAATGAAGAGTTTGAGATGACAGTCTGTGATTTTTCTAATTTTTTTCTTCAACTTTTAAGTTCAGGGGTACATGTGCAGGATGTGCAGGTTTTTTCCACAGGTAAACATGTGCCATGGTGGTTTGTGGCACAAATCATCCCATCTCCTAGGTATTAAGCCCAGCACCCATTAGCTATTCTTCCTGATGCTCTCCCTCCCGTCTCAGCCACCCTCCAACAGACCCCAGTGTGTGTTGTTTCCCCACTATGTGTCCATGTGTTGTCATCATTCAGCTCCCACTTATAAGTGAGAACGTGTGGTGTTTGGTTTTCTGGTCATGTGTTAGTTAGCCAAGGGTAACAGCTTCCAACTCTATCCATGTCCCTGCAGAGGACATGATCTCTTTCCTTTTAATGGCTGCATAGCATTCCATGGTGTATATGTACCACATTTTCTTTTTCCAGTCTACCATTGATGGGCATTTAAGTTGATTCCATGTCTTTGCTATTGTGAATAGTGCTGCAAGAAATATATGTGTGCATATATCTTTATAATACAATGATCTATATTCCTTTGGGCATATATCCAGTAATGGGATTGCTGGGTCAAATGTATTTCTGTCTCTAGGTCTTTGAGGAATCACCACAGTCTTCCACAATGGCTGAACTGATTTACACTCTCACCAACAGTGTAAAAGTATTCCTTTTTCCTTGCAACCTCACCAGCATCTGTTGTTTTTTGACTTTTTAATAGTAGCCATTCTGATGGTGTGAGATGGTATCTCATTGTGGTTTTGATTTGCGTTTCTCTAATGATCAGTGTTGAGCTTTTTTTCACATGCTTGTTGACTACATGTATATCTTCTTTTGAGAAGTGTCTGTTCATGTACTTTGCCTACTTTGATGGTTTTTTTTTCTTGTAAATTTGTTTTAGTTTCTTGTCAACTCTGGATGTTAGACTTTTGTTAGATGCATAGATTGCAAAAATGTTCTCCCATTCTGTAGGTTGTCTGTTCACTCTGATGATAGTTTCTTTTTCTGTACAGAAGCTCTTTGGTTTAATTAGATCCCATTTGTCAATTTTGGTTTTTGTTGCAACTGCTTTTGGTGTTTTCATCATGAAATCTTTGCCCGTGCCTATGTCCTGAATGTTATTGCCTAGATTTTCTTCTAGGGTTCTTATGGTTTTGGGTTTTACATTTAAGTCTTTAATCCATCTTGAGTTAATTTTTGTATAAGGTGTAAGGAAGGGGTCCAGTTTCTGTTTTCTGCATATGGCTAGCCAGTTTTCCAAGCACCATTTACTGAATAGGAGATCCTTTCCCCATTGCTTGTTTTTGTCAGGTTTGTTGAAGATCAGATGTTTGTAGGTGTGTCCTTGTAGGTCTTATTTCTGAGTTCTCTATTCTTTTCCATTGGTCTATATGTCTGTTCTTGTATCGTAACCATGCCGTTCTGGTTACTGTAGTCCTGTAGCATAGCTTGAAGTCAGGTAGTGTGATGCCTCCAGCTTTGTTCTTTTTGCTTAGGATTGTCTTGGCTATTCAGGCACATTTTTGGTTTCATATGAGTTTTAAAATAGTTTTTTCTAATTCTGAGAAGAATTTCAATGGTAGTTTAATTGCAATAGCATTGAATCTATAAATCACTTTGGGCAGTATGGCCATTTTCACAATATTGATTCTTTCTGTCCGTGAGCATGGAATGTTTTTCCATTTGTTTGTGTCCTCTCTTATTTCCTTGAGCAGTGACTAGTTCTCCTTGAAGAGGTTTTTCACATCCCTTGTTAGATGTATTCCTAGGTATTTTATTCTTTTTTGGCAATTGTGAATGGGAGTTCATTCACGATTTGGCTTTTGGCTTGCCTGTTGTTGGTGTATAAGAATGCTAGTGATTTTTGAACGTTGACTTTGTATCCTGAGACTTTGCCAAAGTTGCTTATCAGCTTAAGAAGCTTTTGGGTTGAGATGATGGGGTTTTCTATAATAGATACAGGGTCATTTTATCTGCAAATAAAGATAGTTTGACTTCCTCTTTTCCTATTTGAATATGCTTTATGTCTTTCTGTTGCCTGATTGCCCTGGCCAGAACTTCTAATACCATGTTGAATAGGAGTGGTGAGAGAGGGCACACTTGGCTTGTCACTGTTTTCAAGGTGAATGCTTCCAGCTTTTGCCCATTCAGTATGATATTGGCTATGGGTTTGTCATATATGGCTCTTATTATTTTGAGATGTGTTCCTTCAATATCTAGTTCATTGAGGGTTTTTAACATGAAGGGGTGTTGAATTTTACCAAAGGCCTTTTCTGCATCTATTGAGAGAATCATGTGGTTTTTGTGTTAGTTCTCTTTATGTGATGAATCACATTTATTGATTTGCATATGTTGAACCAACCTTGCATCCCAGGGATGAAGCCAACTTGATTGATCTGGATAAGCTTTTTTTTTTCCAATACATTTTTGGGGAACAGGTGGAATTTGGTTACATTAATAAGTTCTTTCACAGTGATTTCTGAGATTTTGGTGCACCCATCATCTGAGAAGTGTGCACTGTACCCCATGTGTAGTCTTTTATCGCTCATTCCCCTCCTATGCTTCCCCCTGAGTCCCCAAAGCCCACTGTATCATTCTTATGCTTTTGCATTCTCATAGCTTAGGACCCTCTTATGAGTGAGAACATATGATGTTTGGTTTTTCATTCCTGAGTTACTTCATTTAGAATAACGGTCTTCAATTCCATCCAGGTTCCTCAATGGTCTTCAATTCTATCCAGATTGCTGTGAATGCTATGATTTCATTCCTTTTTATGGCTGAGTAGTATTCCATGGTATATGTGTGTGTATATATTTATGGGGTACATGAAATGTTTTAATACAGGCATGCAATGCATAATAATCACATCATGGAGAATGGGGTATCCATCCCCTCAAGCATTTATTCTTTGTGTAATTAACAGTACAATTATACTTTTTAAGTTATTTTAAAATGTACAGTTATTATTGACTGTATTCACCCGGTTGTGGTATCAAATAGTAGGTCTTACTCCTTCTAGCTTTTATTTGGTACCCATTAACAATCCCCACTTCTCCTCCACCCTCTAATACCCTTCCTAGCTTCTGACAATTATTCTTCTATTCTCTATGTCCATGAGTTCAATTGTTTAGATTTTTAGATCCCACAAATAAGTGAGAATATGTGATTTTTGTCTTTCTGTGCCTGGTTTATTTCATTTAACATAATGACCTCCAGTTCCATCTGTGTTGTTGAAAATGACAGAATCTCATTCTTTTTTTATGGCTGAATAGTTCTCTATTGTGAATATGTACCACATTTTCTTTACCCATTCATCTGTTGATGGACACTTAGGTTGCTTCCAAATCTTGGCTATTGTGAACCATGCTGCAACAAACATGGGAGTAAAGATATCTCTTTGCTATACTGATTTCTTTTCTTTTGAGTGTATACTCAGTAGGGAGATTGCTGGATCATATGGTACCTCTATTTTTAGTTTTTTGAGGAACCTCCAAACTATTCTTCCTTATAGCTGTGCTAATTTACATTCCCACCAACAGTGTATGAGGGTTCCCTTTTCTCCACATCCTTGCCAGCATTTGTTATTGCTCATCTTTTGCATAGAAGCTATTTCAACTGGGGTGAGGTGATATCTCATTGTAGTTTTGACTTGCATTTCTCTGATGATCAATGATGCTCAGCACCTTTTCATATGCCTGTTTGCCATTTGTATATCTTCTTTTAAAAATGTCTATTCAGATCTTTTGCTCATTTTTAAATTGGATTACTAGACTTTTTATAGAGTTGTTTGAGCTTCTTCTATATTCTAGTTATTAATACCTCATCAGATGAGTTGTTTGCAAATATTTTCTACCATTCTGTGGGTTGTCTCTTCCCTTTGTTGACCGTATCCTTTGCTGTGCAGAAGCTTTTTACTTGATGTGACCCCATTTGTCCATTTTTGCCTTCATTGCCTATGCTTGTTGGGTATTACTCAGGAAATTTTTGCCCAGGCCAATGTCCTGGATGGAGAGTTCTTCCAATGTTTTCTTGTAGCAGTTTCATAGTCTTAGATCTTAGATTTAAGTCTTTAATCTATGTTTTATTTCAATAGGCTTTTGGGAAACAAGTGGTGTTTGGTTACGTGAATAAGTTTTTTAGTGGCGATTTCTGAGATTTTGGTGCACCCATCACCCAAGCAGTGTACACTGTACCCAATGTGTGGTCTTTTATCCCTCACACCCCTCTCATGCCACTCCCAGAGTCCCCAGCCCACTGTATTATTCTTAGGCTTTTCTGTCCTCATAGCTTAGCTCCCACTTATAAGTGAGAGCATATGATGTTTGGTTTTCCATTCCTGAGTTACTTCACTTAGAATAATGGTCTCCAATTCTATCCAGGCTGCTGCAAATGCCATTATGTTATTCTTTTTTATGGCTGAGTAGTATTCCTTGGTGTGTGTGTGTGTATTGTGTGTATATATATGTATATATACCACATTTTCTTTATCCACTCGTTGATTGATGGGCATTTGGCATGGTTCCATATTTTTGCAATTGGAAGTTGTGCTGCTATAAACATGCATGTACAAGTATCTTTTTCATATAATGACTTCTTTTCCTGTGGGTAGATGCCCAGTAGTGGGATTGCTGGATCAAATGGTAGTTCTCCTTTTAGTTCTTTAAGGAATCTCCACACTGTTTTTCACAGTGGTTGCACTAATTTACATTCCCACCAGCAGTGTAGAAGTGTCCCCTTTTCACCACATCCATGCCAACATCTATTATGTATTGATGTTTTTGATTATGGCCATTCCTGCAGGAGTAAGGTGGTATCGTATTGTGATTTTGATTTGCATTTCCCTGATAATTAGTGATCTTGAGCATTTTTTCATATGTTTGTTGACCATTTGTATGTCTTCTTTTGAGAATCGTCTATTCATGTCCTTAGCCCACTTCTTGATGGGATTGTTTTTTTTTTTTCTTGCTGATTTGTTTGAGTTTTTTGTAGATTCTGGATATCAGTCCTTTGTCAGGTATACAGATTGCAAAGATTTTCTCCCACACTGTAGGTTGCCTGTTTATTCTGCTGAGTATTTTTTTGCTATGCAGAAGATTTTTAGTCTAATTAAGTTACATCTATTTGTCTTTGTTTTTGTTGCATTTCCTTTTGCGTTCTTGGTCATGAAGTCTTTGCCTAATCCAATGTTTAGAAGGGTTTTTCCAATGTTATTTTCTAGATTTTTTTATGGTTTCAGGTCTTACATTTAAGTATTTGATCCATCTTGAGTTGATTTTTTTTTTATAAGGTGAGAGATAAGCATCCAGCTTCATTCTTCTATATGTGGCTTGCCAATTATCCCAGCACCATTTGTTGAATAAGGTGTCCTTTCCCCACTTTATGTTTCTGTTTGCTTTGTCAAAGATCAGTTGGCTGTAAGTATTTGGCTTTATTTACGGGTTCTCTATTCTGTTCCATTAGTCTATCTGCCTATTTTTATACCAGTAGCCTTGAACGGTCTTTTGCATTTCTGTGGTATCGGTTGTAATATCTCCCATTTCCCTTCTAATTGAGCTTATTTGGATCTCGCTCTTCTTTTTTTGGTTAATCCTACTACTGGTCTATCCATTTTATTTATCTTTTCAAAGAACCAGCTTTTCATTTTATTTATCATTTGTATTTTTTGTTTCAATTTCATTTAGTTCTGTTCTCATCTTGATTGTTTCTTTTCTTCTGCTGAGTTTGAGTTTGCTTTGTTTCTCTAAATCCTTGAGGTGTGGCCTTAGATTTTCCATTTGTGGTTTTTCAGACTTTTTGATGCGGTCAATGCTGTAAACACTCCTCCTAGCACCACTTTTGCTGTATCCCAGAGGTTTTGATAGGTTGTGTTACTATCATCATTCAGTTCAAAACATTTTTAAATTTCCAACTTGATTTTTTAAAATATTATTATTACCAAGTTTATTTTCGTTGTCTCAAGGTCTGCTGAACTCTGGATCCAGGCTGTCTCAGTAGGGTAGTGTGGTACTTCCTGTACCTATCTCTGCTGCCTATAGTCGTTTTCATTTATTATGTTTTCCTGTTGGACTAATCCCTTTATCCTTATATAATGTCCATCTTTGTCTTTTTTAGCTGCTGTGGCTTTAAAGTTTGTTTTGTCTAAAAATAGCTACTTCTACTCACTTTTGGTGTCCATTTGCATGGAATATCTTTTTCCACTTCTTTGCCTTACATTTATGTGAATCCTTATGTGTCAGGTGAGTCTCTTGAAGACAGCAAGTACAGGTTGGTGAACTCTTATCCATTTTGCCATTCTGTATCTTTTAAGTGGGAGCATTTAGGCCACTTATGTTCAATGTTAGTATTGAGATATAAGGTACTATCCTATTCATTGTATTATTTGTTGCCTGAATACTTTGGTTTTCTCATTGTGTTGTTTTATAGGTCCTGTGAGATTTATATTTTAAGGAGTTTTTTTTTGGTGTATTTCCAGGGTTTGTTTCAAGATTTGGAGCTCCTTTTAGCAGTTCTTGTAGTGCTGCCTTGGTAGTGGCAAATTCTCTCAGCATTCATTTGTCTGAAAAAGACTATATCTTTCCTTCATTTATGAAGCTTAGTTTCACTGGATACAAAATTCTTGGCTGATACTTGTTTTGTTTAAGGAGGCTAAAGATAGAACTCCAATCCCTTCTAGCTTGTAGGATTTCGGCTGAGAAATCTGCTGTAAATTGGATAGGTTTTCCTTTATAGCTTATCTGATGCTTTTGAGTTATGGCTCTTAAGATTCTTTCCTTCATCTTGACTTTAGATAACCTGATGACTTTGTGCCTACGCAATGATCTTTTTGTGATGAATTTCCCAAGTGTTCTTTGAGCTTCTTGTATTTGGATGTCTAGATCTCTAGCAATGCCAGGTAAGTTTTCCTCAATTATTCCCTTAAATATGTTTTTCAAGCTTTTAGATTTCTCTTCTTCCTCAGGCACACCAGTTATTCTCAGGTTTGGTTGTTTAATCCCAAACTTCTTCGAGGCTTTGTTCATTATTTTTGATTTTTTTACTTGTCTTTGTCAGATTGTGTTACCTTGAAAGCCTTATATTCAAACTCTGAAGCTCTTTCTTCCGCTTGTTCGATTCTATTGCTGAGACTTTCCAGTGCATTTTGCGGTTCTCTACATGTGTCCTTAATTTCCAGAAGTTGTGATTGTTTTTTATTTATGCTATTTTACTGGAGATTTTTACATTCATGTCCTGTATAACCTTTTTGGTATCTTCAAGTTGGACTTCACCTTTCTCTGGTGCTTGCTTGATAAGCTTAATAGTTGACCTTCTGAATTCTTTTTCTGGTAATTCAGAGATTTTGTGTTGGTTTGGATCCATTGCTGGTGAGCTAGTGTAAATTTTTGGGGATATTAAAGAACCTTGTTTTGTCATACTACCGGAATTGTTTTTCCGGTTCCTTTTCATTTGGGTAGACTCTGTCAGAGGGATTTGGGACTCAAGGACTGCTGTTCAGATTATTTTGTCCCACAGGGCACTCCTTTGATGTGGTGTTCTCCCCTTTTCCCTCGTGATGGGGCTTACTGAGAGCCAAACTGTAGTAATTGTTATTTCTCTTCTGGATCTAGCCACCCAGCAGAGCTATTGGGCTCTGGGCTGGCACTGGGGAGTGTCTGCAAAGAGTCCTGTGATGTGATCTGTCTTCAGTTCTCTCAGCTGTGGATACCAGCACCTGCTCTGGTGAAGGTAGCAGGGAGGTAAAGTGGACTCCGTGAAGATCTTTGTTTGTAGTTTTGTTAAGTGCACAGGATTTGTGTTGGTTGTCCTCCAACCAGGAGGTGGCATTTTCAAGAGTGTATCAGCTGGGGTTGTACAGGGAGGAAACAAGTTTGCCCTAGGTTTGCCTTTGGGTAAGTATTCAGTTTTCTCAGGTGGTGAGCAGGGCCATAGAGCTCCCAAGATATTATGTTTTTTGTCTTTAGCTACCCAGGGCAGGTAGAGAAAGACCATCAGGTAGGGGCAGGGTTAGGCATGTCTGAGCTCAGATTTTTTTGGGGTGGGGCTTGCTGCAGCTGCTGTGGGAAGATGGGGGTGTGGTTCTCAGGTCACTGGAGTTATGTTCCCAGGGTGATTATGGCTGCCTCTGAGGCATCACACAGGTCGTCAGGGAAGTGGGGGAAAGCTGGCAGCCATTGGACTGACCCTGCTCCCATGCAGCCTGCAACTTGAAAGGCCAGTCTCATTCCCATTGTGCCCCGCCAATATCACCTAATTTATTTCCAGGCAGCTGGTGAGCAGGGCAGAGAACTTGTCCCAGGCTACCAGCCTCCCAGCTGAGAAAGCAAGAAGACTCACAGTTCCTCGGCTGTCCCACAGAGACTGTAGCAGCAATCCACCTCCTTCAAAGGGTCTGTGGATTCTCTTGGCTTTCCTGGTATGTTCCTGCGGTAGTTCTTGGAGCAAAAGTTTACAGTGTGGGTCTCCACATGCTGCTGTCCATTCGAGTGGGAGCTGCAAGTTAGTCCTGTTTCTGATCTGCCATTTTCCCCAGAAGTCTAACAAGCTTTTAGATGTGCTGCTAGATTCAGTTTAGCAGTATTTTATTGAGGATTTTTGCATCAATGTTCATCAAAGATATTGCCCTGAAGTTTTCTTTTTTTGTTGTATCTCTGTCAGATTTTGGTGTCAGAATGATGTTGGCCTCATAGAATGAGTTAGGGAGGAGTCCCTCCTTTTTAATTGTTCAGAATAGTTTAGGTAGAAATGGTACCAGCTCTTACTTCTGGTAGAATTCAGCAGTGAATCCATCTGGTCCTGGGCTTTTTTTTTTTTTTTTGGTTGATAGGCTATTTATTACTGCCTCAATTTCAGAACTTGTTATTGGTATATTCAGGGATTCAATTTCTTCCTGGTTCAGTCTTGGGCGGGGGGTGTATGTGTCCAGGAATTTACCAATTTCTTCTAGATTTTCTAGTTTATGTGCATAGAGGTGTTGAGAGTATTCTCTGATGGTTGTTTGTATTTCTGTGGGGTCAGTGGTAATATCCCCCTTATCATTTCTGGTTGTGTTTTTTTGATTTTTCTCTATTTTCTTCTTTATCAGTCGAGCTAGTAATCTACCTATTTTATCAATTTTTTAAAAAATCCAGCTCCTGGATTTATTGATTTTTTAAAAGGGTTTTTCATGTCTCTATCTCCTTCAGTTCAGCTTCAATCTTGGTTATTTCTTGTCTTCTGCTAGCTTTGGGGTTTGTTTGCTCTTGATTCTCTAGTTCTTTTATTTGAGATGTTAGGTTGTTAACTTGAGATCTTTCTAGCTTTTTGATGTGGGCATTTAGTGCTATAAATTTCGCTCTTAACACTGCTTTAGCTGCGTCTAAGAGATTCTGGTACATTGTATCTTTGTTCTTACTAGTTTCAAAGAACTTCTTAATTTCTGACTTAATTTTGTTACTCACCCAAGAGTCATTCAGGAGCAGGTCGTTCAATTTCCATGTAGTTGTGTGGTTGTCAGTGAATTTCTTAATCCTGAGTTCCAATTTAATTGTGCTGTGGTCTGAGAGACTGTTTGTTATGATTTCAGTCCCTTTGCACTTGCTGAAGAGTGTTACTTCCGATTATGTGATCAATTTTAGAGTAAGTGCCATGTGGTGATGAGAAGAGTGTATATTTTGTTGTTTTGGGGTGGAGAGTGCTGTAGATATCAAGTCAGGTCTACTTGATCGAGAGCTGAGCTCAGGTCCTGAATATCTTTGTTGATTTTCTGTCTCGATGTTTCTAATATTGTCAGTAGAGTGTAAAGTCTCCCACTATTATTGTGTGGGAGTCTAAGTCTTTTTGTAGGTCTCTAAGAACTTGTTTTATGAATCTGGGAGCTCCTGTAATGGATGCATATATATTTATGATAGTTAGATCTTTTGGTTGAATTGAACCCATTACTATTACGTAATGCCTTTCTTTGTCTTTTTTTTTTTTAATCTTTTTTGGTTTAAAGTCTGTTTTGTCAGAAACTAGGATTTCAACCCCTCCTTTTTTCTGTTTTCCATTTGCTTGGTAAATTTTTCTCCATCCTTTTATTTTGAGCCCATGTGTGTCTTTGCACATGAGCTGGGTCTCTTGAAGACAATATACCTATGGGTCTTGGCTCTTTAGCCAGCTTGCCATTCTGTGTCTTTTAACTGGAGGCATTTAGCCCATTTACATTTAAGGTTATTATTGTTATGTGTGAATTTGATCCTGTCATCATGATGCTAGCTGGTTATTTTGTAGAGTTGTTTATGTGGTTGCTTCATAATGTCACTGGTCTGTGTACTTCCGTGTGTTTTTGTAGTGGCTGGTAATGATTTTTCCTTTCCATATTTAGTGCTTCCTTCAGGAGCTCTTGCAAGGGAGGCCTGGTGGTAATGAATTCAGTCAACATTTGCTTGTCTGAAAAGGATCTTATTTCTCCTTCACTTATAAAGCTTAGTTTGGCTGGATATGAAATTCTGGGTTGGAAATTCTTTAAGAATGTTAAATATTGGCCCCCAATCTCTTCTGGCTTGTAGGGTTTCTGCTGAGCAGTCTGCTGTTAGTCTGATGGGCTTCCCTTTGTAGGTGACCTGGGCTTTATCTCTGACTGCTCTTAACATCTTTTTTTTCCATTTCAACCTTGGAGAATCTGATGATTATGTATCTGGGGGTTGGTCTTTTCATGGAGTATCTTTCTGAGGTTCTCTGCATTTCCTGAATTTAAATGTTGGCCTTTCTAGGTTGGGGAAGTTCTTCTGGATGATATCCTGAAGTATGTTTTCCAACTTGGTTCTGTTCTCCCTGTTTCTTTCAGGTACCCCAATCAGTCGTAGCTTTGGTCTCTGCATAATCCCATATTTCTCAGAGGTTTTATTCATTTCTTTTTATTCTTTTTTATCTGTTCTTGTCTGCCTGTCTTATATCAGAAAGATAATCTTCAAGCTCTGAGATTCTTTCTTTCACTTAGTCTATTCTGCTATTGGTACTTGTGATTACATTGTGAAGCTGTTGTGTTGTATTTTTCAGCTCCATCAGGTCAGTTATGTTCCTGTCTAAACTGGGTATTGTTGCTATCAGCTCCTGTATTGTTTTATCATGCTGCTTAGTTTTTTTTGCATTGGTTTATAACATGCTCATTTAGCTCAGTGAAGTTTGTTATTAGTCACCTTCTGGAGCCTACTTCTGTCAATTCAGCCATCTCAGCCTCAGCCCAGTTCTGTGCCCTTGCTGGAGGGGTGTTGTAGTCATTTGAAGGAGGAGAATTACTCTGGCTTTTTGAATTTTTAGCAATTTTGCATTGATTTTTTTCTCATCTTTTTGGGCTTATCTATCTTCAATCTTTGAGGTTGCTGACCTTTGAATGGGTTTTTTTTTTTTTTTTTTTTTTTGGTGGGGCCTTTTTTGTTGATGATGTTGTTGTTGTTTTCTGTTTGTTTGTTTTTCTTTTAACAGTCAGGCTGCTCTTCCATAGGGCTGCTGTTGTTTGCTGGGGGTTTTCTCCAGACTCTAGTTGCTTCTGTACCTGGAGATATCACCAGTGAAGGCTGAAAAACAGCAAAGACAGCAGCCTGGTCCTTCCTCTGGAAGCCCTGTCCCAGGTGGGTACTGACCTGTTGCTGGCCCAAACCTGCCTGTAGGAGGTGGCTGGAGATCCCTGTTGGGAGGTCTCACCCAGTCAGGAGAAATGAGATTTGGGACCCACTTAAAGAATCAGTCTGGCTGCTTTTTGGTAGAGCAGGTGAGCTTCCTCTTCCAGACCATCTGTATTCTCCGAAGCTGGCAGGCTGGAGCGGCTGAGGCTACTGAACCACAGAGAGGGTGGCCCCATCTCCGGGAGCTCTGTCCAAGGGAAAGATCAGAGCTCTGTCCATAGAACCCTCGCTGGAGAGGCTGAAGCCCCCACAGGTGGGTCCTGCCCAGTGAGGAGGAATGGATCGGGGTTTTGCTTTAAGATACAGTCTGGCCATGATCTGCTAAGGCAGCTGTGCTGCTTGTGGGGGATCCTTTCTCGTCTGGACCATTTGTATTCTCCAAAGCAAGCAGTCTGGAATTGCTGAGTCTACCAAACTGCAGAGATGGTGGCTGCCCCTCCCCCTGGGAACTTGGTCCTTTCTCAGGAAGACTCCAGCCTGTTGCCATTGGCTGGCTGGAATTCCAAACCAGTGTGTCTTAACTTGTGAGGTGCTATGGAAGCAGGGCCTGTAGAATGATGCTACTTGTCTCCCTTGATTTAACCCCCTTCCTAGGAATTTGCACAGACAAATTTCCTAACTTGCTGGGGTTCCTGGGGCCAGATTATATAAAACTGGGTCTCTGTGTGTGCCTGAGCAGCTGCTTTGCAGACTCCACACAGCTCTGTGTATCGGACACAAGGCCCTCGTGGTGTGGGCTCACAAGGGGATTTCCTGTTCTGTGGGTTGCAAGGATCTGTGGGATAAGTGTGGTTTCCTGGGCAGGATCACTCAATCACTTACTACTTCCCTTAGCTGGAGGTGGGGGTTCCTCTGGCTCCGTGCCACTCCTGGGTGGGCTGTTGCCCCACCCTGCTTTTCTTCATTTTCTGTGGGTTGAGTTGTTTGCCTCATCAGTCCCAATGCGAGAACCTGGAAATTTTAGTTGAAGGTGCTGAATTCACTCACTTCTTTCATTCCCTTTCATGAGTGCTGTGAATCACAGCTGCTTCTAATCAGCTATCTTGGCCCCTCTGGTTTTCTAATATTTCCCATGGTCTTGTGGAATTGAAATCACATATACATGAAGCAATTCATAGTAAGTATTTCTCCCTTTTCTGCCTGAACTATGTATGAAGGAGGTAAGTGGGTTTGAATCTGTTTTTGAGCCCAGGAAAAATTTAGCATTGTCTAAAGATAGGAAACACAGAATTCCTGATATTGCCTTGAAAGCAGGATACTATGTAAATCCACACAGAAGTTGATGGGAATTGAGGATGGAATCAGAGAGAAATTAGCAATGTTTTATATAAATTAGCACATTTCTGTAACCAGTTGGACCACTAGGGGACAACCTTTAAAATCTGGGAAGAGAAAACATGCTTTCAGAAGACAGTTTCGTGTTGGTGCAAAGAGACTCTGAGGTTAGCCCTGCCTGAAATCACTGCACTAAAATCTGTGGGGCCTGAGCCAGGGCAGGCACCACACATTGTATATTTCTAGGCGGGTCTACTTCCGAAACTGTGCCAACCAGAGAGGAGTCGTTGCTTCTTTCATTCTGTGGCCCCAAAGATTCCTTGAGAGGTCACCACCACCCGTGAGGCCCTGGGAAGGGCACGCCTAAGGATGCATTTTGCACATCAACCTGGGGATGTCCCTGGTGTAGGCACCTCCATGTTGGCCCAGTTTTCACAGGGATCAACCACTCCTGTTAGAGTGGTGGAGATCTGTCTTGGCACAGTTCTATGGGTCCCAGGAAAGACTGATGTTTGTGGTTAAACAGAAGCGGGGGCCACAGAGCATTGAGTTATTGTCGGTATTGTCTGATTGTCCTCATGGTCGAGGAGAGAATGGCCCAGGTAGGGCTTCTGGAACATGAATCCATTCCTGCCTGTGGCTTCCAGCTAAGCAGGGCAGAGGACCCGCTGGTGTGCCAGTGGTCCAAGTTCTGTGTATCCCCTTTCAAACCTTGCTGTGGGCACTATGCTTGCAGCCCAGCTGTTTGTCAAGGATGATGCAGCACTATGGTGACAGCTCACTCAGGACCCCACTCAAACAAGCCTGGATAAGCTGGTGCTGGAGCACCCACCAGCCTGGCAATGCCTCCACATGGGGCTGGCAGCGAGCACAGCAGTCCACGGTTGCAGCAGGCACCAGTTACAGAAACTGAGGCTACTCAAATAATGTCAAGAGGAAGCCCAACTCCAACCAAATAGTTCTCCCCTGGAATGTTTCCACATCAATATGAATTAAACAACTAATTTCTAGCTTATAGAGAGGCTGCAAGAATGGTAAAAATGGGGTCTGGTTTTGTCTGTACCCACCTGAGCCGAGCTCTGTCATGCTGTCTCCCTGGGCTTCAACTGTGTCCACTCTCAAGAAGGACAGCCTGCACAGTCAAATTGGGACATTTACAGAGACTTAGCACATGTATGTAACTCTACATGTTACATGTTCTAGACCCATCTCTATACGTACATATTAAAAACCAGGCATTCATGCCACACCTCTAATTCCCTTCAACACCACAGGGCCACTCCTGTTTTCCCCGTGTTTGTGTGAGTAACTCCCTTCTTGGGTAGTGAGGAGCCTGGCTCCTGTTTTCCTCTAGTACCACTTTTACTTGAAAGTACTCGGGGCATCCTTCTCTCCCAGAACTGCATTCCTCAATTCCTCTATATGAGACCAATCTCCACCGCCCACTGAGCTACTGCTGACGCACTTAGAATATGGATTCTTTATCAACATTTTTTTAGAACTTTTATATTTTCTCCAAGGAGAATTGGCACCATATAGCCTACTGTTGCTACATTGCTTTATCCCATTTGCTACCCATCATCAGGCACTACTTCTGGCTGAGGCTTTAAGGGGTCAACGCCCTGAGGTGTTTGCACATCTGTGGCTGAGATAGCAGAAGCCACTGGGGTATCGGAATCATCCCGCACAAGGCGCCCTTTATGGGTAATGAACTTCTGCTGGTGCTTTAGGCATTCATTTACGTGAATTTCTCATCTTCAACATTTCCGTTTATTTATTCAGAAAAGATTTATTGAGGACTTATTAATATGAACCAGTCACATAGATCAGATAATATGAAAAAATGTCTTTTTGCCAAACTCTAAGTTCCTAAGGATAGACAGGGCCTGTGAATTAGGTTAGTTACTGTATTCCCAGCATCTATTTGGGAATAAAACAGCAACCACGATCTCATCAGTACCTTCAGGAAGCTGATAATCTACTGGCAGATGTGGAAAGACAAACACTCCCAATGTGATGTGAGAGAGGTGCTGCTGGCCTCCTCCCCACATCCAGTGTCGGCTGTGCTTTGAGCTGTTGTTTGGAACATTTGGCAAAATATGTGATTGGCTGATGAAGTCTTCAAATACCAGCATCTTGGCTGAAGGTCCAGGCCAATTCTGGGAAAGCGGCGAGAGCCACGCCTAACATTGCACTTCCGGACTTGTAGCTATAAACACGGTAGTGAGCACTGTGCACAATGCTTCAGTGTGGCATAGAAGTTACCACAAGAGGAAGGTTCAGCCTTCAATGCTGGAAGGCCAGCGGCTTAGCTTCCTGTGGCCACTGTTAACAAATGTTCACAAGCCCTCAACCCTGGGGTGTTAGGATTTCAAACTGAATTTTGGGGGACATCAACATTCAGCCTATCACATTTCTAAATGGTATAGATTAGAAAAGCACCATTACAGAATTAGTTTTGGACATTTCTGACTTTTTGTGAATAAACATTCTCAGCTTGTGGGTCAATTTGTGAATATTTCTGCTCTGGAGATAACACTGTTCTTTTTTTTTTTTTTTTTTTTTTTTTTTTTTTTTTTTTTTTTTGAGACAGAGTCTTGCTCTGTCACTGTTCTTGAAACATAATACAGGTTTGATAGTCATGCTGACCTGATACCTTTAGATGAGTTATCTAACACATTCACGATGAGGTTCAGGAAAAGTGGCTGCAGGTGACGACCCCTGGTCTCTCATCTGTACCCTCTGTGCTGTGACATTCTGGGCTTTTCTAGGTTTGTGATCTGCCCTCTGCTCGGTTCTGTACTTCATGCCTATGGATTGAGGCCCTTGCTTGGGTTCACTTCCCCAGCATTGACAATGACACCCTTCCTGGATGTGATTCCTGGAGTTGCCTCCCCCTGGGCTCAGACGGAATGAGCCCCTCTGCTTCCGCATCCCATCCCCAAAGCTCTGCTGCCTTTGCCCAGGAACACTCAGGAGTTAAAAGACTATGTTGGAGAGAGTTAGTTATTCAAATGAGCCCAAGTAAAGATAATTTTGGGGCCCAAACACCGGCAAAAATGCCTGAACTATATTCTTGGGGGTGCCTGGCATTCATATTCCTTTTAATTAAGGCCCCTACCAAGAAATCTGGAGGAGAATATTACATAGCTCAGGGGCCCTCAACTGCAAACAGTCTATAATATATCAGGAGGATGTTTTAATTGGAATAAAAGGGGCAAATCTTCAAACATTACATGTTTAATTTATAGGTTGGTTGAATCACCCAAGTTCAATAATGTCCCATAATTTCTCATCACCCCCAGAGAGTATTCTCTTGGATGAAGATGATTTTCTTACCAGGAGTGCACACTCAGCTCATCCTCTCCTCCTCGTGGTCTGTTCTCTGCTTCCTGCTAATGCGCAGGTTTCCGCCCTTTCTCTAGTTGTGCACAGAGCTGATTGGTTCTTCACGCTGGAGTTCTCACTTTGATATTTAAGTTGCTCACCGCTCTAGGGAAGGTTGTCCTTATTTTCCACCAAGAAGAGCAGGAGGAACAGTTGGCTAACAGGGCACTCAGCAGAGAGGGTACAGGCAGGTCCCCCGGGAGCAGCAGCAAGCAATGCACACAGGAGGGAGGGCGGGTGGGTCTGCAGCACGAAGCTGCAGGATTGGGCCCTTGATTGCATTTACTTTTGTCACAGACATTTTAGGAGGTTGTTTCCTAGGTGACTTATTACATGGTATTCTACAAAGTGACCACTTCGAAAACAGCCTGCTTGGTTTTGAGGGTGGAGGTCATATTGAAGTGCTTATGGGGGGCTGTGAATCACACTGTTTATTATGAAGTGTGTACTTCAAATGGGTGCCCCTGCCCCCCGCAACCCAGGATGGCACCTTCACTATGGGAAAAGATGTTGGGTTAAATAGCAGTTTTAAACAAACAGACCCAGAGATAATGGTGCACCCAAGGAGACAGGCTTTAATTGGCAATCTTTGGTTGCTGAAAAACCAACTTTGGTCTAACCTAGCCCTAAAACTCAAGCAAATGACAACAGCAAACCCACATAGTCTATGACGTAACATGCCCCTGAAGACCTGCCCTCCACCTTACCTATTTGGCATATGTCATAATGCAGCGAGAGCAGAATAACAGAACAGAAAAACGAGAGTGGATTAAAGTAAAAGATTTGTTTCTGTGGTAATCGAGAGGCTTCTAAAACATGTCCACTGCCCAGTAGTGGGTGCATTCCAGCGGGAATCCATCATGGATGGTGTGCGAGGCATCTCGGGCCTTAGGCTTATGGAGATTTGTTGAATGAATATTACATGAAAAGATATAGTGCATCACTGAACTGTAGGCCTGATTTTTCTGAGAAATGTTTAAAATGTATTCCCAAAGAACTGCCATATAAAAACAGGGGGCTTATAGCATTACAACAGAAGAAACAAAATATAAATAAAACGGGTCTGTCATCATTCATGACCTTCACGACTGGCTTCTGGCTTCTCAAGGTGGATTTTCCTGCTGGGACAAGCTACTATATAGTCAATGGGCTAAGACACAGTTTCAGACGCCCATTCGGGCTCAATTCTCATTACCTAGTGAGAGAAATCTGTCATGTAAGTGGCATGGTGCTGCTTACTCTTGACCTAGAAGGGAGGTAAACATCAATTTTTAGCTTATGACATAGAACAGCTGGGAACACCAGAAAATGGGTTCTTTCAGATATCATATTTCTTAAATATAAGACTACGTTTAAATATAACTGAAAACAACAACTTCCGTAGTATCATTTTCAGAGTACCAAAGTAAAGGCTGCTCTTCTTCCCCTTCCTCTTTCTCAGTTACAATCATTTAATTAAAAAAGAAAGCACTGGCCGGGTGCCGTGGCTCACACCTGTAATCCCAGCACTTTGTCAGGCCGAGGCAGACGGATCACGAGGTCAGGAGATTGAGACCATCCTGGCTAACCCAGTGAAACCCCATTTCTACTAAAAATACACAAAATTAGCCAGGCGTGGTGGCGGGCACCTGTAGTCCCAGCTACTCGGGAGGCTGAGGCAGGAGAATGGCTTGAACCCGGGAGGCAGAGCTTGCAGTGAGCCGAGATAGCGCCACTGCACTCCAGCCTGGGGGACAGAGCAAGACTCCATCTCAAAAAAAAAGAAAAAAAACACCAAAAAACCAAAACAAAACGGAAAGTGCCAAGCCTTTTCGTGGACCAGGCTTACAGCCTGAAGGGAAGCCTGCCGCAGCATACCTGGCTGATCAGAGCAGTAACTCAGGACCTCATTGTCACATATCATCTTTGCCATCTACTCTCAAAGCCAAGTGTGCAGAGCCCCCAGCTGCTTGTGCTGAGGTTAAGACTTCTTTCCTGATTCCTCACAGCTGGGCATCCCAGAGACACCCTTCCTCTATCAGAACTTCTCTGTGGGCTGCCTACACCGTGCTCAGAGTCAAAAAGGTGGGTCTGGGCACGGTGTCTCACGCCTGTAATCCCAGAACTTTGGGAGGCCAAGGCAGGTGGATCACCTGAGGTCAGGAGTTCAAGACCAGCCTGGCCAATATGGCGAAACCCAGTCCCTATTAAAAATACAAAAAATTAGCCGGGTACGGTGGTGCGTAATCCCAGCTACTTGGGAGGCTGAGGCAGGAGAATCGCTTGAAACCGGGAGGCGGAGGTTGCAGTGAGCCGAGATTGCACCGCGGCACTCCAGCCTGGGCAATGAGAGCAAAACTCCGTCTCAAAAACGAACAAACAAAACAAAAACAACAAAAAAACAGGTGGAAGTTTGGTTAATCTTTAAATAGAGTTTTGAGTTCTTTGATCATATCCCTTACTGTTGAAGTTCAGGATACAGTGCCATTATTTCAGTGAAGTTTTCAGCATAGTAGCTTCAAATCGTTCACATTCGGCAGAGATAAACCTGTATGGAACTCACTCAGTCTTTTAGGAAATTCTGGAGGACCAGAAGGCAAGGCGATTCTGTCCTGCTAATGAGGCCAACTTGAAAAGGGCAGGAGCAGAGCCCCTGTACCAACCTCCAGAACCACCCTGGAGATGCCTGGGACAGGCAGACTCACCCCTTGCTGGTACTAAAGAGAGAACAGCCTCAGAATTAAATTAGCAAAGAACAAAAATAAATAAATCAACCCAAGTTACCTAGAGATATTGTGCAAAAGCAGAGGGAGGGACATGGAAGTGCACTTTTTGTTTTTGCATTGCCCCTTGGTACTTCATAGAGGGTACAGTGAAGACCTCCAGGCTGGGAGCCGATCCTTGCCTTGAGGGCGAGTCCACTGGGTGGGGCTGCACAGAGCCCTGGCCCAGTGGTGTGCTCAATGGAGTGAGCTTTAGCACATTACAAATGCAGGCCATTCTCTGAGTGATGACCCTGTGGACATGTGATTAAGGAGAGATGTCTCAGTTCACTTTCCTAGTAAGGTCTCTAAATCCGGTCAAGGTAAAACCAATGTTGTAGATTCAGGTGAAAAGATTTTGTTCAAGGAAAAGAATCTGGCCCTGTTTAGAGAGAGACATTCAATGGAATTTATTTACTATGCCATAATTCCACAGGAGAGCACTTCCATGACTTAGTGGGGAAAAAGAAGGGAAGCTAGCTCATTGATGATGTTTTACATTGATTTTATGTTTAAGTGATCATATTTTTGTGTATATTGGGTTAACTACAAACTATATAATTAAAATTAATTTTGACTCTTTCTACTTTCTAAGATGTGGCTATTAGAAAATTAAAACCTGTGTGGCTCACGCAATATTTCTACTGGACAGCCATGCTTTAGAGGCATTTGCTCATTGGAATTTCATTCAGAGGTTGAGGGTGGAGCTGTCTGGGAGGGTTTTCCTCCTTTCTTCCCTCTCTCCATCTTGCCTCCCTTCTTCCCTCCGTTTTTCCCTCCCTTCCTCCCTCTCTTCCTTCCCTCCCTTCTGCTTCCATTCCTCCCTTACTCTTTCTTCTCCTCTTTCTCCCCTTCTCTCTTCTTTCCTGGCCTGGTATCCTGGGATAACTTGTTCATACCCACCCTAGTGCTTGCTCTCCAATTTACAGCTGAATTGGAGAATTATCGGTGAAGGAGCCACTCAAAGATTAACTTGCAATTTTTTGCAAACTGTTGAAGCTTAGCAGAGAGGCTTGGCTCTGGGTACTCGGAGGACAAAATCTCTTCCATAGTGAAGGGAATGCCCACCCCTGCCTCACCAGTTTTCTTACACAGTCCCATGTCTTTTGTATTAGTCCATTTTCATGCTGCTGATAGACATAACCAAGACTGGGAAGAAAAAAAGGTTTAATCGGATTTACAGTTCCATATGGCTGGGGAGGCCTCAGAATCATGGCAGGAGGTGAAAGGCACTTCTTACATGGTGGCAGCAAGAGAAAATGAGGAAGAATCAAAAGCAGAAATCCCTGATAAATCCATCAGATCTCGTGAAACTTATTCACTATCACAAGAATAGCATGGGAAAGACCAGCTGCCATGATTCAATTACCCCCCCTGAGTCCCTCCTACAACACGTGGGAATTCTGGGAGATATGATTCAAATTGAGATGTGGGTGGGGACACAGCCAAACCATATTATTCTGCCTCTGGCCCCTCCAAATCTCATGTCCTCACATTTCAAAACCAATTATGCCTTCCCAACAGTCCCCCAAAGTCTTAACTCATTTCAGCATTAACCCAAAAGTCCACAGTACAAAGTCTCATTTGAGACAAGGCAAGTCCCTTCCACCTATGAGCCCGTAAAATCAAAAGCAAGCTAGTTACTTCCTAGATACAATGGGGATTCAGGTATTGGGTAAATACAGCCATTCCAAATGGGAGAAATTGGCCAAAACAAAGGGGTTACAGGGTCCTTGCAAGTCCGAAATTCAGTGGGGCAATCAAATTTTAAAGCTCTAAAATGATCTCCTTTGACTCCAGGTCTCACATCCAGGTCATGCCGATGCAAGAGATGGGTGAGCATGGTCTTGGGTAGCTTCACCCCTGTGGCTTTGCAGGCTACAGCCTCCCTCCTGGCTGCTTTCATGGGCTGGCACTGAGTGTCTGTGGCTTTTCCAGGTACACAGTGCAAGCAGTCTGTGGATCTACTATTCTGGGTTCTGGAGGATGGCAGCCCTCTCTCACAACTCCACTAGGCAATGCCCCAGTAGGAACTCTGTGTTGGGACTCCAACCCTACATTTCCCTTCTGCACTGCCCTAGGAGAGGTTCTCCATGAGATCCCCACCCCTACAGCAAACTTTTGCCGGCACATCCAGGCATTTCTATACATCTTCTGAAATCTAAGTGGAGGTTCTCAAACCTCAATTCTTAACTTCTGTGGACCTACTGGCTCAGTACCATGTGGAAGCTGCCAAGGCTTGGGGCTTTTACCCTCTGAAGCCACAACCCGAGCTGTACATTGGCTCCCTTTCAGCCATAGCTGGAGTGGCTGGGACACAGGGCACCAAATCCCTAGGCTGCACACAGCATGGAGACCCTGGACCTAGCCCATGAAACCATTTTTTCCTCCTGGGCCTCTGGGCCTGTGATGGGAGGGGGTGCTGTGAAGGTCTCTGACATGGCCTGGAGACATTTTCCCATTGTCTTGGGAGTTAACATTAGGATCCTTGCTACTTATGTAAATTTCTGCAGCTGGCTTGAATTTCTCCCCAGAAAATGGGTTTTTCTTTTCTATTGCCTAGTAAGGTTGCAAATTTTCCAAACTTTTATGCTCTGCTTCCCTTATAAAACTGAATGCCTTTAACAGTACCCAAGTCACCCCTTGAATGCTTTGCTGCTTAGAAATTTCTTCTGTCAGATACCCTAAATCACTTTTCTCAAGTTCAAAGTTTCACAAATCTCTAGGGCAGGGGCAAAATGCCGCCAGCCTCTTTGATAAAACATAACAAGAGTAGCCTTTACTCAAGTTCCCAACAAGTTCTTAATCTCCATCTGAGACCACCTCAGCCTGGACCTTATTGTCCATATTGCTATCAGCATTTTTGGCAAAACCATTCAACAAGTCTCTAGGAAGTTCCAAATTTCCCACATTTTCCTATCTTCTTCTGAGCCCTCCAAATTGTTTCAACCTCTGCCTGGTACCCAGTTCCAAAGTTGCTTCCACATTTTCGGGTATCTTTTCAGGAGTGCCCCACTCTACTGGTACCAATTTACTGTGTTAGTCCGTTTTCACACTGCTGATATAGACATACCTGTGACTGGGCAATTTACAAAAAAAGAAGTTTAATTGGACTTATAGTCTCACATGGCTGGAGTGGCCTCAGAATCATGGCAGGAGGTGAAAGGCACTTCTTACATTACAGCGGCATGAGAAAAATAAAGAAGCAAAAGTGGAAACCCCTGATAAACCTAACAGATCTTGTGAAACTTATTCACTACCACTGGAATAGCACAGGAAAGACTGGCCCTCATGATTCAATTACCTCCCTCTGGGTCCCTCCCACACTTGGGAATTCTGGGAGATGCAATTCAAGTTGAGATTTGGGTGGGGACACAGCCAAACTGTATCATCTTTCATAAAGCCAGAAAAGACTTCTTTCCTCTAAATTCTGAACAGAATTTATAAAGGCTATGACTTATTCATTCATCGATTATAAACTATTTAGTGCTGCTCTGTGCCAGGCCTTGTGATGGGGCAGGTTGGGAAGGTGACAGTGGTGACAGCTCCACCTTAGAGAACTCACTGTCTAGAAAAGACGGCCAGCTTGCTCATGAGCACACCATGAGGTGAAAGGTCCCAGTGGCTCCAGGACTTCAGTGGCAGGAGTTCTGCCTCAGAGGCCGAGAAATGCTTCTTGAAAGAGGTGACACATGGGAACACCGTGATCATTCTTGAGTATTTTCCTTATTACAACTGGAGTGTAAAGAGGAGGACAGCTCTCAGACAGGGCCCTGTCCTACCCTCCATGCCTCTTTACTGAGCAGGTTCCCTTCCATCCAACCTTCCTCTCCAGGCACAGAGGCAGCCACTGGAACTGATTTTCTCAGTAAGTCATAAGAGGTAGGAAAAATTGGGAAGCAAAGGCAAGGTGCATGGTGACACATGCACACAGAGCTGATTTGCATCAGAGGTGTAGTTCCAGGGACCAGCCAGGCGTGGTGGGGCCTGGAAGGTGAAGACTAGACTGGGAGAGATGGAGAAGATCCTCCCTCCCATCAGGTGTGAGGGCATGGCTGCCCCTGTGGCAGGGGCAGGGGACATTAATGGCCAGGGGACAAAGCCACAAGCAGGGGCAGAGCAGACAGGATGGGCCAGAGGGAAGAATCAGCAACTGGGAAGGGTGGGGCTAAGTGGACAGAATTTAGTCTCTGCCATCATTTATACATTTCAAAACTTCTCAACAGGGAAGTCCCTGAGAGGGGCTGAGGAAAGACTCACAAAGGCTTGGTGGCAGGGGTTTGAGCTGGTGGGAGAGGTTGTCACCAGCCATGAGAGCTGGCCACCCTTCCTCATGCCCACCTGGACCTGTTGCTTCCAGGGACTGTCTGCTCTCTGCCCAAACCCCCATCAAAGTCACCTGACCCACATGGGACTTCCTTGCCTCATAAACATTAGAGGATTTAGAAATCTCGAGGTAAAAATAAGAGTCTTAGTTATGTGTTTGAGTTTCCTGGACCAAATGTTAAGAGTTTGGCTTGGAATTTAAGGTCAAAGAAAATCAAATGGTAGTGGAAAGAACTGCATTTGTAAATGGGAAGGCAAGGGCCCCATCTTCTATCGGCTGGCTTTCATTATGGTGTGTAACAGTCTCTGAAGTTATTAACTTTTCAATTAGGGTCTTGATGTTCTGCAATCCAAAACTCTCTGTTAGAATAGAATTGTGGCTCTAGGACTTGCAATTGGTACAGACAATGGTAAACTCCATATAGGCAAAGAAAATGTATTTTTCATCTTGATATTTGAAGCCCACTTATCAACATGCCTGGCATATATTAAGTGCTAAGTAAATGTTAGTTGAGATGAAACAGTAGTTAAAATTTGAACATCTCATTATAGTAAAACACATACACATGCACATTTCTTTTTTCTTTTTCTTTTTCTTTTCTTTTTTTTTTTTTTTTTTGAGACAGAGTCTCGCTCTGTCACCCAGGCTGGAGTACAATGGTGCAGTCTTGGCTCACTGCAACCTCCGCCTCCTGGGCTCAAGTGATTCTCCTGCCTCAGCCTCCCAAGTAGCTGGGATTACAGGCATGCACCACCATGACTGGCTAATTTTTGTATTTTTAGTAGAGATGGGGTTTCGTCATGTTGGCCAGAATGGTCTCGAACTCCTGACCTCAGGTGATCCGCCCACCTCAGCCTCCCAAAGTGCTGGGATTCCAGGTGTGAGCCACCGTGCCTGGCCACACATTTCTTTTGGTCTAAACTTTTCAGAGAGTGACAGGGGAGTTATCTTGTGGTTATGGGACACCACTTAAATGGCCATGCAGAATGGAAACCAGCAGCTTTTGATGTGACATTTGATGCAACGGTCTTAGTGACTTTTCTCACTGGGTTAACCTGACCATGATGTCCCTAGCTGAGGGACACTGTAAATAAGTCCCTGCCTCATCATATTGCAAACCACAGGCATGATATCTTGGGTAGACACCGGTAAGCAAGGTTGATCAGGGGGAAATGAACCATGAGATGAAAATGGAAACCTGGAGCCTTCTTTTCAAGCCTTCTTTTCACAGCAAAGAGTTACTCTTTAATGTCGAAACCTAGATCATAAAGTGAGAGTCAAGCCTTAGGAACAGACACGACCTTTGAGCACACCTCGTTTGGATTCTGGAGAGGCTGTGGCAGTGCTTAGAGCTTCCCATTTCATAGCTCTCTGAGGGTGTGAAGCCTCACAGGCCCTCCCCTGTCCTTGGTGTGGGGCTCTGCACAAGACACGCCCGCCCCTGTGCACAGCCTCTGGCCCTCGTTAGCTTCAGTGGTCGGCCTCTTCTGGGCTTCCTGTGGCCTTCTCCTTAGAGTACACAGGCCCAATTATATTTTCCAAAACATAAATGAGTTTCCATTCTTTTCATTCAATGCCTTGGGTGTTTATAAATGGAGCTAGTGCTGTAGAAGGCCGAGACCTCCGTGGCAGACCATGTGACCTTTGCCTTTCCCCTCTCATTCCAGTGTGAGGAGCGCTGTGGGAATGCCGTGCCCGCTGAAGCATGGTCATTCTGTAATCCTTAAAGAAAGCTTCATTCCTTCTTTTTTTTTTTTCTTTCTGTTTTCGTTTTCCCTTCCCTTTGAGGCAGGATCATCTTATGGGAAGGTATGCTGTGCTTTCTAAGTAGCATTCTTCTTTTTTTTTTTTTCCTACCATAAGCTGACTTTTCTTCTCTAATTCTTTAAGACTGATGTTTCATCTGCCAAAGACATTTCTTAAAAGCATTAAGGTGCATCTGGGTGGTGTTAATTTTTTAAAATGCTTTGCCTTTTAGAATGCCCTTTCCTCCTGGATCGATAGGTCAACCTTGGCTAGAAGGTTTGGAATATTTATTTCTTTGGGGTCTTTGTGGAGAATACATCACGCTACACAAGCACTTTGCAATTCAGTGTCCTAATTTAATTTCAAAATGTAAAGACCATCCCAAGCTTTAGGATGCATCAGGCAGCGGAGGCCAGCACATGATTTGATCAGCATTTCTCAGTTGTAGTGGAAAGAGAAACTTCATCCTAAAAGAAGTATTTTAACAACTTTTTATCAATTGCATTGAAATTGTGAGAGGGCCTGGGTGTTCATTGAGTGGTAAGTGTTGAACTACTCTTTTCTTTGGTCTGATTTTCCCAATATATATTATATTGACAATTCTTAGTTTGTGAACTAGGGGATTTTTTTTTTCATCCTTTCTTGAAGAGCAGTTTTCCAGCCTGGTCAAGTGAATTAATAAGGGTCAGACCTCCATCAAGACTGAATTTGTGTGCACTCAAATGTAAAGACAGTTGGACACAACAGCAAATCCTCATGCCTAGGCACGCCAGAAAAATCAAGGGGCTCAATTTATTACTTCTAAGAAAGATAAATTGGGACTGCGGAAATAAATCACATACAAATGCAGCATGACATTAAATGCAGCCGTTGTTTTGCTTCCAAGGAAGTGGCGCTCACGAGCTTCTAAAGCTCAGCCTCACAACAGCTTTTACGTTTGATTTTGTTCAGATCTCTGCTTCCATTGAGTTACAATGAGGCACCTTCGGTGCCGGTTTTTAGCCTTTTTTGGGATGAGATCACACATTGTCATCAGGATTTTATCTGGAAGCCGGAAGGGCAGGAGCTTCCTGTGAAGTGTTCTGCACAGGCAGGGTGAAGTGACTTAACAGTGAAATCCGTTCGTGGTTCCGTCATTCCAGGGATTGGAAAGTCGAAAAAAATCTGTGAATGTGAAATGAGCCACTTCTAAACATTCAAGCACTTATATACTTTTTGTACACCAGTTTGAAAAATTAGCTTAAAAACTTGCCATAGACTTTAATTCCCGGTGTTTGTAACGGTGTGAAATCTAAATAAGTCTGTGGGCAAAATGGCTGGAAGAGGTTCTGCAGAAATGCAGCTCACTGTACTTGATCCTGTCCCCGCAGTCTCAAACTTCCATCGTAATTTAAAACTGTTATTCCACATTAGTGCCTTATAGTCTTATAAGCATAATTACCAAGGCAATTAGTGAAATGGTAAGGAAATGGAAATATCCCCCGGTAGCAATTCTGTTCTATAATTAGCTTATGTAGGTATAATGTGTATATATAGTTTTATATTTATATATTTCTGGGTAGGTTTCCCTCTTGCCTTTGTACTCTAATGATATAATTCTGAGAAGAAAATAGGCTGTTTTTCCCCCGTTCCTTAATTCTCATCCTTCTAGGCATTTAGGTGCCTGGATTTTGCATAGAAATGGCCACAGGCCTCTGAATGTAGGTAATACCTGCAATTACAAACCTGGCAGAAAGTCACTGCGTACCATCGGTGCTGGCAACACTTGTCCACTGGTGTCATTTAGCAGTTTCTTTTTCATTCCTATTGTTTTTGAGCGAAACTAAGTATGATTGTTTGCTGGGGCTTTATAGTAATTATTGTGGATGGGAAATTCTGGCAGCTTCCTGGAGTTCACAGCAAGGATCTATTTGAAACTATCTGCTTTTTCTTTACTCTTCACATACCTGGGGCCATTCTCTGTGTGCCAGGCACAGTGTGCAGGAGGATGACAAGGCCCAGCTCTGCACTCAAGAGACGCAGCCCTGCCCCCGGGGCTGCTCAGCGCTCAGCCAGAAGAAATCTGCTGGCCTGCTTGTTCATGGGATCTTGATTTCCTGTCTCCCTCCCTCCTGAATGACTGCTAAAAAAAGCCCTCACAATGTCTGACTTATTAGAAGTCTCTAAATTGCCCAGGCCCCATATTCTTTGCTTCTCAGATTATGATCCTTTTGTATTTACATAATTTCAAAATTTGGAAATAATTTTGAAGTTAATCAGGACCTACTGGTGATTGCTTTGGAGTCAAACTTAAAATGAGCACCGAGTAATAGTGAACGCTTTGGAGATGGCGTTATAGCACTGTGCTGAAATCGCTGTAGACACATTTTCTCATTTAATTTTCACCACTCATTATTTGGCAATGACCCTCCTGAAATGTTCCACCACAGACCAAGTGGAGCACGTATCACACCCAGCACACAGAAGGCACTCTGAGTTCCCGTGTCTATAGAGGGGGAGGAACTGGGGAGAGTGTATCTGTCATGGCTGCTATGAGAATCAACCGAGGTTGTGTAAGTAAAGTGCTAAGGACAGTGTGCCATACCATCATCAAATTTGATAATGTTTGGCAGGATAATCATTTTAATCCTCCTCACCCCTAATATTTTATTCCTATTTTTCCTCTGGTTTGAAGCCTGATAGGGTGTCTGGTGGAGGTCACACTCAGCAAGGCGTTCTTAATGCCAAGCTCATCTGTTTGAAGTTCCTGGGCATTTGCCATAAGGAATTAATGCCACTCAAGAGTGAGTCCCCATTCACAGAGCTCAGGGTTGCTGGGTGACTTGGGGTGGAGGTGGCAGGAGTCCCCAAATCTTATGATGTTGCTATTCGGGGGCCTTTCATCTCTAGGATCCTCCCCATCCACTTCCCCACAGCCATTACTGTGGCTCTGTCCTGAGTACAGGGGTTATGCTTGGACTGGGAGCCCAAGCACAGTGGCCCAGGGCTTCAGCTCCAGCTTCACCCCAGCAATTAGTTTGTAACAAGCTTTGGAAAGCAGGCCTGTGAGCCCAATAGCTCCACCACCAGCCACTGTGGGATCTCAGCTTCCCCAGCCTTTCTTGGCTTGATTTCTTGACCTATAAAATGAGGAAAGAATTAGCAACGATTTGGAAGCTCCATGATTTAAAACCACATGGGAGAGCTAACATAAGCAAGAACTTTTCAAGGATGTGGTCTGTTTACCAGCAACTAGAGGGCTGGGCTCCCCTGTGGGCTATAGCTTGGAGGGCTGGGCTCCCCTGTGGGCTATAGTTTGGAGGGCTGGGCTCCCCTGTGGGCTATAGTTTGGAGGGCTGGGCTCCCCTGTGGGCTATAGCTTAGAGGGCTGGGCTCCCCGGCCTTTATCAGAGGCAGGTGATTACGACAAGGACAACAGGGGAGCCAGCTGATTGTAAATTGAACAGGACTTTTTTTGATCCTCAAAAGTGCTTCTTCCTCATTGATGCTGTTCTGCATTGATGTCTGCTTTTGTTGTCTGACCAGGTGAGATGTCTAGGTCATTCGTGTTTCTTCCACTTTAGTGACCTCCCCTAAGCAGGTGCACGCCTGGCCCTTTGCTGTACTTTACACATCCTGTCTCGCTCCATTCTCAGAATTACCACGTCAGGTAGATCCGAAGCAGCTCCATTTTACAGATGAGGAGACTGAATTTCAGAGAGGTTGAGTCAACTCCCCGAGGCCAGGCAGGAAGGAAACGGCAAGAATCTAGAATGTAACCCCTTTGTCCTGGCCTGTGATTCTTCCTTCCATGGGCACCTCCTAAACCAGGAGCCCCATCCACAGTGCTCAGTTATGGAAGGAAAAATGCCCAGTCTTCTGATGCAGCTGGGCTTCTAACCCACGGCTTACCACACTGAACTGGATGCGGATAAGGAATGAACTCTGAAGCAGTAATACGTGAATACCTCACAAATACTACATAGGTCTAACTTGGTTTTGGGATGAAAAGTTTCTCCATTCCTGTAACACTAATAATGCCCTGTTCAGCCTTTGCTAGGTCAACAGCAACTGTTCCACTGGGATAGTGCTTCAGAGTTTATTCGATTATGTGGCCCATTTTATAGATTGAAAAACTGGGGCTTAGAAAGTGACTTGCATGAATTCACGTGGTGGAAGAGCCGCTGTTCTGCCTCCACTGTCCTGTCCTCACTGTGGCTTGCTCCTCTAGCCTGGTGTCCCTCCCAGCCATCCTCTCTGTGACTCACTCGGGGACAGGCTGCAGAGCTGCTGCCACACTTCAGTCCTTCAGTGGTCTCTGGGTGCTGTCCATTCGGGTGCTGCCTCACCTGGACCAGCAGTGCTGGGATTTTCCTGGTGAAAGAAACCTCTCTCTCTTCTGACTCCCGAACGTCCTCTGCTCCCCCATGAGATCCGCAGCGATACAGCATCATCGGCGTACATGCACACATCTGGCCGCCCCGCCAGATCCGAAGCTCTTTATAGGCAAAAACCTCATTTACTTCATCTCCATTTACCCTTCAGTACCTCCCATATGACCCCAAAATGCTTGCTGAATCCATGAAAAAAATCATTATTGGCCAAGTCAAATATTACCAGAGAGTTGTTAACATTTCTGACAGGCACGTTTGTAATGTATTAGAAGGAATACAGAAACTCAGTACTTAGAACAATTCTTGATTCAGCATAGGCTGAATAAATACATGTTGAATAGGAAATGCTTTGGTGGTGGTCCTAACTCTGCCTCTAACTAGCTGTGTGATTTTAGACAGCTTGCTTGCCTTCTCTAGAGGACAGAGTCCTTATCTGCGAAGTAAGTTGAGTGCTTCTCTAAGATTAGCCTGTCTTCAATATTTTACAGTGTAGAAGGTTCAGACATTAAATCTTTTGATTTATTTTGGTCAAATACTAAATATAATTTATATATTCACTTTTTATTTAAAAATTAGGTGATTAACTTGAAAGTACAAATTCTACTACATATGTCAGATGAACTAAAAATGGTATTCAAAAATACAAATATCCATCTATGTTCAGCTAAAAGTCTTTATTGGCTTCATTTCAAACACAAATTTGTTGTCCTATTGCTACCCTAAGATGAAAATGAAATTCTTTAAATAGCTGTGCAGCGGCACGTTCGACTCAAAAATGTGCACACGGGAGCATTGCAGGCCGGTTGAGAGGACAAGCGCAGGTCGGTGCGGCCGGATGAGGTGTCTTCTCTTGGAGGTACAGGATGTAAACTATTTTTCACACTCTTAATTTTCACCTATGTGGTGTGGTTTGACTATGTATCTGTGAATAGCATTTTGTCCATTCGGCATTGTTAAGTACTGTCTCTATTCCAGGCATCTGCTGAGCATCGGAATTGACTGTAAGGTTCCAATGAGGAGACAGCATGGGGGCTGGTTTAGCCTGAGGTCTCGGAGCCGGCCTGCCTGGGCTTACCTCTCAGTTTCAGCCCTGTTAGCTGTGCCGTCCCCATCTGTAAATGGAAATAATGACAGTTCTTTCCTCACAGGGTTCTTGTCAAGATTAAATGTAGACTAGTGTTGAGAAAACAGTGTCTAGCATATGTGAAGACTTCAAAAATGTTCCATGCATTGCTCAGTCACCTCTGTAAAAAATGAGAAAAAAAATATGTTCAATGCAACTTGAGAGTGCCTGGAATAGAGCAGCCACTCCGTGATGTGGAGCATCTGTTTTCTGCACCATGAGGGCCATGCGGGCATCATGCTAACTGGGTTTCTCCAGTATTTTAGTGTGGTGCCAGGCACATTGTGGGAGCTCAGACGTGTGTGTTGAAGGAACCCATGGCACCAGTGAGAGCTGGTGCTGCAGGTGAGAGCTCGTTCCTGCTCTGTTGAGATCAGTGTCCAGGTGTCCAGTGGAGACATTCAGGTGCAGTCCTTACAATGACCCGTAAAAATGATGATTATTCTGATTATTCCTGTCTTTTTGTTGTTGTTGTTTTTGTTGTCTGAGATGGAGTCTCACACTGTCACCAGGCTGGAGCGCAGTGGCACGATCTTGGCTCACTACAACCTTTGCCTCCCGGGTTCAAGCCATTCTCCTGCCTCAGCCTCCCGAGCAGCTGGGACTACAGGCGCCTGCCACCACGCCCTGCTAATTTTTGTGTTTTTAATAGAGACGGGGTTTCACCATGTTGGCCAGGCTGGTCTCGATCACTTGACCTCATGATCCACCTGCCTCGGCCTCCCAAAGTGCTGGGATTACAGGCGTGAGCCACCGTGCCTGGCCTATTCCTGTCTTTTAGGTGAGAAAATGCTAGGTCTGCCCCCTCTGGAGTGTGAGCTGCACAAGGGAAAGGAACGGATCTGCGTTTTGTTTCTTAAACTCATGTATCCCAAGTGCTTGGAAGAGGGCTCAGCACATCCCAGATGCTCAGTGGAGATGAACAGGTGCCCCGGTAATCACGGACGTGTCCAGAACCCTTGCGAGGATCTCTTGAATTTCAATCCACTTCCTCCGCCACTCTGTCTCTGATCCAGCAGTTCTAACTTGTCCTCTCCTGCCCCTTGGCATGCCCATTTCCCCTCCCACATGGGCCTCCTTCCACGAGAAGTGCAAGACGTGATTGTCGGGCTCATACATAAATCTTCCTCCTCTTCCCTCCCTTTCTCCCTCCCCAAAATACATATGAAACTCCTACTCTGTGTCAGTCACCGTGCTAAGTGAAAACACACAACATCCGCCCTTGTGGAGTTTGTATTCTAGAGAGACATGCATCAAGTAACTAAACAAATATGTGTGGGAATCCAAATACCATGGCCAGAGCTTTGTGGGGCGCTGGGAACGTCTCCTGGGGGAGGGGTCTGGGAAGACTTCCTGTGGAGCTTAGAATGGTGGGAAGGATGAGTGGGGGTCAGTCAGTGAAGAGCATCTGGACAGAACTGATGGCACAAAGGGCCTGGGTGATGGCACGGTGGGATGGGGTCTGAAGGAAGGCAGTGCAGCAGATGAAGCCGAGGCATCCAGGGGTGTGCCAGTTCTGCAACGTTAGGTGGGAGCATGGTCTTGTTCTAGGGGCAGCAGAGAAGCACTCAGGGATGACAAGTTCACATTTGTGTTTTGACTGCAGTGTGAAGAAGAGAATAAGAATAAATGGAGAAAGGCTGCTTAGGAAACGTTGCCATTGCACAGCTGAGAGCTGTGCTGCAGGTGAGAGGTGGTTCTGCAGGTGAGAGCTGGTTCTCCAGGTGAGAGCGGGTTCTGTAGGTTACAGCTGTGCTGCGGGTAAGAGGTGGTGCTGCAGGTGAAAGCTGTGCTGCAGGGGAGAGGTGATGCTATAGGTGAGAAGTGATGCTGCCACTGAGAGGTGGTGCTGTGGGTGAGAGCTGTGCTGCAGGTGAGAGGTGGTTCTCCAGGTGAGTGGTGGTTCTGCGGGTGAGATCTGGTTCTGCGGGTGAGAGCTGGTTCTGCAGATGAAAGCTGGTTCTGCAGGTGAGAGGTGGTTCTGCAGGTGAGAGGTGGTGCTGTAGGTGAGAGCTGTGCTGCTAGTGAGAGCTGTGTTACAGGTGAGGAAAAGCAGACTGTGTTACAGGTGAGGTTCAAGAGCTACTAAGGAAGTAGGACCCTCAGAGCTCAGTGACAGGGAGGACATCAGGGGCAAGGGACAGGGTCTTAAGAATGCTCTGCAGAGATACCGGTGCACCCCAAGTGTGTGCTCTCTCTTCCTCAGTGTGGAGTCATCTCTGGGAGATGCTGGCTTTCTGGTGACTGACCACCTTTGTCAGCCACATAAGAACTAGCTGTGGCCAAGGGGCTGATTCTTGCTAGCACGAGGTGGACACAGTGAGGTCAAGGCCTACAAGAAGTACTCTGCCCAGCTCACCTCTGGGAGTACAAGGCCTTTGGGAAGGCAGATTCGTGAGGTGAAAGGACACCAGCTTCTCACAACAGGGAGAAAAGCTGTCCATCCGCAAGAACGGCCATACTGCACACTCAGCGAGAAGCAGGGTGAGGGGACTCGGGGTGGGCATGCTGGGGTGGCTGTAACAGGCAAGGACACACCAGCCACCATGGCCACTGGGCATGTGTGGGTGAGAAGGCACCAGGATCATGGGAGCCAATCCAGTGGTGGCTCTTTTGCAGGTCATGGCTGACAACAGGAGATGGTCACAGAGCTGGGTGCATTAAAGGGATGTGTGGATGGTGGCCTCCAAGTAACGCAGCCCAGGTGTGCTTCACGGTCAGTTGTCAGGGCCCAGCGGCTGTAACCCGGCAGGGGTGGAGGAGCAGCAGCAACCTGCCGCTATGGCCTGGCCTCCCTGGGACCACTCCTGGATGCCCACCCTCTGGGTTTGGTGAGAGGTCTTTCCCCTGGAACTCAACTTCTGCCCCCTGTAAACTCTGGAAATTGTTTGGCTAATAGCTCCTGGTGCTTGTTGCCCCCATGGTCTTGGATTGGTTCCCGCCACGCCCCAAGGGCCATATGCAGATTCTGCAACTGCCCCTGCCTAGCTTCTCCAGGACTCAGGGCTGCGCCTTTGGGGATCCCCTTCCCTTTTCTTTCAGGGTTCACTGTCCTGTGCCTGTCCAATGCCATAAGCACTTGCTTCATGCCTTTTGCCTAGATTTCTAGCTGTTAATGACCCAGGTGTAGGTCCGGATCTGGTTACTTTCTCACAACTGGAAGCGGATGTTCCAGCATCATTTCTAACAGCGAAAATCTTGGTCTAGATACAGCTGCCAGATAAAACATAGTACACCCAGTTAAAAGTGAATTTCTGATAAGCAATGAATGATTTTGGGGATCAGTGTGTTCCACACGAGTGTGCTGTGTCCGGCAATGCTGGGCGCAGAGCCCATGCGGGGACGCCCACAGCAGGAACCTCTCCTCTGTCCTTCCCTCTCCTCACCTTCGTACTGAAGACCTCCTCATGGCAAATCAGACCCCCAGGAAAAGTTATTTTTCACACTCTGGGATTCTGTAGCTTAACACTGAGAAAACTCAGATAGATTCACAAGGGGCAGGACGAAAATTGCTGAAGGCTGAATTCTGAAGAGGCGTTAGCGACCGCTGTGGTCAGCACCCTGGTTTCCTAGGAAAATGGAGGGCTGGAGAGGAGTTTTCAGAATTTAGCTTGCTAGCTGTACCCATTTTTGATGTCAGCATCTGGCACTGTCTGAAACGACAGAATGTTGTCTATGACCATAGCATCCTGAGTGCGCTGGTCTCATCTGAAATGAGAGAATACTTAGAAAACATCGTTAAATAAGTGAAATTTAAGAGTTGGTTATGAAGCCATGCAAATTTTAGCTTTGAATTACCACTGTGATTACTTCAGCAACTAGGAAAATTACTAATAGCTTTTACTTAATGTGTGCATTATTGTAATTCTTTACAAACTTGACAGAGTTAAAATGGTTTTTAGTTAGAAAAATAATTATGAAATGGGAATATAAAACTTATTAGACATAGGTTTTTGTTAAATGAAAATATTAATTGTCACTAATTGAGAAGATGAAATGCCTTCCAAATGTAAAGATAGTAACTGGCTACTTTATTTTTGGCAAATACCAATTCCAAAGGCCTTAGTAGAAGTGCTGAACATGAACTAAAACAGGAAGTTTTTGAGCAGATGTTGTAAAAAAGGGCAACTGTGTCCCGGGTCCTTTATTGCAATGAAGTTAGAATGGAGACACGATTGTTAATCAATATATTTAAATTTCCTTGCCTTAAGGGAAAATTCGGCAGTTTTATTGAAAAACAGTCCTGCATTTTTTAATCCTATGGGATAAAAGTGTCTACAATAAGGTTGGCTTTTTAAACAAAATTTCTTCTCGTTTATTTTTCCTGCATTTCCTTTATTCCCAATCTTTCTTCTGTGTTAAAATACACATAGCAAGGTTGACTTCTGACGATTAGATCTTGGATCAGAAACTGAGAAAGATAGAAGAGTGATCCAAATAAGCAGGCTGCTTCGGTGTCCTGCTCTGCTCAACGGGTTTGCAGAGGACACCATTGATGCCCAGCACGTCCACGGCCACCCAGATGCCTCTCCTCTCAGAGACTTTCCAGCCCGGTCCCTAGTGCCTCACCTTCAGCATTTTCTCTAACCTCCTGCCACACTTGGGTGGGGTTTTTACACTTTACTGTCACCTGGAAAACTTCCATGGACTGGGTCCCTGGTGCCAAAAACATTGGGGACTCTTGTCCTAGACTACCTACTCAATAATTTCAGACCCTTTATTCAGGAAGGAGGGAAGGAGAGGAGAGGAGGGGAAGGGGAAGAGGAAGGGGAAGGAAAGAGGGAAGGGGAAGGGGAAGGAAAGGAGGGAAATGGCAGATCAAGTTCACCTGAACTTGATTCCTGAGTGGCCTCATGATTCTTGCACTGGCTGAAGCTGGTGCAATGGTCTAGACCCCGATTACCTAGACCATGTTCCTTGTCAGCCCCTTGCCAGAGTGTTTGGACTATAAGCTGTGGAAATGCATCAGTGGAAACGTGGCTTGTCTCCACGGAAACGGGGCGTGGCGAGCCCGGGACTCTTCTGTTCCACCTTCTGCTGGGTTTTCTACACTGTCTCCCAACTCTCCTGTTGAATTTTTGAACTTTCCACTCCCATATAATTAATTTCCCAGAGCTATTTTTCTCAAAATGTATTTGTTCTCCATATATTCCTTTTTTCAAAAAAGATTCTTATGTAGTCTGTTTTAAGGATGTACTATCTCTTCTTGTTCTCTGATATTACTAATGAAATCTTGGGGGATCCTTTCAATGTTTTGCATGACTTTGGACTGTGCCTTTTTTTTTTTTTTTTTTTTGGAAACAGCGTGTCGCTCTGTCACCCCGGCTGGAGTGCAATGGTGCTATCTTGGCTCACTGAAGCCTCTGCCTCTCGGTCTCAAGCGATTCTCCTGCCTCAGCCTCCTGAGTAGCTGGGACTACAGGCACACACCATCATGCCTGGTTAATTTTTGTATTTTTAGTAGAGATGGGTTTCATCATGTTGGCCATGTTGGTCTTGAACTCCTGATCTCAAGTGATCCACCTGCCTTGGCCTCCAAAAGTGCTGGGATTACAGACGAGAGCCACATGCCCAGCTTGACTGTCTTTCATATTAAACTATTTCTCAAGTATCATTCATATTTGAGAGGGAGCCCTAAAACAAGGCTTGAAAGTAATGTGCTTATGGGGGGGGGTCTTTGCTGTAGGGTGATCTTGCTGGCCAATTCGCAGGGAACTCCCAAGTGGTAGAATTGTTAGGGCTTCTCTCTCAGCTAGTCAGACTCTCCAGAGGAGGTTTCTCCTGCACAGAGGGTCCGAGTCTGTCTAGGGGCTCCGTGGGGAAGAGAGTGCAACTGCATAGGCATTAAGTCAGCTTTCACATGGTCCATTTCCTGTGTGATGTTTCCACCCTCAACTCGACCCCGATGCTCCCAGCCAGAGACCTTCCATCCCCCTCCAGAGAATAAAACCTTTGATTTCTGCTGGGGAGTTGGTGGTGGGGGTGGAGGGATCTGGGAATTTTCTACTCACTTTTTACCCCCTCCCCTCGACACTCCCTTTGCCATTTTCCTCCTTTCCTTCCCCTTCCCCTTCCCTCCTTTCCTTCCCCTTCCCCTCCTCTCCTCTCTTCTCCTTCCCTCCATCCTGAATAAAGGGTCTGAAATTATTGAGTAGGTAGTCTAGGACAAGAGTCCCCAACGTTTTTGGCACCAGGGAGCCAGTCCATGGAAGTTTTCCATGGACTGGGGTGGGGGATGGTTTGGGGGTGATTCAAACGCATTACATTTTTTGGAAACTTTATTTCTGTTATTATTACACTGTAATATATAATGAAATAATTATACAACTCACCATAACGTAGAATCAGTGGGAGCCCTGAGCTTGTTTTCCTGCAACTAGACAGCCCTATCTAAGGGTGATGGGAGACAGTGACAGATCATTAGATTATTCAATTCTCATAACCAGTGGGCAACCTAGATCCCTCACATGTGCAGTTCACAATAGGGTTCATGTTCCTATGAGAATGTAATGCTGCTGCTGATCTGACAGGAGGTGGAGCTCAGGTGGTAATGTGAGCAATGGGGAGCAGCTGTAAATACAGATAAAGCTTTGCTCGCTTGCCTGGTGCTCACCTCTTGCTGTGAAGCCCGGTTCCTAACAGGCCACAGATCAGTACAGTCTATGGCCCAGGGGTTGGGGATCCCGGTCTAGGATCTTCAAGTATGCCATAGATGTCAATTGTTTCTTCCTTTGCTAGTTGATTAAAATCTGTTTTTTCACATAATTCTGACATGATCTCACAATCTTACTCCTTTTGTCCTCCAAACTTTCATTCTGAAATATCTTAGGCCACCCCCCAGGAAAGTTACTAGCATAATAAACACCCACATTCCTTTCACCAGGTTTGTCAGTTGCTATCATTTCATTATATTTGTGTCTCACTCCTTCTCTTCCTTGCTGAGCTATTTGTGAGTTAGTTGCAGAGGGCACGGGATCTTAGTTCTAAACAGGACCATATGTATTCCTGAAGGCAGGAGCACTCTCCTACATAGTCACAAAGTGATGAAGCTTCTTAGCTTGCTGTTGCTGTTTTAACAAATTGCCATAAACTTTATGGCTTAAAACACAAATTTATTATCTCACAGTTTTGGGGGTCAGAAGTCTGAAATGGATCTCACTGGGCTGTGCGGCTTCCTGGAGGCTCTTGGGGGAGAGTCCCGTTTCCTGGCTTCTGGGGGATGCCTGCGTTCCTTGGCTCCTGGCCCCTTCCATATTCAAGCCCAGCAGTGGCTGAAGGACTTCTCAGACCATCTCACCCTGACTGTGACCCTTCCATCTCTCTTTCATCTTTGTAGGCTGCTGATGATTATATTGAGCCCACCTGGGTAACCCAGGCACAAAGCCCATCTTAAGGAAGCTCGGCTAATTAGCTCTACAATCTTAACTCCTTGCCAGGCAGCCTCACATATCCACAGGTTTGGGGGATTGGGATTTGAACATCTTTGGGAGGGAGACTTGTTGTGTCTATTGCATTCAGGAAATGTAACGTTGTTCTAATACAGCTCTTTAATGTATTTCCCCAGTTGATCCAATAACGTTCTTTAAGGCTGGCTTTTAGAAATTCAGATGAATGGGGGGCTAGTTGTCATGGCTCACACCTGTAATCCCAGTACTTTGGGAAGCTGAGGCAGGCGGATCACTTAAGGTGTTCAAGACCAGCCTGGGTAACATGGTGAAACCCTGTCTCTACAAAAAATACAAAAATTAGCTGGACGTGGTGGTGCACACCTATAGTCCCATCTTCTCAGGAGACTGAGGTAAGAGGATTGCTTGAACCCAGGAGGTGGAGGTTGCAGTGAGTTGAGATTGTACCACTGCACTCCAGCCTGGGCAATGGAGCAAGACCCTGTCTCAAAACCAAAAAATCTGATGAACGATCGTGCAGTGCACTTAACTCTCATGTCTCTTTTTATGTAGGACATTTCCTCAGCTTCTTTTGTCTTCCATGACTGACGTTTTGAGGAGTGTAGGTCAGCTGCTTTACAGAGTCCCCAGGTTAATATTTTGAATTATTTTTTGTAATTGATCCAATTGTTCAGACATAAACCTGCTGTTGTTTCTTTAGGTTTCAAGAAACTATATGCCTTTTCTTATAGGAGCACAACCTGGAAGCACTCCCCACGTGCTCACCATCCCCTGGCTAAGAAACATGAGCAGAGTGCAAATTTCAGCGGTCAGCAGGAGTGACTGGAGAGTTAGCCACAGTCAGGGTGTTTTATTCTATGTGGCTGAAATGTCCCTTTCGTCCCCTGAAATAGTATGTTGTCAAACAGTACACAAACAACATTGTTCAGGTTGGTTCCCCTGCTGTCACACATTTTCACCAACATACTAGTAATTTCTTCAGATTCACAAGAAAAGCTGAAGAACCCTTACTTTGACAGTTTACCTGATGCCACCATATTTCCTTATCTCCTCTTCTCCCCACCTCATTTTGTTGACTGCTTTTCCTGTTTTGAAGACTGTTGGAGAGGAACATCACTTCTCTCAATTTCCCATTTCTTTTTTTTTTTTCCTTTTTATTTTTTTTGAGTCTTGCTCTGTCACCCAGGCTGGAGTGCAGTGGTATGATCTCAGCCTCCCTTGCCTCCTCGGTACAAGCAATTCTCCTGCCTCAGCCTCCCGAGTGGCTGAGACTACAGGCACATGCCACTGTGCCTGGCCAATTTTTGTATTTTTAGTAGAGTTGAGGTTTTGCCATGTTGGCCAGGCTGGTCTCGAACTCCTAACCTCAAGTGATCCTCCCACCTCGGCCTCCCAAACTGCTGGGATTACAGGCGTGAGCCACCATGCCTGGCCTTCTCATTTCTTTATATGGTTAAAAATATCATCCATGAATGGTTTTCTCTGATTCTTTCAACTGGCTAAATGCGTGTGTGTGTGTGTGTGTGTGTGTGTGTGTGTGTGTGTGTATAAATTATATATGCATTTATATATATTTGTCTTTATATTTGTCATAGACATATATTTGTCTTTTTTGATATGGGAAAACTATTTGTCCTCCATGATTTGCTTTACTAAAATATTTAATTTGCATTTGTTTTATAAAGAAAGTGAAAGTTGTCCATGTTTTCCTCTCAAGGCTTAATGACAGTTAACGCTGAGGTGACATGTGGGGCTGGTTATTCAGGGTGACACTGGCTAGCAAGTTTAAACAATAGCTCACCTTTGCTGCAAACCTGTTCTGAGCCAAACACTGTGCTGTGAACCTGGCATGTTGTTTCCAGCCCTAATGCTAACCCTGCCAGGCAAATGTGAGCCGCTTAACCTTGCTCCCAGGTAAATGTAAGAGGCTCCTGTGCTCCCACCAGGGGTTCCTCTAGTGAGTGGTGGAGCCCGGGCTGCCCCCTCCTCACAGGACTGCTGACGTCTGGCTGCCCCTTCCACGAGGGGCTTGTGTCACAGGTCTAAGGCACACACTTTTCTTTTTCAATTGGGTTAAAACTGTTTCTTGATAACATAACCATTTTTTTTCAGATATTACGTAGAGTTTATCATACTCAAAAGCATTCCATAGATGAATTCTAACTTTTAAAAGCACGCATGTGTTTTTTGTTTTTGTTTTTGGTGAGTTGGGGTTGCTTCTATGATCTAAATCTTGACAGCAGTGTGATTAGGTAGAACCCAGCTAGCACCTGCAAGTCAGGTCTTTCCATGGCCTTTGTTTTTTAATGAGAAAATGGCAAATTAGGAGAAAAGAACTCATATTAGGAGCTTAAATCACTGTTTCAGGTTAGTTCTATTCTGAAGACAATTTCAATCCCATCTTCCCAGCTCCCTCCCTGTGCACCTAGAGCCTGGCCGGTCTTATTTATGGCTGAGGGAGGCTTTCCTGAGGCATTGAAACCAGAGTTCTGCCCCGAGCTGGCATCTTAACCAGGGTTCTGCCCCGAGCTGGGTAGAGACGCATATCGTGCTTCATATGCTCATAAGCTGCTATGGGCATTTGTAAGTAAAGGATGTACAGCTCTCAAAGATCAGAAGGAACAGGACCCCGAAAAGGTGAATGGTGACTGCATTTGAAGACACTGTTCTTCAGCAGACAATGAAACTCACGATATGCTGTGTGTAAGGTGGAACAGTACAGTCACACACTCCGGGGAGGAAACAAACTCACTTTATTGTGGTAACACTTTCATCCAAATATAACTTTTCCTATCCACCCAGTCAACAAATATTTATTGAAAATTGTCTCGTGGTTTTCTTAGGCCGCAGACACTGAGCAGTGAGGATACAGTGGGCTTGGTTCTAATGGACCTGTGGCCAAGGCGGGGAGGAAGACAGGATCACATGGGGGCACAGGCAGATGTCTCATTGCAACCTGAAATTAATGCAGTGGGGTGAGGCGAAGATGGCCTAATCTATACGATAAGAAGAAAGGCCGTGGAGGAAGTGACTTTGGGGTTGAGATGGATGAGGGTGGGGGTGAGTTAACAAGATGAGCAAGTTGGGAAGAAAGGACTCTTGACAGAGGAAGGAGATCAGTGCATAGGAGGAATCCTCCTACACTGACTCAGACTTGCTTTAACAAGTAGGTGTCTGAAGCCCCGCGGTGCAGGTTCCCGGCCTAGGCCTCAAGGAGTCTGGGCAGCTTCTGCCTTCGAGCTCTTAGAAGCCCCAAGTCTCCAACTAAGAAATCCAGCTGCACCACTGGGACCACGTGGAAAGTCCTCATAGATTTTGCTGGGCCAGGGATTCCATGGGAAAGGGAGTCATTCCAGTGTCCAGCTGGCCCTGCCAGGGGTCAAGGCACAGGACCCCACCATTGTAGACATTGCAGGTCACGTGAGCCCCAGGTACCTGCAAACACTGCTGACCTCACATGGAACAAAAGTGCTGCCCAGCAGAGCCCAGCCTACACACAGAATCATGAAAGATAACAAAATGGGCCAGGCGCAGTGGCTCACGCCTGTAATCCCAGCACTTTGGGAGGCTGAGGTGGGCAGATCCCTTGAGGTCAGGAGTTTAAGAGACCATCCTGGCTAACATGGCAAAACCCTGTCTCTACTAAAAATACAAAAATTGGCTGGGCATGGTGGTGTGTGCCTGTAGTACCAGCTACTTGGGAGGCTGAGGCAGGGGAATCGGTTGAACCCAGGTGGCGGAGGTTGCAGTGAGCCGAGATCGCACCACTGTACTCCAGCCTGGGCAACAGAGTCAGACTCTGTCTCAAAAAAAAAAAAGAAAAAAAAAGATAACAAAATGATTATTGTAGGATGCCTCTAAGTTTGAAGGGGGTTTGTTACACTGCAATTGATAACCAAAGGAATACCTATATGTGCATGTACATATGTGCCAGGAAAACCCATATCAACAGATATTTTAGCATATTAATTTTTTCAGAAGTGGTCACAATTGAAGCCACAGAAGGTACTTTATGGTCATATAATCTTATACCTTCTTGGACTTTCTTCACGCAGGACACTTCATAGCAAAATATTCATCAGGTAATTGAATTTTTTTCTGCCTTCCCGTTATTCTTTCTCCTTTACAGATTATTGAAAGAATCCCTTTAAAGTCCCTGATCTTTTCCTTGAACAGGAAGTGGCTACACTCCTTAGCATGAATTAAAAAGCAGCACATTCACCTTATGGATAATTTTAAAAAGCAGCACATTCCCCTTATGAATATTGGTGATAGGACTGTTTACTTTCTAGGCGGACTCAGGCTGGACTTTGATGCCAGGGTTACTCCCTGTCCTATAAATGATCTTTCTTCCTATTTCTGAAATTAAATGAACAGGTCTGTGCTCAGGGAATCCAGGTGTGGTGGGATAATTTATTGGCATCCTCGCTTGTGTTCATCTGTGTGTGTTCTGTTCCTGTCTCCTTCAAGGAGGTTGCCTAGCTCCTCTGTGACCGCTGGCTCCTGCCGCAGGGACAAAATCAGGTTGTCCACAAATACTTTACCTCCTGCCTTTTGAAAAGGTCTAAACTTACCATCAACAAGAGCGTACTTGGGCCCTGGAGGGAGAGGGCTTTTTACTCAGGGCAGAGAAGGGATAGAGGTGGATTTGGAGAAACAGCAGCAGAGAACCCCTTCCCTTCACCCTTCCCCTCCCTTCCTGCCCTTCCCCTCCCTTCCTGCCCTTCCCCTCCCTTCCCTATCCTTTCCCTTCCCTTCCCTCCCCTCCCCTCCCCTTCCCTCCCCTTCTCTTCCCTTCCCTTCGCCCTGACCTTCCCTTCCCTTCGCCCTTCCCTTCCCTTCCCTTCCCTTCCCTTCCCTCCCCTCCCCTCCCCTCCCCTTCCCTTCCCTTCGCCCTTCCCTTCCCTTCCCTTCCCTTCCCTTCCCTCCCCTCCCCTCCCCTCCCCTCCCCTCCCCTCCCCTCCCCTTCCCTTCCCTTCCCTCCCCTCCCCTCCCATGTCTTCCTCCCCTCCCGTCCCATGTCTTTCTCCCCTCACCAGGAAGGCAGCTGACAACTTCATGTGCATACAGTTTGTTTTATATTCATCAAAATATTTCTAGACACAGACATAGAAGTGTAAATGGGAAAGCATCCATGCTGGCTGTCATGGGAATGCAGGAGACAGTCCACGCTCGCTTCACTAGAACAAAGCTGCATCCTGTCTGAGTCTCCATCATCAACTTTAACTTTCCCCAGTTTCGGGCAATAGTCCTTGTGAAATAAGTACTGGTTGGTTGGTTGCAGGAATGCGTGAATGAAGCCGTGGGTGAGGGTGAAGAGTTGCAACAACCGGGCTTTAGAACCGAGAAATGCAGCCCAGGTTCCTTCAGAGTCTCACCACTAGCTCACTGAATGCATTCAAGTGGGGTTTTCTGTTTTTCTTTTTTCTTTTTTTTTTTTTTTTAATAACCACAAGCTAATGAAATTAGATTTTTTTTCCAGAGCAAACATCCTACATTCCACTTCTACCTGGAATGAAAGACTCAAAATAATTGCACGCATTCCTCATTGAATATTTGGTTTTGTGAAGCCAGAGATGAAAAGACAGGAGCCTGGGGACTGTCAGGCCGAGGAGACACACACAGTGGTGCATTTTCTTCCTAATGCCACATTGTTAACAGTTTCCTCTGTGAAATATGCTGGGCCAATGCACATACTGACTCACACACTATCTTGTATTGTTATGTCCTTTACACAAGTCTCTCCCAAACTATCTGTTGATAAAAAACATGTTCTAGAATGTTCTACAAAGCAGTCTGCAGCCATGCCATCCCCTTGCTGTCTTCTAATGTATGTTTGACTTCTGTTATTTAGTCTGTTATAGGAATGACAATAATGGTAACCCTGTTGGGTGGGAGCTTACCATCTGTCAGGCTGGTGTAGAGGGCTGGGCGCCTAACTCGATTCCATGTCTGCAGACGATGGAGCCATGGCCTGGGAGCCAGGCTAGTGCTGGTCAGCAGTGGAGTCCAGATTAGAAATGAGATTCAAAGACTCTGAAAGCCAGGCTTTTGGTTGGCATGCTGCTATCTATTCAAACCGGCAACACTTAATATTTCTTTGTGATTTTAATGAATATTATTAATTCAAAGAAAATGTCTGTATTTCCTCAGAAGACTAAGCAGGGCCCCACCTAGCAAGAGATCATCATTCAATACCTGCTCTTTTGAGGAAGGAGGTGACTCCGTCCACCCCGCTTCCCCAACCCAATGCCTGGAGGGGCTGCAGCAAGGCAGGCAGGGTGACCAGTTGCCTCTGCAGAATCCGAACCATGGCCCCCAAATCTCCTGACCTCTCTCTGCCCTCATATCCCACAGAGATATGGCCTTAGGTCAGACCAAGACTTTGGCATTCACTTATGGTAACTTGACAAAAACAGGCATCTGTTTATTACACTGGGTTTATTATGTGAGGATACACTTTCCTTAAAAATGTATTTTTTATGTCAATAGGTTTTCAGGGAACAGATGGTGTTTAGTTACATGAATAAGTTCTGTAGTGGTGATTTCTGAAATTTTGGTGCATCCATCACCCCAGCAGTGTACACTGTACCCAATGTGTAGCCTTTTATCCATCACCCACCTCCTACCCTTTCCCCCAAGTTCATTGTGTGATTCTTATGTCTTTGTGTCCCCATAGCTTAGCTCCCACTTATGAGTGAGAACATATGATGTTTGGTTTTCCATTCCTGAGCTACTTCACTTAGAATAATGGTCTCCAACTCCACCCAGGTTGCTGCAAATGCCATTATTTCATTCCTTTTTATGGCTGAGTAGTATTCCATGGTATATATACACCACATTTTCTTTATCTACTCATTGATGAGCATTTGGCCTGGTTCCATATTTTTTGCAATTGCAAATTGTGCTGCTAAAAACATGCATGTGCAAGGATCTTTTTCATATAATGACTTATTTTCCTCTGGGTAGGTACCCAGTAGTGGGATTGCTGGATCAATTGGTAGCTCTACTTTTAGTTCTTTAAGGAATCTAGTGTTTTTCATAGTGGTTGTACCAGTTTACAAGTGTTCTCTCTTTACCACATCCACGCCAACATCCATTATTTTTAGATTTTTTGATTATGGCCATTCTTGCTAGAATAAGGTGGTATCACATTGTGGTTTTGATTTGCATTTCCCTGATAATTAATGGTGTTGAGCATTCTTTCGTATGCTTGTTGGTCATTTGTATGTCTTCTTTTGAGAATTGTCTTTTCATGTCCTTAGCCCACTTTTTGATGGGATTGTTTGCTTTTTTTCTTGCTGATTTGTTTGAGTTCCTTGTAGATTTTGGATATTAGTCCTTTGTCAGATGTATAGATTGTAAACATTTTCTCCCACTTGTGAGTTGTCTGTTAACTCTTGTATTAGTCCATTCTCATGGTGCTAATAAAGACATACCTGAGACTGGGTAATTTACAAAGGAAAGAGATTTAGTTGACTCACAGTTCAGCGTGGCTGGGGAGGCCTCAGGAGACTTACAATCATGGTGGAAGGGGAAGAAAACATGTCCTTCTTCATATGGTGGCAGCAAGGAGAATTGCCAAACAAAAGGGGGAAAAGCCCCTTATAAAACCATCAGATCTTGTGAGAACTCACGCACTATCACGAGAACATCATGAGGGTAATGGTCCCCATGATTAACCCATTTCCTACCAGGTCCCTTCCATGACATGTGGGGATTATGGGAACTAAAATTCAAGATGAGATTTGGGTGGGGACACAGCCAAACCATATCAACTCTGCTGATTATTTCTTTTGCTGTGCTGCAGAAACCTTTTAGTTTAATTAAATACCATCTATTTATCTTTGACTTTGTTGCGTTTGCTTTGGGATTCTTGGTCATGAAGTCTTTGCCTAAGCCAAAGAAGGGTTGTCTAGAAGGGTTTTTCTGATGTTATCTTCTAGGATTTTTATGGTTTCAGGTCTTAAATTTAAGTCTTTGATTCATCTTGAGTTGATTTTTGTATAAGGTGAGAGATGAGGATCCAGTTTCATTCTTCTAAATGTGGCTTACCAATTATCCCAGCACTATTTGTTGAATAGGGTGTCCTTTCCTGACTTTATGTTTTTGTTTGCTTTGTCAAAGATCAGTTGATTATAAGTATTTGGCTTTATTTCTGGGTTCTCTATGCTGTTTGGTTGGTCTGTGTGTCTATTTTTATACCAGTACCATGCTGTTTTGGTGACTATGGCCTTATAGTATAGTTTGAATGGGTAATGTAATGCCTCCAGATTTATTCCTTTTGCTTAGTCTTGATTTGGGTTTGCGGGCTCTTTTTCGGTTCCATATGAATTTTAGGATTGTTTTTTCTAGTTCTGTGAAGAAAGATGGTAGTATTTTGAGGAGAGTTGCATTGAATTTGTAGATTGCTTTTTGGCAGTATGGTCATCTTCACAATATTGATTCTACCCATCCATGAGTGTGGGATGTGTTTCCATTTGTTTGTGTCATCTATAATTTCTTTCAGCGGTGTTTTATAGTATTCCTTGTAGAGGTCTTTCACCTCCTTGGTAAGGTATATTTCTTTTTTCTTTTTCTTTTTCTTTTTTTTTTTTTGAGACACAGCTTCACTCTATCACCCAGGCTGGAGTACAGTGGCAAGATCTCACTGCAACCTCCACCTCCTGGGTTCAAGCAATTCTCCTGCCTCAACCTCCCAAGTAGCTGGGATTACAGGCACCTGCCACCACGCTGGGCTAATTTTTTTTTTCTATTTTTAGTAGGGACAGGGTTTCACCATGTTGGCCAGGCTGGTTTCGAGCTCCTGACCTCAAATGATCCGCCAATCTCCGCTTCCCAAGGTTAGCTATATTTCTAAGTATTTTATTTTTTTGGAGCTATAGTAAAAGGGGTTGAGTTCTTAAGTTTTTCTTCATTTCTTCTAAAAAAAAAAAAACCGAATACATGTGCAGAATGTGCAGGTTTGTTACATAGATATATGTGTGCCACGGTAGTTTGCTGCACCTATTGACCCCTCCTCTAAGTTCCCTCCCCTCACCCTCCAACAGGCCCTGCTGTGTGTTGTTCCCCTTTCTGTGTCCATGTGTTCTCAATGGTCAGCTTTCACTTATGAGTGAGAACATGTGGTGTTTGGTTTTCTGTCCCTGTGTTAGTTTGCTAAGAATGAAGGCTTCTAGCTTCAACCATGTCCCTGCAAAGGACATACTCTCATTCCTTTTTATGGCTGGATAGTATTCCATGGTGTATATGTGCCACATTTTCTTTATCCAGTCTATCATTGATGGGCATTTGAGTTGGTTCTATGCCTTTGCTATTGTAAATAGTGCTGTAATAAACATACGCATGCATATGTGTGCATGTGTCTTTATAGTAAAATGAATTCTATTCCTTTGGGTATATACCCAGTAATAGGATTGCTGAGTCAAATGGTATTTCTGGTTCTAGATTCTTGAGGAATCGCCATACTGTCTTCCACAAAGGTTGAACTAATTTACATTCCCAACAACATTGTAAAAGCGTTCCTATTTCTCCACAGCCTCGCCAGCATCTACTGTTTCCTGACTTTTTAATAATCGCCGTTCTAACTGATGTGAGATGGTATCTCACTGTGGTTTTGATTTGCATTTCTCTGATGATCAGTGATATTGAGCTTTTTTTCGTATGTTTGTTAGCCACGTAAATGTCTTCTTTTGTGAATTGTCTGTTCATATCCTTTGCCCACTTTTTGATGGGGTTGTTTTTTTTTTTTCTTGTAAATATATGTAAGTTCCTTGTAAATTCTGGATATTAGACCTTTGTCAGATGGGTAGATTGCAAAAATTTTCTCCCATTCTATAGGTTGCCTGTTCACTCTGATGATAGTTTCTTTTGCTGTGCAGAAGCTCTTTAGTTTAAGTAGATACCATTGGTCAATTTTGGCTTTTGTTGCAAATGCTTTTGGCATTTTTGTCATGAAGTCTTTGCCCATGCCTATGTCCTGAATGGTACTGCCAAGGTTTTCTTCTAGCATTTTTATGGTTTTGGGTTTTATATTTAAGTCTTTAATCCATCTTGAGTTAATTTTTGTATAAGGTGCAAGGAAGGGGCCCAGTTTCAGTTTTCTGCATATGGCTAGCCAGTTTTCCCAGCACGATTTACTGAATAGGAGATCCTTTCCCCATTGCTTGTTTTGGTCAGGCTTGTCAAAGATCAGATGGTTGTAGATGTGTGGTGTTATTTCTGAGGTCTCTATTCTGCTCCATTGGTCTATATGTCCGTTTTTGTACCAGTACCATGCTGTTTTGGTTACTGTAGCCTTGTAGTACAGTTTGAAGTCAGGTAGCATGATGCCTCCAGGTTTGTTCTTTTTGACTAGGATTATCTTGGCTATATGGGGTCTTCTTTGATTCCACATGAAATTTAAAATAGTTTTTTCTAATTCTGTGAAGAATGTCAATGGTAGTTTGATGGGAATAGCATTGAATCTAGAAATTACTTTGGGCAGTATGGCCATTTTCACAAAATTGATTCTTTCTATCCATTAGCATGGAATGTTTTTCCGTTTGTTTGCATCTTCTCTTTTTTTTATTTTTATTTTTTATTTTTTTATTATACTTTAAGTTTTAGGGTACATGTGCACAACCTGCAGGTTAGTTACATATGTATACATGTGCCATGTTGGTGTGCTGCACCCATTAACTCATCATTTAACATTAGGTATGTCTACTAATGCTATCCCTCCCCCCTCCCCCCACCCCACATCAGGCCCCAGTGTGTGATGTTCCCCTTCCTGTGTCCATGTGTTCTCATTGTTCAATTCCCACCTATGAGTGAGAACATGCAGTATTTGGTTTTTTGTCCTTGCGATAGTTTGCTGAGAATGATGGTTTCCACCTTCATTCATGTCCCTACAAAGGATATGAACTCATCATTTTTTATGGCTGCATAGTATTCCATGGTGTAAATGTGCCATATTTTCTTAATCCAGTCTATTATTTTTGGACATTTGGCTTGGTTTCAAGTCTTTGCTATTGTGAATAGTGCTGCAATAAACATACGTGTGCATGTGTCTTTATAGCAGCATAAAGTGTCATATAGTAGCATAATCCTTTGGGTATATACCTAGTAATGGGATTGCTGGGTCAAATGGTATTTCTAGTTCTAGATCCCTGAGGAATCGCCACACTGACTTCCACAATGGTTGAACTAGTTTACAGTCCCACCAACAGTGTAAAAGTGTTCCTATTTCTCCACATCCTCTCCAGCACCTGTTGTTTCCTGACTTTTTAATGATTGCCATCTTCTCTTATTTCCTTGAGCAGTGGTTTGTAGTTCTCCTTGAAGAGGTCCTTCACATCCCTTGTTAGCTGTATTTCTAGGTATTTTATTTTCTTTGTAGAAATTGTTAATGGGAGTTCATTTATGATTTGGCTCTCTGCTTGCCTAGTGTGGATGTAAAGGAATCATTGTGATTTTTGCATATTGATTTTGTATCCTTAGACTTCAATGAAGTTGATTATCAGTTCAAGAAATTTTGGGGCTGGGATGATGGGCTTTTCTAAATATACAATCATGTCTTCTGCAATCAGAGACAACTTGACTTCCTGTCTTCCTATTTGAATACACTTTATTTCTTTTTCTTGCCTGATTGCCCTGGCCAGAATTTCCAATACTGTGTTGAATAGAAGTGGTGAGAGAGGGCATCCTTGTCTTGTACCAGTTTTTAAAGGGAATGCTTCCAGCTTTTGGTCATTCAATATGATATTGGCTGTGGATTTGTCATAAATAGCTCTTATTATTTCGAGATATGTTCCATCAATACCTAGTTTATTGAGACTTTTTAACATGAAGGAATGTTGAATTTTATCAAAGGACTTTTCTGCATCTATTGAGATAATCATGTGTTTTTTGTCTTTGGTTTTGTTTATGTGATGGATTGTGTTTGTTGATTTGTGTATGTTGAACCAGCCTTGCATCCCAGGGATGAAGCAGATTTGATCATGGTGGGTAAGTTTTTTGATGTGCTGCTGGATTTGGCTTGCCAGTATAGTACTGAGGATTTTTACATTGATGTGCATTGGGATATTGGCCTGAAGTTTTTTTGTGGTGGTGTGTGTCTTCCCTGTTTTGGTATAAGGTTAATGCTAGCTTCATAAATTGAGTTAAGGAGGAGTCCCTCTTTTTCAATTGTTTGGAATAGTTTTAGAAGGAATGGTACCAGCTTCTCTTTGTATTTCTGGTAGAATTCCACTGTGAATCCATATGGTCCTAGGCTTTTTAAAAAAATTGTTTTTGTTTGGCAGACTATTAATTACTGCTTCAATTTCAGAACCTGTTATTGTTCTATTCAGGGATTCACCTTCTTCCTGGTTTAGTCTTGGTAGGGTGTATGCATCTGGGAATGTATCAGTTGCTTCTAGATTTTCTAGTTTATTTGTGTAGAGATGTTTATAGTATTCTCTGATGGTAGTTTGTATATCTGTGAGATCAGAATATATATATATATATATATACATATATATATATATTTTTTTTTTTTTGTTTTCAAAAAACTAGCTCCTGGATTCATTGATTTTTTTGGGGTATTTTTTGTGTCTCTATCTCCTTCAATTCTTCTCTGATCTTAGTTGTTTCTTGTCTTCTGCTAGCTTTTGGATTAGTTTGCTTTTGTCTCTCTAGCTCTTTTAATTGTGATGTTAGGATGTCGATTTGAGATCTTTCTAGCTTTTTGATGAGAGCATTTAGCACTATAAATTTTCCTCTTAACACTGCTTTAGCTGTGTTGTAGAGATTCTGGTATGTTGTCTCTTTGTTCTCATTGGTTTCAAAGAACTTCTTGATGTCTGCCTTAATTTCACTATTTACCCAGGAGTCATTCAGGAGCAGGTTGTTCAGTTTCCATGTAATTATGTGGTTTTGAGTGAGTTTCTTAATCCTGAGTTCTAATTTGATTGCACTGTTGTCTGAGAGACTGTTTGTTATTATTTCCAATCTTTTGCATTTGCTGAGGAGTGTTTTACTTCCAATTATGTGGTTGATTTTAGAATAAGTGCTACGTGGCACTGGGAAGAATGTATATTCTGTTGACTTTGGGTAAAGAATTCCGTAGATGTCTACTAGGTCCACTTGATCCAGAGCTGAATTCAAGTCCTGAATATCCTCATTAATTTTCTGTCTCATTGACGTAATACTGACAGTGGGGTGTTAAAGCCTCCCACTATTATTGTGTGAGAGTCTAAGTATCTTTGCAGGTCTCTAAGAACTTGTTTTATGAATCTGGGTGCTCCTCTATTGGGTGCATATATATTCAGAATAGTTAGCTCTTCTTGCTGAATTGTTCTTTTTACCATTATGTAGTGCCCTTCTTCGTCTTTTTTGATCTTTGTTGGTTTAAAGTCTGTTTTTTTCAGAGACTAGGGTTGCAACCTCTGCTTTTTCTTTTTGCTTGGCAAAATTTCCTCCATCCCTTTATTTTGAGCCAGTGTGTGTCTTTGCACATAAGATGGGTCTCCTGAATACAGCACACCAATGAGGCTTAACTCCTTATCCAATTTGCAAGTGTGTGTCTTTTAATTGAGGCATTTAGCCCATTTATATTTAAGGTTAGTATTGTTATGTGTGAATTTGATCCTGTCATCATGCTGCTATTTGGTTATTTTGCACACTAGTTGATGCAGTTTCTTCATAGTGTCATTGGTCTTTATATTTTGGTGTCTTTTTGCAGTGGCTGGTACCGGCTTTTCCTTTTCATATTTAGTGTTTCTTTCTGGAGCTGTTGCAGGGAAGTCCTGGTGGTAATGAAATCCCTCAGCATTTGCTTGTCTGGAAAGGATTCTATTTCTCCTTTGCTTATGAAGCTTAGTTTAGCTAGATATGAAATTCTGCGTAGAAAACTGTTTTCTTTAAGAATGTTGTATACTGGCCCCAATCTCTTCTGGCTTATAGAGTTTCTACTGAGAGGTCTGCTGTTAGTCTGATGGGCTTCCCTTTGTATGTGATCTGGCCTTTCTCTCTGGCTGCCCTTACCAGTTTTTCCTTCATTTTGATTTTGGAGAATCTGAGGATTATGTGTCTTGGGGTTGATCTTCTTGTGGAATATCTTAATGGTGTTCTCTTTATTTCCTGAATTTGCACATTGGCCTGTCTTGCTATGTTGGGGAAGTTCTCCTGGATAATATCCTAAAGTATGTTTTTCAGCTTGCTTCCATTCTCCCTGTCTCCTTCTGGTACTCCAATCAATTGTAGGTTTGGTCTTTTTACGAAATCCCATATTTCTTGGAGGCTTTTCTCATTCCTTTCATTCTTTTTTTTTCTATTCTTGCCTGCATGTCTTATTTCAGTAAGCTGGTCTTTAAACTCTGATATTCCTTCCTCCACTTAGTCAGTTTGGCTGTTGATACTTGTGTATGCTTCATGAAGTTCTCGTGTTGTGTTTTTTCAGCTACATCAGGTCATTTATGTTCCTCTCTAAACTGGTTATTCTAGTTAGCAATTCCTCTAACCTTTTATCAAGGTTCTTAGCTTCTTTGCATTGGAATAGAACATGCTCCTTTAGTTCGTCATAGTTTCTTACTACTCATTTTCTGAAGCCTCCTTCTGTCAGTTTGTCCACCTGATCCTCCATCCCGTTCTGCGCCCTTGATGGAGAGACGTTGCAATCATTTGGAGGAGAAGAGGCACTCTGGCCTTTTGGGTTTTCAGCATTTTTTTTGTTGATCCTTTCTCATCTTTGTGAGTTTGTCTAGTTTCAGTCTTTGAGGCTGCTGACCCTTGGATGGGGTTTTTGTGGGGGCCTTTTTTTTTTGTTACTGTTGATGCTGTTGTTGTTGCTTTCTGCTTGTTTTTCTTTCAATAGTCAGGTCCCTCTTCTGTAGGGCTGCTGCAGTTTGCTGAGGGTTAACTTCAGGCCCTATTCATCTGATTTGCATCTGTGCCTTGAGATGTCACTCAAGGAGGCTGGAGAGCAGCAAAGATGGGTGCATTTTCCTTTTTCTGGGACCTCTGACCTTGAGGGGTACCAATCTGATGCCAGTAGAATTGCTCCTATATAGGGCATCTGACAACCCATGTTGCAGGGTCTCATCTAGTTGGGTGCCATGGGGGAGAGGACCCATTTAATGAAGCACTCTGTCCCTTGGTGGAGAAGGTGTGTTTCACTGGGGGGAAACCCACTCACCTGGGATGCCCGGATTCCTCAGAACTACCAGAAGGAGAGGCTAAGTCTGTTGGTCCACAGAGACTGTGGCCACCCCTCCCCATAGGGGCTCAGGCCCAGGAAGATCCAAATTCTGTCCCTGAGACTCTGGCTGGAGATCCTGCAGGGAAGCTCTACCCACCAGGAAGGATGGGTCAAGGTTAGACTTGAAGAGGCACCCTGGCCACACACTGCCACAGCCGGTGTATTGAGTTGTGGGGACAAGTCTTGGGACGAAGCTGTCCAGCCTCCCTGGCTTAGCAGGGGACAAGCACAGCTTGGAGCTATAGAAATGGGTGCTGCTCTTCCCCCGCCCAGGAAGCTTAGCATGTTAGGCAGTTGGGAGTCCCGGTGCTGACTGCTGCCCTTCCCCTAATGAGCTCAAAGGGCTTAGAGAGCAGGCAGCCACAGCCGGTGCTGGTCGCCCCTCCCCCTGGGAGTTCCGCAGGCTTAAGCAGATTGCAGCTGAGAGGCTGTAAGAATCTGTGCCTTCTGGGGTTGGGATGCTAGGCCCTGGTGGCATGGGTTTGCAAGTGGGATCTTCTGATCCATGGGTTGCACAGTTCTGTGAAAAACACAGTTTCCCCAGCTGGGTAGCATGCTCACTCACCGCCTCCCTTGGCGGCCAGGATGGGGTTCCTCTTCCCCGTGTGGCTCTCAGGTGGGCCCCGCACCACACCACTCTTCCTCCTCTCCGTGGCTCACGCCAGCCTTCTAGTCAATTTCGATGAGAGAACCTGGATACCTTGATGGCCAGTGATGGATTCACATGTTTATTATGTTTTTTTTTTTCTGATGGGAACCTCCAAATGGCTTTGCTTCTAGTTGGCCATCTTGGCCCCACCCCCCTGAGGCTGAGTTCTTAATGTGATTCTTAGCTTGGTTGCTGTTGGTGTACAGCAGGGCTACTGATTTGTGTACATTAATTTTGTATCCTGAAACTTTACTTAATTCATTTACCAGCTCTAGGAGCTTTTTGGATGAGTCTTTAGGGTGTTGTAGGTATATGATTATATCACGGCAAACAGTGACAGTTTGATTTCCTCTCTTCTGATTTGGATGCCCTTTCTCTTGTCTGATTGCTCTGACTAGGACTTCCAGTACTATGTTGAATAGAAGTGGTGAAAGTGGGCATGTTTGTCTTGTTCCAGTTCTCAGGGGGAATGCTTTCAACTTTTCCCTGCTCAGTGTAATGTTGGCTGTGGGTTTGTCATAGATGGGTTTCATTACCTTAAGCTGTGTCCCTTTTATGCTGATTTTGCTGAGGATTTTAATCATAAAGGGATGCTGGATTTTGTCAAATGCTGTTTCTGTGTCTATTGTGATGATCATGTGATATTTGTTTTTAATTCTGTTTATATGGTGTATCACATTTATTGACTTGTGGATGTTAAACCATCCCTGCATCCCTGGTATGAAACCCACTTGGTCTTAGTGGATTACCTTTTTGATATGCCATTGGATTTGGTTAGCTAGTATTTTGTTGAGGATTTTTGCATCTATGTTCATCAGGGATATTGGTCTGTAGTTTTCTTTTTTTGTTATGTCCTTCCCTGATTTTGGTATTAGGGTGATACTGGCTTCATTGAATGATTTAGGGAGGATTCCCCATTTCTCTCTGTTTTGAAATAGTGTCAATATGATTGGTACCGATTCTTCTTCAAATGTCTGATAGAATTCAGCTGTGAATCTGGTCCTGGATATTTTGCTGTTTGCAATTTTTAAATTACCATTTCAATCTTGCCACCTGTTATTGGTTTGTTCAGAGTTTGTATATCTTCCTGATTTAATCTGAGAGAGGTGATACACTTTTTTTTTTTTTTTTTTTAGCAGCAAATTAATAGGTGTCAATGAACAGATACTAACGCATGCCATCATAGGCCTCCTATTGGCACCCACAACAAATGACTCTCGGGAACTGCATTCCAGATTTTTTTACTTAAGTCCTCCTCTAAGTAACCCTGAAATCTGCAAATGAGAGGAGGAATAGAAAAAAAGTTGAGATTTTCTATTTCCTATTGTGGGTTGAATTAGAATCACTAGAGGCAGCAGGTTCCACTACGAGGGTCATTTTAATTTCAAATATATTGTACTTACGTCCTTTTTTCTTCTATTAAGAATAAAAGGTGTTATAACAAACAGTACCATTGCTAAGGCAGGGTGAGTAAGCCCGATTCCAGGAGCCAGGTGGGCAGGTGGGCAAGTGGGCAGGGGCCGTTGGAGGCGGACTGGCCGCGGTGCTGCTTCCCGTGCTGCCTGCAAGGCCCCGGCGGATTCCCAGGGGTGCTCGTGACCCAGTCCCTCCAGGCCTAGCAGGCGCACGGGGCTGTGAGCCCTGCGTGTCCTAGGTCACTGCATGGGGCCACAGCCATCAGCCCCTTCACCGGGTCCCCAGATGGCTTGTCCTGTAGGCTGCAGCTGCATACTGCCTCCCTAGAGCCTGGCACTGCGGACCCAAGGAGCCGAGGACCGAGCTGCCGCCCTCCTCCCATCTCTGAGGCCTGCCGCGTCCACCCTAGCCTTGGTGGTAGTCTCTGTGCCAGGCCTGGAGTGAGCCTTCCAGGTCCTGTTCTGGAGGTCGTGCCGCCCACTGCAGGCGCACAGAGCATAGGGCACGGGCCCGCCTCAGCACTGGAGCTGCCTGGCCTGGCACGCGCTGCCCTGCCTCCCTGCTTGGACGGCCAGGACTCAGCCCAGGGTTCGTGGCCATGCAGGGCTCTAGACAGCGGCGCTGCAGAGCTTCCTGAGGTCGGCCGGGGCCAGGGATTGCCCTAATTACACTTCTTCCTCTGCCCAGTCTCTCCCTGCTACCTGCACCGATACTGACACCAAATGAAGTTCTCGCACCCCGGACTCCCTCTCTGGGTGCCACCGACATTACAGCTAGACTTTTGCTTTCCTATCCACCCTGTATTCTAAGCTCCCTGGGTCAGGGTCTGCCTGTTCCTCACCTGTGTTTCCTGTGGGCCCAGTGGCTGCTGTTGCGCACCTGGGGAGAAGAGACTGCAAGAGGGAACCTCCCTGTGCGCCCTTGGGGTGCGTTTCCTCGCCTTGTCCTCACTACCCTCTGAGGTAGTACAATTGGCTGGATTTGCGGATGATCAAACTTAGACTCAGAGTGATTAAGTAACTTTCCCAAAGACACACAGCAGTGTTAGTTTGCCTCTAAATCATTCTGACTCCAACACACCCATTCTTAACCACTAGACGATTCCATCTCTTGCACGGCGGGCTGCCCAGATCTCTAAAACGTGAACTGAGATTCACGACAGCTGACTTATCCTGAATGTGTGCGTGTACAAAGCAGGGTAAGTCTGTGAAAGCATGAAAGACCTCCTGGGGCAGCCAAAGACAAAAATGCTCCTTTTAACAAAATAATGAAATACTAGCACTCCTAGTGTCACTTCAACCTAAACCCTCTCTAGACACGACAGACAGACTGTCTAGATTTGATCAAAGAAAGTGAAATTTCATCCTCAGGTCTTTCAGAAAGGCAGTGTTGGAATTTGATTTCATAAAACAAAAAAATGATAAAAAAGGGTTCTTCTTTATATTGAACCATAGAAATAGGAATATAGAAATCTGTACATAAGTTTCTACCTGTAGAAAATTTATTTCAGCATAAGGTAGTAGACAAGTTTTTAATCTTTGCCTTAAGAAATTCTAAGCCCAATGAATGAATGAAAACAACGCCCCAAATTCCTTCCTCCTCCCCTCGTCCCTGAAGCCACTGCACACACAGAGAGTCCTCAGGAGGAGACTCATTGGAGATCAGGTTCCAGAGAGGGCACCTCCCTGTCCTTGCCATTTCCCTCACATCCTTCCCAAGGACTTTGGTGTTTCCAGGCAAACAATGAAACAATGCCAAAATTAACAGGGCCCGAGCTCTCCACTTAAGCAAGGTGCCCTCAGAGGAGGGGATGTTCCGAAGAGGAAGATTAAATCAGCAAGTGAGGATAATGTCACTGTAACTTTGCAACATAAAGTGAAGTGGTATTGAACCATTGCCAATTATCATGTCAAAGGCCTAATTCATTTTGTTTTATCACATTTTCATGGTGCAGTTGTCTCAATGCCTTGTAAAGGAGCTAAGGTTAAATAAATCTTGATTTACAGGGACTAATATAATAGAGCAAGAGGACTCAGAGAGGCTGTTTTGCTCCACTGGATACATCATATACATTTTCTTTTTTCAAAAGACCCACATCTCCATCTATACATGATAGACTGCAGTAATTTCAAAAGAGCTATTGCAGTCAGTCTATCAGGTAGCTAATATGCATTCAAAAAGTTTTCTAAATATGTGCTCTTATGATAGATGGTACCTGACACAAAAATAATTTCTGTTATGAAAGACCCTAAATGTACTACATAAATTTGATGTTTATATTTTAGCTTTGTGTATCCAGCCAGGGGCTCATCATGATGACTTTGGTTGGAAAAATTGCCTTCCTAACACCTTGTCAGCACCAAGCACACATAACTGTATGCTATGTGCTAGTTTATAACACGGCCTCCTTGGAGCCGTGCCTGCCCTCCTTTGCCCTCACATGCTGATTGGATCTTTTTATAAACAAAGAGCATATATCCAAATATCATCCCTGTCAAAATCAAATTGTTCAGTATGGAAATGTGTGCATTGTGATAGTACATCCAGAGAGCTGGCCAACAAACAAGGAAAGGTTTTGACAACTCTGGAACAAAAATTAAATTAAATTGTCTGATGCTGAATTGGCAATGGGAATCATAATCAAGATGGCGAGATCCATATTTTATTGTAAACACATTTTCCCCTTTTGTTCAAAACCTACAATATGTTGGCTTGTCACCAACCTTGCACCATGGCCAATATAAGGGGGCCCTTGATGTATAGAAGCCATAGCTTACCAAAGCCCTGTCCACAGCCAGGCTGCGGCATTCTGTCGTGATTTCCTGCAATCTCTAGTCGTGGATTCCTGCCTCCTTTCTTCATGAGAGCTCTGTTGCAGTTATGCCCCACCTGCTCCAATTTGCTGGGATATCATGACTGGTTTCATCTTTTAATACTATATTCATCAAGCCACACCTTTGTTTACAAACTTCAATGAAGATTTTGCACAAACGATGAAGTTCCTATTCCTTCACTTGGCCTTCAAGACTTTTCAGAATTTGAATTCAACATGATTTTTTCAAGCCCAGCTCCTATTTCCCTGTTCTCTCAGCTACAGGAGAGAATCCATGTTGAACATTCAAGCTGGTTTATATATTGGATGTCCTGCCTTCTCTCAGCTTTTCTACATCTTCCAAGGACTTGTACAGGTTCCTCTGACCGATATTCATTTAAGACAGTTTTGAATACCTGGAACATCTATGTGCCCATCCATGTTGAATATCTGGAACACACACGCGCCCCTCTGTAGGTTTGAAGGAAAGGCAGACACAATCACTGGAACACACACGCACACACACCCCTCTGTAGGTTTGAAGGAAAGGCAGACACAATCACTGGAACACACACTCACACACACCCCTCTGTAGGTCTGAAGGAAAGGCAGACACGATCATTATAATTCAAACATGGAAGGTGTCCATGGCTCTGACTCAGGGGAGAAAGTGTGTTCTTCTGTTTTGAAAGATAGGGAAGGTTTCAGAGATGGGAAGTGCTTACCAGGGCCTTGAGGAACAAACAGAAGTTCATGAGGATGACCCAGGTGAGGAGGAGTGATGTGACAAGCCAAGGGAAGAGCATGTGCAGAAACATGGAAGCTCAAAGGGGGTGAAGTGGAACGACCCAAGTTCCTTGGAAATGCAGGGGCAGGGGCCAGGCCTGGAGGGCTTTGCAGGTCAGGCTACGTGGCCTGTGTCTGTAGACACAGAAAACAATGAAAGTGTTTGAGAAGGAAAAATGGCATATTTAGAGAAGTTTTAGAAAGCCAATGTATGATTATGGGAGGAGAGAATTGGAAGGGGATGGAGCTGAAAGCAGGGAGGTGGCTAAGAGTATTCCGAGTGGCAACGTCTTGCACAGCAGCTCCCCACACTTAGGTTTTTCCTTTCCTCTGTCTAGAGATCTGAGCTGCGGGGGGACCACTCATTTGGCGCTTTCTCTTTATTCCTCTGTGGTGATGTCTTTCTTGCCCATTTAGGTCACAGTTATTAGTAGCAATGAAGACAGCAATGAGCACAAATTTTCTGAGGTCAGGGCTTTGCTCACTTTGTATTTCTTTGTATGATATCCTACAAAGTTCTACAAAAATAGTAGGTTCTAGAAAGTATTTGTGGTTGAAATTAAAGCGAGGTTACTTTGGAAAGCTCCCAATCAGGATGAAATCATAGAGAATTTTATTCCATAGCAAAAACTCTTTAACCATGCATGCTATTTGGAAGTTTACCATTTCATGATAAGACATCCATTGCATCTAAACAGAGTGTAAAATATAAATATGTGTGTAAAATATAAATATGTATGTAAAATATAAATGTGACTATGAGGCCTCCTATGAGAGGTGGTGGTGCAGGGAGATGGCTTTAGAGCCTTCCCCTTTGACATTTAAAACCAACTTTAAAACCAATATTGACATTTAAAACCAATTTTCAAACCGATATTTAAAACCAAGGACTTGAAATATTTCTAATTTTACATATTAGTTTGAATTTCCAAAAAAAAAAAAAAAAAATCCTAACAGAGGAGAAGCAGTACTGCAACTCTGCATTTGCTTCATGAGCCGAGAGGCTGGCAGCCACCTGGAGGTGCCCGCCTGTCCCGGCTGCTGTGCCCCTCCCTCCTCCCTGTATTTTGCTCACAGGCCACAGCTTCTCATGTGGAAAATGTGTTATGGATTCAAGGCGTCAAGGTCATTTGCAAAGAAGCAACAGAGTACCATTTGGTCCTTCATGCCAGGTAACAGAGAAGCGTGACCATGATATACATTTTAAAGAGGCTTCTTTGAAGTTAGAGCTTTGAGATCTGATTCCAGAAGGTGCCTGCTCTTTTTCACTGTGGAGTTGAGGCTGATGGGCTCTTTAGAAACTCAACTCATGGACACCCATGTGCAGCATTTGTGTTTTTTGTTGTCTTTACAATAGCAAAGACTTGGAACCAACCCAAATGCCCATCAACGACAGACTGGATAAAGAAAATGTGGCACATATGCACCATGGAATACTATGCAGCCATAAAAAAGAATGAGTTTATGTCCTTTACAGGGACGTGGATGAAGCTGGAAACCATCATTCTCAGAAAACTAACACAGGAACAGAAAACCAAACACCACAAGTTCTCACTCATAATTGGGAGTTGAACAATGAGAACACATGGACACAGGGTGGGGAACATCACACACCAGGGCCTGTTGTGGGGTGGGGGAAAAGGGGAGGGAGAGAATTAGGACAAATATGTAATACATGTGGGGCTTAAAATGGGTTGATAGGTGCAGCAAACCACCACGGCACATGTATACCTATGTAACAAACCTTCACGTTCTGCACATGTATCCCAGAACTTACAGTATAATTAAAAAAAACAAAAAGTTGGTGCCGTGGTTACCCATTCTGCTCTGGTCCTGGGTCCCTCTCAGATACTTCCTCACGAAACTTTTTCAGTTGACTGATGTGTCCAATGTTTAGTTTTAGGTGAGACTTTTCTTCCTATCTCCAGAGGCTATACTGTGCTTTGTTTCCAGAAGTGCTCAGTTTTGTAAAAGGATTTCCCTGAGGAGGACCACATGCCCTGATGCATTTCATTTTCATGAGAGGTCAACAAGCTGGGAAACCTCAGCTTGTTCCCAGGTAGGAGCTTGCTGAAAGCTGCACTAATCTACTTTTATCACGTTGCGACCTACCATGGCGTGTGTGACTGAATGATGGTATTGTGTTTCCTGGAGAGCTGTCTCACAGTGTTCTTCACATAGCTGACAAGACACGGTGTTCAGGCCGTCAAGCCCCACATCGTATGGTTTTCCTCAAACTTGTCTGCAAGGGCTGTGTTCTCAGTGTACCTCCTTCCTTCCTCCGGCTGAGATAAATATTTCTCTGCTCAGTTTTTATCTTTCTGACAGAAAAAGAAAACTGTGTAGTCTGCTATTCATGAAGAAACATGTCCTGTAACAAGAATGAAGTTTAGCAACAGAATGGAAAATAGACAGAAATAAACATATTTGACCTTTGTATTTCTAAGAGAAAAACAAGAAAAGAACCTTCCCGCTGCCACTCTCTAACTGTGCAAGCTCCAGCACGCGTTTCCGGAGCCTCAGTTTCCTCATCTATAAAGTGGTGACCATAATGCCTGCGCCACAGGTTGCCATGAGAATGAAATGATCTAAAAATCCTCAGCACACAGTTCCTGGCACATAGTGAGGGCTTCGTAAAGGTTGACATTATACTCCATTTTCTTTTCCATAGTGGGGAAAAGTGAAACCAAAAATCACCTTTCGTTCAACAGCTTTCGTATAATTCTGAGGCAAATGTTTCAAAATATGCTTTGGTACAATTTCCACAAGTGTCTAAGAAACCCATACGGCAGCTCAACAGTGATTCGTAAAAGGTGGCGTGAGGACCACACTTAGAAGCTGTGGAGTGCTCATGGAAGGGTGTGTTCCCCAGATCTGCTGAATCAGGATTGCTGATCAATTAATGTTAAATCTACCTAAACATGAATGTTTGAAAACCAGGGCAACTCAAGGATTGATTTATAGAAACTCATATTAAAAACGATAACTACAAAGAATTCCATGGCATTATCCGACATTCCATGAAGATGCTTTCAGTGAGCACCTGAGGGTCTTGCTGCTATTGCTCAGCTGACATTGAGACCCTGAGGATGCAAGGCAATGCTGCTATACTGCAAGCCTGCCTGGGGACCGCGAGGAGCCTCAGGATTCTTCCTGATGGAAGATCAATGGCTTCTGACATTTATAAATGGCCGGGAAACACGTGTTTACTGACTAT